>NC_000024.10:21369104-21739542 GCF_000001405.40 Homo sapiens | reverse complement strand
GAATTCCATAAAGTTTTTGAAAAGATAATATTTTACCAATACAAATATAACCAAGAAAGTTTAAGCATATTTTCTTATTTGTATATTTTGTATACTGCTCATTTCATACTGTTTATCAAATGCTAGCATTCCATAGTAGATTGATAATTTATAAATACACCATCTCATAATTTCTAGAGGCATATGTTTTCTCTATAATAATGAGGCAATGTCTCATTCTTGCAGAAAATAATGTTTTTAAATAGATCAAAATATCTTCAGTCTCTCTGTGAAAATAAGAAGCTACAAATATATATGGTTCAATTTATGTTGAATAATGAAAAGTTTAGCATTTTATCTCATTTATAAACATTCTAGAAATTTAATAAACATCTTTTACTTACCATAACTTTAAGGTAGCAAATCACTAGAAAGATTTTATAAATTATTAGATATACTGTAAAACATAATTATTACTACAATAATGTTGGTCATAATAATGACAACTTAATTAAAATCAAATATAACTTTAAAGATTTTAAATATCTGCTGAATATAATATTAGTTTATTTGACAGGTAACAAAACAGTATAAAAATGTATGTCTGTTTTATTATTTAATAGTGAAAATTCTGAAAACATACTTGTTTTAGTAAGTCAAAATTATTAAAATAGTGCAACTTACCTGAGGTTTATCAAAATAATCTGCACTTGAAAAACATTTGGATCAGTTTCTATATTTTCTGAGTGTTTTGTTAATATTTTACTTAAAATATCTTACTTTTTTGAAGCCAATTTAGAACACTTTTAAATGATTTTAGAAATTGTTTGCAATGCCATCCAGAGATTTGAAAATATCACCTATAGAAAACATATGCAAACACATATACAGATAGATCTAAACAGATATCTTATAGCTTTAGTTCTAAAATTTTAGCCACAAATCAGGCATAAAAATTGTGATTGTAAATTTTAGATGTTCAGTTTACAAGATTAAGGGAACACACATAGCTGGTAAAGTACCATTTCTGGGTATATTTGTGAGGGTGCTTCTGGAAGTGTTTAAGAAGAGCCTCTATTGATTTAGTCATCATTCTCTTATTGGTACTGAGAGGGAGACTCCATTAAAATGAAGATTTCCTTAGTAGATGTGCATTTTCTTTACAAATGGATAAGTTCTGCTCTGTTTTCAGTTCTCTTGTGTCTGCATTTTCTTAAAATAATAGGTTCAAAATGATTTTTATACCCAAGAGGCTTATTTTGTGGTGGCATATTCTGGTTTCCTATAGTCATATATTGGGGGGCATATTCTGGTTTTCAACACCATCTTTCATAATTTCTGTACCATCATGATTTCTCATAATTTTTCATAATTTCTGTATTTTTCATAATTTCTGTACCAGCAGCCATGAATGAAATGCTGTTTTTTCCTCCAGCAATTCATTTGCCATGGTTTAAAAACGGTTTAGCAGTTCTAACAAATATAGATAGGCCACACCATCTCGTTGTGGTAATTTTTAGTCCCTTAATGATATATGAAGTTGTACATGTTTCTGTTTGCTTGCCATCTGTGTATATTCATCGGTGATGTGATCTGCTCAGCTCTTTACTATTTTAATTGGGTAGTCTATATTATTGTTGAGCTTCAAGAATCTTTGTATATTTTGAGTTAAAGTTATTACTTAGTTCTGTATTTTGAAGATATTTCTTCTCGGCTATGGCTTGTCTATTTCCTGAACTAGATTTTTTCACAGAGAATAAACTTTTAATATGAGAAAGTCTATATTGCTAATTATTTTTTCTGTTATGAATCGACTTTGATGTCATATGTTAAAACTCATGACCAAACCCAAGGTCACATACCTTTCTTTTTGTACTTTCTTTAAGAATTTGTATATTTTTATATTTTAAATCTCAGGACTATGTTAAGGAAAACTTTATATAAGTTGGAAAGTTTGCAACCGTTTTCATTTTATTTCCTGTGGTTTCCAGTTAATGATTCTTTCATAATTAAAACACACACACACACACACACACACACACACACACGCACACAAGAATAAGTTCCATTTCCATTTGAATTTCCAAAATGATGGCACTGAACAATCTGAACTCTGCCTTTATTTGGTGCCACAGGTAAGCCAGGAGGGGGCGCATGGTTCCCACATCATGACAACCACAGGGTGCAGGTGATGCCACCTTTTCTGACCATGGAGGCTCCCACGTGTTCAACATCGGCTGCTTTAGAGGACGAGACCTGCGTTCTGCTCAGCACACACTGAGCACCATCACCTCACTGGGGGACAGCTGGAAGCAGAGGTAAGTGAAAACCTTCCTCTGACTTATGAACATCAGGGATCCAGTAGAAAGGCCTTGTGGGGAAAATGAGAAATAAAATATTCCATGGTTTTTAAGATCGTTTTCTTGTAGTAGAAGCCATACTATGCGAACAGCCTACAAAGCCCTAATTCTCTTTTTCTAACTTCTGCCTGGAAAAAAAAAAAATTGAAGTCAGTTTTTACCAACATTCAAACCTTATAGCACCACCTAGTGGGATTTATTTCTCCATATGTGTTCATTGTATTAGCTCTTTGTACAAACCCTCTAGTCTCCTAATACCTCTCTCTTCTTTGTTCCTTTTTTCAAAATCAGGCTCCATGCCTCACTTACACACAGAAAAAATTCTTTTTCAATAACCCAGAAAAAAAAAAAAAACCTTAAGTGAAAAATTCAGGCCTAACTGCTGTCCCCATTAGAGGAAAGATAGTCATTCTATTTTTATGTTATTAAGATAGTTTTTCTAAAATGAGTTACATTGGCATTTTAACAACTAAAAAGGAGAATTACATGGGTAGTAGTCAATTGGCTCATTATTTGGAAATCCATAGTTTGACTAGAGCCATAGCTACAGAAGGCAGAAATGGGTGTTAGAAACACTCTCTCCGTTAAGAGATCTCACTGAAATCCAACTGCTGCATAGTCTCTCCCACAAACTTAGAATACCCTGGGGGATTTATGATCCAAGTGAGTCTAGAAAATGCAGAAGGGTAAAGAGTTCTAGCCTCAGAAAAGTGAGGATGATACTTCTGTAGACTAGCCCCTCCAGATACATGGGTGAAAATTATGCTTGCATTTATAGGCTCCACCTCTAATGGTTGCTGTGACCCAGAGGATGTAAAGAAAGTGGAGAAACGGGATGCCCTTTCTATCACTCTCTTCTCCCTGGGTCACTTTGAAAAGAAGGAAGAAGAGGGAGGAATGCCTCTGCTTTTTCCTTTTCCAGATAATAAACCATCTTTAGATTGCACTTTTCTCAAGTGTGTACTGAAGAACTGGGATTCTTTTAATCCTGAGACTCTGAAACAAAAGAGATTTATATTCTCATGCACAAGGGCATGATTATGTTACTAGCTCCAGGATAAACAGGGCTTTACTCCTGAAAAAAAAGTAAATTTTAGTACTCTTGCAGTCTCACAAATTCACCACACACAATGTAGAAGATTCTTTTTGTAAGGTATCACCCAGGTTTTTATTTTGTTTTCTCACATCCAAAAAATTAAAAATCTTGAACACAAAGGGTATCATTTGAGTAAAAGTTTAATAAGCTCTCTGCAGTGGAGAGTGGGGCCCAGGTAGATTACCCACTATGAGGCAGGGTTGGAGGTTTGTATAAGCTCAGAGGAGAAGAAATGTGATGACTGGTTTGAAACAGAATGACTAAGATTTTCTCAGAGTTTGACCCAGAACTAACCGGGAGCTGAAATGATTATTCATGGAGACCACTCAGATTTGCCTGGCACCTTGGCCCAGGGCCAAAAAGGAGGTAAAGTTAAACCTTGGCCTGAGATCTTAGCCTGAGACCAATCAGAGGCTGAAGTGATGATTCATAGAAACTCAGCTCCCAGTGAAAAGCATGTTCAAAAATAGAAAGAAAAGTGCCCAGCATAACCCACTGAAGCCAACTGTGTACATGCCCACAGACAAAGAATAGATTCTTTCCTGGAAGCCTACTGTCTGCACAAAGAACACAGGAATTTTTATGTCGAACCTTGCTCTCTCACCAGAGTACTTGCAGGCTTTTCTTAGAAACAAGAAAGGTGTGTCTATGTTTGGCCTTTTTTAAAAACAAACAAACAAACAAGCAAACAAAACATATAAATGGGCCAATGTTTGATCCAGTTTTCTTATCAGTGCCTGCAGCTTGATTTTATCAGGCTTTTTCTCTGCTTCCAGATATTTTACCAATAATCCACCACAACTGCTTAACATTTCTCTCTTATTTTCTCTCTCAGGAATGGAGACACTAACTGCTGTTAGGAAAGTGGAGTGATGGGCTGGGTGCAGTGCCTTATGCCTGTAATCCGATCACTTTGGGAGGCTGAGGAGGGTGGATCATGAGCTAAGGAGTTTGAGACCAGCCTGGCCAACATGGTGAAACCCCTTCTCTACTAAAGGTACAAAAAATTAGCCAGGTGTGGTACACACACCTATAATCTTAGCTACCCCGGAGGCTGGGGCAGGAGAATTGCTTGAACCCAGGAGGCAGAGGTTGCAGTGAGGTGAGATCATGTCATTGTACTCCAGCATGGGTGACATGGCGAGACTTTATCTCAATTAAAAAAAAATGGAGTGACAATATTTCTGGTTCCTTTTTTCTAAAGATAAGTATTATCTAAGTTACAGAAGTTAGGGTCTCTTCTGGGGCTGGTATAAGTGTCCTCAGTAGATAAGTGAATCCACACATCAACATTTGGAGCTTGATAGCCACTAGATGAGAAGACATAATTCTGGTTATACCATTGAGTATAGATGGTCCAAACATTAACACCACATATACAAGGAAAAGAGGTCTTAGCAAAGAAGCTAGTTAGGTCTAAAGAGAAGACTTAAATCTATTAAGAAAAGATCGTAGCCAACGGGAACAGAGTCCTCACTTTCTCTCAGTCCACTGACGATTTTAAGTAGGTCATTTAGCACTTGTATTTATTTCTTTATATTTTTACCTGACTAAAAGTGCTGATTCAGAAGCAGCATGTCTCATTGAATAGTGCATAGGCATTCTCTACTCAGGCCAAAAAGGCATCCAGAGTTTAATTATTCTTCATTATCTCTGAGGCTAGGAGATTTACCAATTGGCATTGGGCATCTGTGGCTTCTACAGTTGACTTCCACCCTTGTTGCATTATGATGAAAATACTAATGGCTAGTGTTTCAAGAAAAGTATACAGAGAAATCAAATAGGCCTCCTGATCTTGCATGTTTCAATTTTAATTTTCACAGTATAGGATTATAATGTGCATATTTTCCTCAATTCTCTCCCTCAAAACTCCATGTGACGGCATAGAGACAAGAGATTTATTTTTGTGTGTGCAAGAGAATCTACTCTGAAAAAGAGTCTCGACTGAAAATGTCACCAGATGATGGTGTCATTTTGGTGAAATATAAAAATAACATACCAGGGTCACTATTATTATAGTACCTGTTCCCGTTTAGTGTCTAGGGAGGATTAAATGTAGCCAGGGGCCACAGAGAAGGTAAAGCCCCATTTCCTAAACAGATGGTTCTAAGTTGTCATTTGTGAGGGTTCTTGCTAGATTTAGTTTGTACCTTGTAAGTTTACTCCTCCTATGTCTAAGAGGAGGTGTAATGTCCATATTCAGTACAGTTACTCAGTGTGTTGTTTGGAATTCTGCCTGCTGGTTTGGAATAATCTTTTTGGCAGGTGGAGTTTCAGAAAATCAGAGACACAGCATGTTCTGCCCAGTATCTTTGGTAATCCTCATTACAGGGGTTATTAGTTTAGATGTTTCCAGTTCTCCTGCATACATGTAGGATGCCACCATTATAAAATATTATACAAGCGTTCAGGATTCCATCTGTGGGCACATTTGGTTGGAAACAAGTATTATTTATTATCTGATAATAATGTTGGAAAGAGGCAGCATTTCTGCCTATGGGTAATAATTTCTACTAGAAATACCAAAGGAAAAGTCTGGTTAGATTGTTAATGTTTTTTCATAGTCTTTCCCAAGGTTTGAGGTCACCTGCACTTTTACTCTCCAGATCTCCACACTCTCAGCAATTACAAGATGGCGTTGCCATATTTGAGATTCTCCAAGTGTGGTTCCTTTTGCCTCTAAAGCAGAGAAAGTTGTTTGCTATTATTCTATCAACTTCACCTAGCCTAAGAGTTTGAGTCTTACATTCGAGAAATATGTCTTTCTGGATGGAGTTAAAAGTGATTCCATACAAGATTCCATTCATCCCTCTCAAGTGCTTAATTGTTAAAGGTGAAACTAACCAATAGAATACTAATATATTGAGTTCATATAATTAAAGCGTCTGTTTTAAATCTGATAAAATTTTTCAAGGCAAAACTAGAAGTTTGTCTTCTTGTATAGATGGGCAATGGCTAATATTGTAGGGACCTTGGGGTGCATGTCAGTGCTACGTCTAACAGTGAATGTTAGTAAACCTGACAGTAACAAAATCTTCATGTTTATTTTTTATTTGTCACTACTATTTTTGCTATAATGATAATGATTAAGTAAAATATTATGGTAATTGAGACTCTCTGTTTGATGCTTTACTCAGAAGGTGCTTCAGTTTATAACCCCACTGCAAGAGGTAAAGTAAGAAATGTAATTTCTATAAGTATTGTGTATTAGATAATTTTTATCTGATTTTTATTATAATACTTCTAGACTGTCAGGGACTGCTTTCACTGGTTTCCAGGCTTTCACTCGAGTGAAATAAATACGAGTCAATTTCCACCATCTTCACAGCTGAGGGAGTAAGGAGAAGAATAGTGTTAGGTCCCTCCCAACTGGGGTGTAGGGACAGGAGAGAAAGAGGAGGAGTCTACCCCAGTACCAACTCTTCTGGGTTGAATACAGGGGGATTTGGATTTTTGGGGTTGTACTTCTGATGATGTTTTCATTCCTCTTGAAAGTGGGGTCAGGGAGTTTATATGTTTAAAAAATTCAGAAGTCACTCATCTACTAAAATATCAATGTTAAGAGAAGGTCATACATAATAAATTTAAAGTAGTTCAAAGCCAGCTTTGTAGCGATGTACTTCACTGTCACTAAGGCCATGAAAAAGAGTAATTGAAAAGAGGTGAGTTTCTTGAGGAAGCTTCCTGAGGAATCTCTTGATGATATAATTTATTTTCTTCCCCTTTTCTGAAGACTGTGGTCTCCAGGCACAATGAAGATTATATTCTATGCCCAGAGCTCTTGAAATTCACTGGGTAATGGTTGCTTTAAATGAGGAGCCATTGTTGTTTTGGAGGCACTGAGGGAGGCCAGAGCAAAGAATTATTTTTTAAAATATTTCTTTTACTACCTCAAAGGATTTTTCTCTTCTACATAAAAATGCCTCCATACAGTTAGGGATACTGTCTACCTATACCAGCAGATACTGGGTTTTCTATGTTTTGGGTGTATGGGTAAAGTCTATCTGCCAACCTTCCCCTAGGTTTCTT
Source organism: Homo sapiens (assembly GCF_000001405.40). Classification (NCBI taxonomy): domain Eukaryota; kingdom Metazoa; phylum Chordata; class Mammalia; order Primates; family Hominidae; genus Homo; species Homo sapiens. The sequence continues at coordinate 21,732,078 of NC_000024.10, read as the reverse complement.
TCCATTTTTTTTTGAGCTTGAGGGAGGAGAAGCTATCTGTTGGGGGGATTATTTTTAAGGTATATTTCACATGCATTTACAAACTGTTTGACTATTTTCAGTAGATTTTTACTGGAGAACATTCTCTGGATCAGTTGATAAGTTATGTTCTTTGTAAAGTGAAAAGTTTGCTGAAGGACATTAAGAACTTTCCACTGACTGGATGCTGACAAGTGGGGTTTTCTGCCTTTCATTTGTAACCATACAACAGTCTGAAAAATTGATTCTCCAGAAGTAGCCCATTCTATCTTTTCAGGGAGATACTGAGGCTTTATTTCTTCTATAATGCTTTCCCAAATAAGAAAGGCTTTAAATATTCTGGGAACTTGGGCTCTTTTTGCTACTGACTTGGCAACCTATTTTTTTGCTTTTGGCTATTTTATTAATCATTTTCTGGTGTCCTCTGTAATATATTACTGCTACTTCCCAGAAAGAAAGAAGAAAAAAGAAAAACTGAGGACACTAATCTATTTCCTGGTGATATTTAATGTAAGACCCATTAGCAGTCAGGAAATGTCTTTTTTTTTTCCTAAATAGTGGCATGGGCATAGAGAGCCAGAAGAAGCATACCTAGAATCAGTATGTGTCCACTGCCTTTTTCTCTAAATGGTTAAAAGACAATGAACATAGCTAATAAGTCTTGTGCTTTGTCAGAGAGGCATGCTGTCAAGAATATAAATCAGGGTGAATATTGCACACACTGCCTTAGAGGTATTTTGTTTTACAAAATAACTTTTCCCTCTAAAGAAAGTTCAGACAATTTTTCTAAAGAAATTAGTTTTAGGTTCTTTCTGGCTGCGCAGATTTTCACTACTACCTGTTTACAGTCATGTTCAGGTTGTTCAGGTTACTTCTTAAAGGAAAGGGAATAGGTTATGGGTTTTTTAATGGAACTGTAGATTCCTTAGAAGCAAAGTTTGATCTTTGACAAGGTGATTATCTGTTATCCAGAGACTTCCTTTAGAGGACACCCTACATTACGTGCGGTGTAATCAGTTAGAACATTCCCCATGCTCAACTTACTGGCTTGCAGTACATGCAAGGCCACCACTACAACTGCTTGGAGGCAACTTGTCTATGCTTTAGCCACCCAGTCAAGCTCTATGTTTATGTAACTTAGTGGTTGCTGGGCCAAATCTCAAGCTTGAGTTAAAACTCCTAAGCTATCCCTTCTCTTTTATAAGACATAAAGATGCAATGACTTATTTGTGGGTACACTGAGGGCCAGTGCTTTTTGTCAGGTTTGTTTGATCTGGTTAAGGTATTTGAGTTTTAGTTTCCTATGTCAGGAAGAAAGCCGAAGCTGCTTGAGATTCTTTTATAAGATAATATAAAGAAATAGCTGTTTCACCAAACCTTGGTATCCATCATCCTCAAAAACTTATAATGTCCAATGATCCTTTTAGATGTTTGAGTGTTTTGGGAATGGGAAAGAAGGAGATGGGATTAATTCTCTCCTTTACTAATGTTTTGGGTTTTCAACAGCCTTATTAATGAGACAGAGGTTCTGATCCAGCCTCCATTCTTCACTGTGTTTCTGTACCTCTAATATTTGGGTGTTGTTAAGACGTTGCAGAGTTTAAGGAAGTATTTGGCCTTTAGGTTATCTCTGATGGCAGCCATTTTCTACCTTTTGTCTATAAAAGATATTGCCTAACGCTAGGGTAAAAAAATAAAATAAAACTCTTAAGGCTAATCTGGACAAGTATAGCAGTTGCAGCTCTGCAAATTTTTCCTTGATGTGGCCAGACCTCTGGATTAACATTGGTTTTAACTAAGGGGAGACAAAGCTTTGTCCTGAAGCCGTTAGAATGATGGTGTCCATATAAGCTAAAATTACCTAGTAGAAGAGTGAAACTTTCAAAAATAATTAAATTGGGATATTTAAATACCAGGTCTCCACAACTACAACTGAAGGGTTTAGAAAATATCCTCTCTATTTCTACCTGGTAAAAAACTGCATGCAGTCTATACTCCCCTGTTTATTTTTTAACATGAGAACTTCTTTGACTCTGAGACTCTGGAGAAAAAAAGTGGCTTATATCATTTTGCACAAAGACTTGGACATTTTATAAGCAAGAGTTCTGAACTTCTTGGAAAAAACATAATTTCAATGGTATCCAATGACAACATCTTCACTTGCTATTCCAGACAACTGAGATCTTTGTAAGCTTTGTAAAATGAACCTGATTTCTTGGTAACCATTGAAAGCAAGTCTACAAATGGCAGATTTATAAACTTTTGAGGAATTCTCAAATGCAACTTTTGGGTGCTCTATCTGCCTCGCTTATAAAAGACCCCCAGCACCCATATTATCAGTTTCTTCAGTTGTGTCACCCAAAAAGTTTACAACTTCAGTGGGGCAGAAAATGCTCAATGAACTTCATGCTACTAACGTTCAAATTTTTTTTTCTCACAAAAGAACTTTAAATAAATTAAATAAAAAAGACTTAAGGAAGTTATCTGATGACCTTAATAAGTATATGAGGCTTCTAAAAATCAACCCAAGTGTTTCATCTTATGTGTAGTAGTGCTACACTACTTTAAAGCTATATCCTAACTTTTGTCAAGAAACAGGCAGTGCTAAAGGCAGTAGAGAGATTTGGAAATGAACAAGAAGTATTCTGCAACCAGTCAAATTAAAAAAAAAAGTCAAGAGTAAACAAAATAGTAAAATAGAAACTGTGACCCCATTTCCAATTGGAAGAGAAACAATGATTTTTGAAAATCTGAATTGGAGCCCTAGTGGTGCTAAGGTAAATGAAAAAAAAAAAAAAACACTTTTTAATGTGCATATTAAAAGACTTGCAAATAACAGAAATAAACATTTTAATTACTCTAAAACATTCTTGTTGAATCAGAAACAAGATAAAAATTTATCATCCTTTTTGGAAAGTTTGAGAAAACTTTAGTGAAACACATCTTTTTATTTCTCTAATTCAACTGAGACACAGATAATCTTAAAAGATAAAGTTATTTGTCAAGCAGCTGTTAATTTTAGGGAAAACTACAAAGTAGTCTGTAGAATCAGAGAGTACAATGGAAAACCTTCTTGGATTTACTTCCTCCGTATGCCACAATGAGAAACAGGAGAAAGAGGCCAGGAAAATGAGTAGAGGCACAAGAGAACAAAAGAGGCATTAGTGGACACTTTATAGGACAGTTGATCTATAATCCCTAAATACACTTGCAAATTACTACCAGTGTGGCAAGCTGGAACACTTGACAAAGCCTTGTCCAGGCATTTGGAAGAAGCTGTCTTAACCCTGTCCAGCTTTTGATGGAGACCACTGAAAGACTCCCTTTGTTTAGAGACATAGGTCACCATATCCAGGACCAGTCTTCAGATGATCAGGCAGAACTCATCTGTGCTGGTTCTCAATTTTTGAGCTTCAATGGCTCTAACTACCATTGCTATTTAGGAGTCCCAAGTAATTTGGGTGGCTAGAGGAAAAAAAAAAGCAAACTTTCTTCTAAACATTGCAATGAATCATTTTGTTCTCCTCTCCAATCCAGGCCTTACTTATTCATACAGTGAAGGAATTTAGCTGATTTGCTCTAGATAAACAGCAAAAGAAAGTTTCCCATAAAATCCCAGCTAATGGGTCAGTGCCTTATTTTCAACAACACGTAAAACCAGTCTTGAAAAATAAGCTGCAGGCACCAACAAAAATTAGTACATGGAGTTATTATTGCAGATAAACCCATGGCTCCAAAGATAGGAGAATCTTTCACCCACTTAAATAAAAACTTGCAGAAACTCTGGCTCACACGTCTAAGGGAACTAGGCCTGACATAAAAATGACTTTGACTTTTGCATAATCAATGGGCTCCATAAAAAGAATTTCTTCTGTTTGTGGACATTAACACAGTGGGATCCAGTGGTTTCCGGGCAGTCACTATTTTGTTGTTGTTGTTGTTGTTGTTTGCTTGTTTGTTTGTTTGTTTCTTAATTCTGATTTGTCTTCTATTAAGTATTTCGTCCCTTGATTTGTGCTGCTTTAAAGTTGTGGGCCAAACTTTCATTTTAGCTGCGTATAGATTTTATGACAAGCTGAACAGCCTCCAGTAATCATCACATCAGCTCTGATTGCTACTGGACCAACATTTTGGGGAAAGGTTTCTGATTGATCTCAAGCCAAATTCCCAAGCCAAGGTGAGTCACACATTCTCCAAGACAGCCTGCAGAATAAGCACATTCCTTCCCCTTCTTAGTTTATAAAGACCCTGGAATAAGAGGTGAATAAGCCCCTCTCATAATCTGTGTTTTTCTTAAAGCTATGCTTGTTTATTAAGCCCTGATAACTGCATTAGTAACCTTGTCCTTAAAAGGCCTCACCCCCAGTACTTTGGGATCCTAAGGCAAGTAGATCACTTAAGGTCAGGAGTTCAAGACCAGGCTGGGCAACATGGTGAAACCCCATCTGTACTAAAAATACAAAAATTATCTGGGTGGGTGCCTGTAGTCTCAGCTACTTGGGAGGCTGAGGCAGGAAAATTAATTGAGCCCAGGAGGCAGAGGTTGCAATGAGCCAAGATTCTGCCATTGTACTCCAGCCTCAGTGACAGAGCAAGACTCCATCTCAAAACACACACACACACACACACACACACACCCCTCCATAGGTGAATAATCTGATGAGAAAAATGGAAAACAAAAAATTGTATAACTAGTATATTTTCTGTTGGTTTGTTTGGTTATGTATACATTATTTTTATTAAAAGATCTCTAATTCATTAGCTTAAGAAAAGATAGCCACTTGACCAAAATATTATGAAAAGGAAAAATAAAGGCTGTGGTAGCTTTCAGTTCATGTGACTTTAACTTTTTAAAAATAAAGCACCCTCTGCCAGGCATGGTGGCTCATACCTGTAATCAAAGAACTTCAGGAGGCCAAGGCAGGTGGATCACGAGGTCAGGAGTTCAAGTCCAGACTGGCCAAGGTGGTGAAATCCTGTCTCTCCTAAAAATACAAAAATTAGCTAGGCATGGTGGTTGGCACCTGTAATTCTAGCTACTTGGGAGGCTGAGGCAGTGCAATGAGCTGAGATCATGCCACTGCACTCCAGCCTGGCAACACAGCGAGGCTCTGTTTGAAAAAAAAAAACAGCCTCCAAGATTATTGATAAAATGCAAATGTCTTCCAGATGTTAATATGTGGTCTATATTATGCAGGTAAAAAATGTAAGTTTCCTAATTGTTTGAAGGATGTAAACTACTTCTTTGTCCTTTGAAAACCATAGGCTTGCCTGCTTCACTATTGGTATAGCCTGGGGACATATAAAAGTAATCACACCTCTAAGTAAGCTGAGAGAGTCAGCCTTTATCTGCACTTAGCACACAATTAAAACAACTTACCATGTTTTACATTCAAGTGAAAAATTACAAAATGTTACCATTATAACATGTGATTGAGACTACTAAAATTAAATTTTCATGTAAGGTGTATAAGAAAAGTAAAATATAGTAAAATTTATAAAATGGCATGTAAATGCTCATTTATCTTAGAGATAAAGACTTCTCTTAAATCAAATCACATAAAGCTAAAGATTTAAGCAGATGGAAGAACAACTGTACATGTTAATCTTGCAAAAGAAAATGCTGTCTGAACACATTAAATAAAAAGGGATATATTATATGGTTACTCTATAAGTGAAGCATTGAAATAAAAGTGCAGCGCGGTTTTCTTGAGATGCTAATCTGCTCTTTAGCAAAATGTGTAAAGAGTTGTTAAAGGGTTTTAAAAAGTTTATGAAAACCTCACCTCGTTGTTAAACTGATTAAGATAAATTTGTCTATAAGGTTTAATTTAAAAATAGCAGTAAATTGGACTGGCACAGTGGCTCACGCCTGTAATCCCAGCACTTTGGGAGGCTGAGGCAGGCAGATCATGAGGTCAAGAGATGGAGGCTGATGAAGGAGAATGGCCTGAACCTGGGAGGTGGAGCTTGCAGTGAGCTGAGACTGTGCCACCCCAAGCTGGGTGATAGAGTGAGCCTCTGTCTCAAACAAACAAAGGAAAAAAAAAAGAATAGCGGTAAATTTAATAGTGGACTAATGCAACAGTAAAATCTGTTTCCACTCTAGAACAAGATTTTTATGTAATATAAAGGCTAATAACAGTAGCTTTTTGTCACTTCAAATTTTTAAATTTATTTTGGCAAAACAAATGACTTATGATAATCTTTATATTTTATAACAGTAAATGTTTTAAATTTCGTACATATTTGGCAGGCATTTCAAAAACAAATTTTTGTTACAGAGTTGTCCTTTCTGAGTCCTCGATTTTAAATGCTACAGAGGGCTCCCATTTCAAACACGTCTTTAACATGTATTTTTAAAAGTATTTAACAACCTTATGCATTTAGGTTGTTTAAATACATGTGGTTACCAAGCTAATTTTAATTTTCTTCAGGTTACATTTTAGTAAATAATATTAACATAAGTTTTGTAGCCATATGCGGTGTCAAAGTTCTAAGGTCTAAAAAGGCTATCAAACTTAATCAAAATTATTATGTTTAGCCATTGTAAACCATAAAAATAGCCATTTTTTGTCAACGAGTGTCTGTAACCACTTTAGGCATTCTGTCATTTACAGACAATTGTTTTAATCCTTTTCTAAAAATGGTTTATAATTAGCTGTAGGACTTTAACAGCTGCTCTCAAATGCAGGTTTATAATTAGATATTAACAAAACTCATGAAAAGCTTAAGAAAATGGACTAAAAACACTGAAGCCATTTTTTCAACATTGACTTCAAATATTTCTGTGTATTTTGTTTTTCAGGGTTAAGGGAACTTTCTTTTGTGCAGGCAACAGTGTTCAACAACTGATTAAAGTATACTATTGTAAAAAATATAAAAATATTTTATTTTTCCCTCCCTGTTTTCTCTAATACTTGGTAACTAATTTTTGCTTTTCTTAACTTACAGCAATATAGTTGTTTGCATCAGTGCAAAAAAAAAATTTGTTTTAACAAAACAAAACTGGAAAAAAACTGGTTATTTTACTGAGGCTTTGACTGAAAGGATATGTTTCTCTTTAAAGAATAAAGCTTGAGGCAGGGCATGGTGGCTCACACCTGTAATCCCAGCACTTTGGGAGGCCAAGGCGGGGGTGGATTGCCTGAGGTCAGTAGTTCAAGACCAGCCTGACCAACATGGTGAAACCCCATCTCTACTAAAAATACAAAAAAAAAAAAATTAGCCTGGTGTGGTGGTGAGCACATGTAACCCCGTCTACTTGGGAGGCTGAGGCAGGATAATCACTTGAACCTGAGAGGCAGAGGTTGCAGTGAGCTGAGATCACACCATTGCATTCCAGCCTAGGTGACAAGAGCAAGACTTCCTCTGGAAAGAAAAAAAAAAGAATAAAGCTTGACTTCAATAAACAACGTAAAGTCCCTTAGGGAAAAAAATGGCTTTAAACCTTGTCTACACCATTCCCATTCAGGGTTCTGAACCTGTGGTAGGTAGAGAATATCACTTTCTCAAAAGCCTCAAAACAACCCCATGCTTTTGGTAACTCAATAAGAGAGGAGTTTACCCAGCTCAGTATTTAAGGGTACAAGCTCATGGCTGGTCTCAGCTTTAAAACTTCCTGAGATTCCTTGCAGAACGGAGTTCCATGAAAGCCAATTGAAAAAAAAATGTAAAGGTAATTATTCTTGCCTGCACTTTATAAAACTAGGCCAAGTGGAAGACTGACATCTATTTTCCAAACAATTTAGTTCTATCATGATATTTTTTTACAAAAATATGAACTGAAGAGAAATAATATGTTTCAAAACTTATTGTACTTCTGTCATTAATGCATAGTCTCATAAGTTCTCATAAGTTGTTTTTAAGTTGTTGCCTACATTTTAAACTAACCCTGCTGAATCCCATGAGCCAATTAATAATCTTTGACTTTAGATCAAAGTAAACAGAAAGTAATGAGTAATTTAAAAATTTGTTACAATATTATATATAATTCTTGGCAAAAATCCTACAAATCCTGCCAGTTGATGAAAATAAATATGGTTCCCATAATACAGAGGCTTGTTTGTATTTTTTTAATTAAAGCTGAGTTCCATATACCTAAATCTTAGCAGGCATAACTGTAGCCATCAGTTATAAGGGTGTGTCACCAGGCTTGGGACACTTAAGCTGTCCTTAGCCAACTTGTCTTGTTACAATACATGTCCTTTAGTAACTCTATTTTTTTTCCTTGAGGCTGTCAACTCCAAATAGTAATAATGCAAGTAAGACCACACATAAAATCACCTATCTTCTGAGGACTCTGAAACAATGTCTGAAATAAATTCTAACTGCTGTTTTTTACAAACACCCCTCTGCAGCAGAGAGTAGCCAGAAAGATCAACACTTAATCTCCCTAAAGCAGTTAGGTTCTTTATTTCTGAGGGGAGACTGAGAAAAGTTAGCTAGCTTCTCTTAGGTAAAAAGCAAGGCAAGGGTTTCCAGAGAGCCCCAAGCAGATATGTCAGTGCCTCAACCAAACATAACACAACAATCAGCCTTAAAAGAAATTAAGCTGAAACCACTGATACAGGACCTAACACAGTGGCTACTGCCTGAACATATTCCTGCAGCTACACAGACGGAAGAACCTCCAGTCCATTCTGGAAAAAAAAAAAAAAAAACTTGCACAAAACTCAGGCTTACACAGATGAAAGAAAGAGGTGTGGCATAGAATATTTTTGTCCTTTGTATAATCAGTGCCCCACACCCACAATGAGAAAATTTTATTCTCCTTTCACAGGCATAAATTCAGCAAGCTTCAGTGGGTTCTCATTCGCTCTATTTGTTGTTGTTATTGTTCAGACAATAAGTCCAGCTTCTAAGAATTATCACTTAAGCTCCTGACTGATCCTGGGCCAAACTCACAAGCCAGTCTTTCATTTGCATTTTTAAGTCTTCTTGGGCTATCCTGAGCAGTCTCTATGAATTATCACTTCAGCCTCCTATTGGTCCCAGACCAAGGTCTTAGGCTATGCTTTCTTACTGGTCCAAGACCAAGGCTAAGACACATTGTATAAGATAGCTGACAAACTAAGAACATCCCTTTCTCTTTTCAGTTTATAAAAATTTTAAACACTTGCCTCATAGTTTGCAACTCATGTGGGCCCATATTTCTGCTGGTGAAATGATCTCTTCTTTTGCATATTAAAGTTTTCCTCAAACTTTACCCATGTGTTCATGCTCCTTAATCTTCTAAATTGTGTGTCTGTGTAGGTGTGTGTGTGTGTGTATATGTGTGTGTGCATATACATATATATATATACACACACACATGCTATGTGTATTTATACATATATCTATATACACAAACCAGACTGTATATATACACTTACATATACTGAGTAGTACATATGTGTATGTGTTGCTCTGAGCAATATCTAAAACAAAAAAGAATTGTTACATCTTGTTGCACTGCTAAAACTAGTACATTATCCGGTCATGTGACCTGCTTTGTAGCTTTTTTTTTTTTTAAATCAAGACTGCCTGAAAAATAAACTTCTTTCTTAAGATTAACTGGTGCTCAACTGAGTCAGAAAATACAGAGGTGCGTTTTACTCACCCTCTCTCAGCCTTTCCATAAAGATTGAGGGATTCTCATCAAGTTTTAATCTATTATGTTTATCTTAGAGTAATTAAGAGGTTTGGCACTGTTCTTTTACTAGCATTCCTGTACATGCATTCTAAATTTTTATTCTTTTCCACTCCTCTATCAAATGACGGGGATTCCAATTATGTTTTCAAAGAGCACTGTCTTTTTTCCTGTTGGGAATAAAGATTATGCTATCTGTTCACCTTAGTTTTGTCTTTCACCATCCGTTTTTCTAGATTTCTTTCCCTTTATACTTTTAGGCTGGGTATAGTAAATATGTTGTTCATCTTCAAATGCTTTTGCTGCTAGTAAAGCTGCCAATTTTTCTGCAGCTTTGGTTTAGGATTAACGTAGCATGTCTCCACATACAATGAAATACCTGTGTTAGATTTTGGAATGCCTCTATATATCTATTAGAGTCATCAGAGAACTCGACTAGATTTACATTTATTTTTCTAAGGCCCTGCAATGAAAAGAGAACTTGAAATCTAGTAGTACCACGTTTTTTTGGCATTTTCTACAGGGCCCACATTGAAATTGATGGTTTACAGGGTGGAACAGGGAGAGAAACTGATGACATGGACATTAGAAAGCCTATAAAAGAGGTGCGGGTAGGGCATTTAGAAGTAGAATTTAAGGGTTTACCAAGGGTTTGTGTCTCTGACTTTGGGGCATTATCTTTTGTATGCCTGCTTTCTATGATGGCCAAAGCTCAGAGACAGTTTTACAATACTTACAAAGATCTGGGTTATCTACCAAGGCAACGGAAGATTGTACATTGGAAACGCTGTACATTTCTAGGCTGCATCTCTGTTTAAAGAAGTTTTACCAATGACACCTACTAAGTTTCTCTCTCATTGTCCCCTGCAGGTGTGAAAACACTAATTGCTGTTAGGGAGATTGAGGATTGATCTTTCTAGCTACTTTTTGCTAGGAAGGGTCATCTTGTAAGGAAATACAACAGCTGGAGTTCACACTGAGGTTAGGGTAAGGTTTTTCAAAACCACGGTGTTTACATAAGTGGTTTCGTTTGCAGTACAATTTGTTTGATTGCCTCTATGTGAGATGAAACAATCTTGGTTATCAAAATATAAAGTGTTAAAATGAGACGAGGTGAGGAAAAGGATAGCTTAAAAATTCTGAGGCTGCTGACATGCCCTTATAACTAATAGCTATAGATATGCTTAACAAGTTTTGGGTGCATGGGGCTTGGCTTGGCTTAGCTTCCTTGGTCTTGTCCCCCAAAACAAAAAACCCCCTGAATTATGAGTCAACTATATACTCTCATTACCTGGCAAGCTTTGTAGGGTAATTGCCCATAACAAATATATGTTTACATATTTTGCAATATTAATATTTTTATATTTTCAACCTAGCTGCAGCTAGAGATTTCTGGCTGGCTCACAGGGATCAACAGGGATAGCCTAAAATATAGGCAAATGCTAAAGACAACTAATGAGATGAGAATATAATGGCAAACATATGATAAGATTTGAAACATGTAGGCTAGTTGAGGTAGCTCACACCTGTAATCCCAGCACTTCAAGATCAAGATCAGCCTGACCAACACATAGAAACACCGTCTCTACTAAAAATACAAAGTTATCCAGGCATGGTGTCACATGCCTGTAATCCCAGCTACTTGGGAGGCTGAGTCATGAGAATCATGTGAACTCAAGAGGCAGAGGTTGTGGTGAGCCGAGATAGTGCCATTGGCCCTCCAGTCTGGTAAACAAGAGTGAAACTTCATCGCAAAAAAAAGAAAAAAGAAAAGATTTAAACATAATTTTTCTCTCTTCATTTCTTATTACTGTAAATAAACAAAGTATGTTAGGCCTGAGTTGAAAATAGTAAAATGAACTATAATTTTATATTTAACCTAAGTATTTGCATAAAGTGCAGCAAAAATAATTATTTTTAAATAGTCTCTCTAAATTGGCTTTTACGAAACTGTTCTTCAGGAGGAAACTCTGATAAGCACTCTTAAAGCCAAGAACAACTATGGGTTTTACTTTCAAATACCTATGAGTTGGGCAAACTTTACTCTTCTTGAGGTCCAAAAACATGAAAATCCTGGGCCTGTTAGCAAGTGACATTCTTTACTCACCACAAGTCTGCAATATTTTGTGGGTTTTTAATACATATCAGGAGGTAATAAATGCACACTTTATCTGTCATATAAATGAAGTTCTTCTCTCAATCTTTCCCTAGATAGCTTTTCAGATATTGAGCAGCAGGGATAGAAACTGTCTTTTGAGATTATTATTATTTTTGAGATGAAGTCATGCTCTGTCTGCCAGGCTGGAGTGCGGTCATGCAAACTGGGCTCACTGCAACTCCTGCCTCCTGGGTTCAAGTGATTCTCCTACCTCAGCCTCCTGAATAACTGGGACTACAGGTACATACTACCATGCCCAGCTATTTTTTTTTTTTTTTTTTGTATTTTTAGTAGACATGAGTTTTCACCATGTTAGCCAGGATGGTCTCAATCTCCAGCCCTTGTGATCTGCCCGCCTTGGCTTCCCAAAGTGCTGGGGTTACAGGCATGAACCACTGCACCTGGCCCAAGAAGATTATTTTTAAGGCAGGTTTCAAAAGTATTAAGAATCTGTTTGACTCTTTTCAGTAGTTTTTTTTTCTTGTTGTTTTATAAGTCAAAACTTGGTGGAGGACATTAAAAACATTTCACTGGCTGAAGGCTCATAATGCAATTATAAATATTTAGAGTGCTGAAAAATGTATCTTTCAAAAGTGGTCCATTCTATCTTTGCATGGGAATACTGAGGCTTTATTTCTCTAATGAAGCTTTCTAAGACAAGAGAGACTTCCAGTATATTGCAAAATTGTTTTTTTTGTTGTTGTTGTTGTTTGTTTGTTTGGCTCTCTGGTTTCTCAATCTATTTTTCTTGGCTGCTTTATCAGTCCCCTACTTGTGTCTTCTACAATGTAGTACTACTACTTTCCATGAAAGAAAAACAGGAGAAAAATCTATGTATATCCTGATGATACTTAATGAGTGACTGTCAGAAAATGTATTTCTTTCCACAAAGTGGCATGGTCATAGATGATCAGAAAAGCATATTTAAAACCAGTATAAATATTATAAACATTTCTTTTTTCTTTTTTTGCTTCATTTGAGTGTTCTCACAAGGGCAAGTAACTCAGTGATTTGAACTCTGGTGCCTGGTAAGAGAGGCATATTCTCAGTAATATAATTCAAAGGGACTACTGCATACCCTAACTTTGGTGTTTCTTGTTTTAGGAAAAAGCTCCATTTCTACATTTACTAAGGGAGTTTCTTTGAGGTCCTCTCTGGCTGTGTAAGTTTTCACTACTCTCTGTTAACAATCATGCTGAGACCAGCTCAGTTGGTGAGACCCTAACCCAGTGGCAGTAGTGGAATTAAACACACACACAGAAATAAAGAGGTGTGAAGTGGGAAATCAGAGGCCTCACAGCCTTCAGAGCTGAGAGCCTCAAACAGATATTTACTCACATATTTATTAACAGCAAGCCAGTCATTAGCATTATTTCTATAGATATCGAATTAACAAAAAGTATCCCTTATGGGTAATGAAAGGATGGGCCAAATTGAAGGAATAGGTTGAGCTAGTTAACTGCAGCAGGATCATGTCCTTAAGGCACAGATCATGAATGCTATTGTTTGTGTTTAACAATGCCTTTAAGTGGTTTTCTGCACTGGGCAGGCAAGGTGTTCCTTGCCCTCATTCCCATAAACCTATAACTTTCCAGTGTTGGCTTTATGGCCATCATGCACATATCAGTGCTGGAGAGATTTTGTTTATGGCCAGTTTTGGGTCCAGTTTATGGCCAGATTTGTGGGGGGCTTGTTCTCAACATGCTCCCTTCTTTAATTTTCAAATTGATAAAAGCAAAGGCAGCTTTGTCATGGTGAGCTACTTCTTGCAGGAGTCAGGATCCACATCTACAGACTATACAAACAAAAACAACACAGATTAAAAGCACAACCATTATTGAAATCACAGAGCTTCCAAGTGTTTTGATCCATTTTAATGGGTTACCAGCTGCTAATCTGTCTGCAGCTCCTTTAAGCACTCCGGTTCCTGACATTAAGGTCAGGTGTGCCTGGGATGCTTTAAATATTTGTTCTTTTAATTTTGCAATATATGCTTTTTCATTCTTTCACAAATTTTGATCTTATTAAGAGGTATTAATGGTTTCCACAAATCCTTATGTTTAGCTCCTACAGCAGGCCATATCATTTGAGGTTGAGGCGTAACTATACCACCATGGTTCCAGAAAATAGGAACTCTTGCCATACTTCTTATCATTTCTACCATCCTACCATTTTGTTCAGGCAAGCTGAACATAATGTGGCCATGGCACGCAGACTGAGAGGTGCAATTCAAGAGAAACATCCCCTTAGGGGATCAATCAATAATGATTCCATAGGAATCATTGTGCAGCACCTCTGCCTGTTCTGCAAAGAAATTTTCCTAAACAATTACATTCATTATTTCTGTCCAGGTTCTATTTTTTTACAAATAGGTTTTTGAGGGCAGTATGCCTCAATTATAGGGGCAGATTTATTATGTAAAATACTGAGATCAGAAGGCATGTGTAACTGTGGCATAGAGTGACTATATCCAGGCATTATTACCAGACAGGATTGATAAATATGCCCAATAAGCATAATTGTTCTCTGTGTCAGCCTTTGTTGAAGGAATACTCACAGCAGTGGTGATAACTGCTATGATAGCTACCATTAAATTACTCATTGTGACTGGTTGTACTGCTTTCCTCAGGTTTTCTTCCGCCATCTTTGACACCTTCTTGATCTGTCCCCAGGTCAGTGGCTGTGTTCAACAGGTGTTGCTCATGACAGTTGGGGTGTTCCTCAGAGGCATCCTTGATGTGGCTGCAACTGGGGGATCCTCGGGATCCTCACGGAGTCTCTTCCTTGGCATCTGGCTCATGATAAGGTTTCAGGTGTCTTCATGGTGTCCAAATTGGTTGTTGATTTTGGCCTGGAGAAACACAAGCATAACCTCCACCCCCAGTTATTATTTTACCTATTTCCCAATTTCGTTATTGTATCTCTCCACCAAATCAGTTGTTCTGCTTCTGTCTTTGCAGGTGGTTTCTGGAGATGCTGTTCAGCTGCTGATAACATCTGGCCTTTGGACAGGCTCAAAAAAATTAAAGCTAATAATGCTAGATTCAGTTGCATCTATGGGGTTCCATATTCTCCATTTCCCCCTTTCTGCTTTTGCAACTGCTGTTTTTAGGGAAAGATTCATTCTTTCCACTATGGCTTGTCCTTGAGAATTGTATGGGATACCAGTAATGTGTTTAGTATTCCACATAGAGAAAAATGTAGCTAGAGTTTGGATAGTACAGCCTGGGGCATTAACTGTTTTAGTAGAAGCTGGAATGCCCATCACCACAAAACACTGCAAAAATTGATGTTTAACACAGTCAGAAGACTCACCTGATTTGCACATAGCCCAGAAAAAGTGAGAAAATGTGTACACACATATATGTACAAAAGCTAGTCTCCCAAATGAGGAAACAAGTGTGATATTCATTTGCCAAAGAGAGTTAGGTTCCAATCTTCGATGATTAACTCCTCCTATAAAAGATGATGAATGTACGATTTGGCAACTTGGGCATCACTGGATAATAGCTTAACTTATTTCCAGGTAATGCTGTATCTGCATTTGAGACAAGGCATTAACATGGGTTAAATTGTGAAAGTGTCTAGAATTAGATACTGCATTAGCAATGAGGTGATTAGCCATTTGATTCCCTTCAGTCAAAGGTCCTGTAAGAGGTGTATAGCCCTAGTGTGAGTGATGTAAAAAGGGTGCATTCTACTTCTAACTGCTGTTTGCAGTTGGGTAAATAAAGGCATCATTTGTTCATCTGTATCAAATCATAACTGAGCCTTTTCAATTAACTGTGTGGAATGAAATACCTATGAAGAATCAGAAATCACATTAATAGGCATATCAGAAGCAGTAAATACTTCAATTACAGCTACAAGTTCCTCTTTTTGAGCTGAAGTATAGGGCTTCTGAAAAAGTTTACTTTTCTACCAAGAATAAGAAGCTTTACCATTACCAGGCCCATCTGTAAAACAATGAAAACGCTTAGCAGGCTGCAGATTGTTTACCACAGGAATTGTAAATGCAAACCATTCACAGTCATGCTCAGCTAAGGGGATAGTTAAGAAACAGTCTTTTAAATCTATGACTATTAAAGGCCAATTCTTTTTGGAATTATAGCAGGAGAAGGCAATCCTGGCTGTAATGCTCCCATAGGTTGTATAACTGAATTGATAGCTCTTACGTCAGTTAACATTCTCCATTTACCTGATTTTTTCTTAATTATGAAAACTGGAGAATTCCAAGGGGAAAATGTTGGAGCTATGTGCCCATTTTCTAATTGTTCAGTAACTAATTTCTCTAGAGCCTCCAGTTTCTCTTTATATAGCAGCCATTGTTCTATCCAAATTGGCTTATCTCTTAACCATTTTAAAGATATAGCTTCTGGAGGCTTAACAATGGCCGCCATGAAAAATTGTTTCCTAATCTTTGGCAAGAATTTGTCTTTCCACTTGAAGATTTTGTTTCAACCCTTGCAGTTTTTTTATAGTCTCATACCAGGAACATACCCCATTTCATGCACCATATGTGGACTTTGAGGGCTATATAATTGTTCTGGAATTAGAACTTGTGCTCCCCATTGTTTTAATAAATATCCTCCACATACATTTATAGGTACCAAAGTTATAATTGGTGGAATAGTCCCAGGTTGTCCATCAGGCCCTTCACAAAGCAAAATAGAACTACTTTGATATACTTCAGGGGCTTTACCAACTCCAACTCTGTTAAAATGAGCGGGTTGAATTGGCCATCTGGATGGCCAGTGCTGTAGAGAAATGACTGAAATGTCCACTACTGTATCTACCACATCTTTAAATTTCTTTCCCTCAATAGTTATTTCACAGGTACGATGTTTATCAGTAATTTGATTTACCCAATAAGGTGCTTTGCCTTGTTTATTTGTGCTTCCAAGTCCTTGTGTTCATTTAATTTCACATTTTCCCATTCCCATATACAGCACAATCAAGAGCTGTGCTATACACTCTCCTGGCTCTGCTTTTCAGGGAACAGAAGTAGATATAACAATTTCAATTTCCCCATTATAATCTGAATCAATGACTCCTGTATGTATTTATACCCCTTTTAAACTTAAACAAGAGCTGCCTAGAAGTAATCCTATTGTCCCTGCTAGCAAGGGTCCACAGACTCCTGTTGGGACCTTTTGTGGCAGTTCCCCAGGCAGAAGCCTCACAGCTTTTGTGCAGCATAAATCTACTGGGGCACTACCAGCTGTGGCAGTGGACAGACATTATACAGAGGTGAGGGAAGAGCCTGAGCTAGAAATGCCCCAGTTTAGAACAGGGCCCGGGATGGGCACCCCATGGCATTTCCTGAAATTGGGTTCCCTTCTTTATCAAACTTAGAGTGACACTGATTAGTACAATGTTGTCCTTTTATATGTTTTGGACATATTTCATGCTCAGCAGTTTTCTTTTTTCTCCTATCTTGTGGCCTGACTCGCTGATTTTTTCTACATTCTTTTTTAGTATGACCATGCTTCCCACAGTTTAAAGAAGCTCCATGAAATGGAGTATTTCCTTTATCCACTCTCAGTCCTGCCATTTCCTGTGCCAACAAAGTAGCTTTATGCAGATTGCTTCTGATACCATAACAGGCCTTGATATAATCAACTAAATGTGCTTTCCCTGTGATAGGTCACAGAGCAGCCTGGCAATCAGGATTAGCATTACTGAAAGCTAATAACTGCAACACTATATGCTGAGCAGCCAAATCTGCAGTCATCTTTTTAAGAGACTCCTGTAACAGAGCTATAAAATCAGTGTATGTGTTCTTTGGGTCCCTGTTTTATAGCACTAAAGGAAGGATATTGTTCTCCACATGAAGTGATTTTTTTCCCAAGCTCTAATGCACACTCCTCTAAGCTGTTCTATGTCATCATCCTGCATGACCAGTTGTGCATCTGAATCAGCCCAGCCGCCAACCCCCAAAGTTGGTCTGCAGTTATATTAATTTAATGTTGGGCATGGGCATTGTGAGCAGCCTGAATGGAAGCTTCATCTGCCCACCAAGTTTTAAATTGTAGGAACTGAACAGGAGTTAGACAAGCTCGAGTAAGAGCATCTCAGTCAGTAGGAATCATCTGACTGGAAACAGCAACATTCTTTAACAGTCCTATTACAAAAGGAGAACCTGGTCCATACTGATTTATAGCTTGTTTAAATTATTTGAGTAATTTGAAAGGAAAAGGCTCAAATGTAGCTATAACATTTCCCTGTTGATCTCGGTGGTGTATTCTAACAGGGAACTGCCAAGCTTCTAAATCACCCTCCCATCTAGCTTGTTGAATTCCTGCCTAAATAGAACTAAGAGTGGTCACTCAAGGTGCTGCTTGAACAGTCATGGTGGCAAATACTTTTTGCCCAGTGTCCTCCAGAAAAGAAAGATATGGAGGGTCTTTTTCTTCATAATAATAATGAGGGTGTGCAGAAGTATAGGGATGAACCTCTCCTTCCTTTGCCACTTTAGCTTTAGCTGGCAAATAAACATGCTCTGTAACCTCTTCTGTTACTTCCCTATATTCTCCTTCCTCCTCACCATCAGTATGAAAAAGTTCCAAGGTGGAACGAAACACACCTCACACTTCTCCCATTGTTACCCTGATGCTTCTGAGCTCCCCTTATTACTCACCACGGGGATTGTTTTAAGAGTACTCGGGTGTCCTCCAGCTAGTTCCACCTTCTCAAACCATCACTCTGGTGATGCTTCAACCTGGATTCAAGCCCCCATGATGGACGCCACTTGCCAAGACCAGCTCAGTCAGGGAAACCCTCACCCAGTGGTGCTAGAGGAATTAAGGACACACACACAGAAATATAGAGGTGTGATTTGGGAAATGGGGTCTCACAGCCTTCAGAGCCGAGAGCCTCAAACAAAGATTTACCCACATATTTATTAAGAGCAAGCCAGTCATTAGCATTGTTTCTATAGATATTAAATTAACTAAAAGTCTCCCTTATGGGAAACATACAGATGGGCAGAATTAAAGGAATAGGTTGGGCTAGATAAATGCAGCAGGAGCATGTCCTTAATGCACAGATCATGCATGCTATTATTTGTGACTTAAGAATGCCTTTAAGTGGTTTTCCATACTGGGCAGGTGAGGTATTCCTTGCCCTCATTCCTGTAAACCCACAAACTTCCAGAGTGGGCTTTATGGCCATCATGAACATGTCACAATGCTGCAGAGATTTTGTCTGTGGCCAGTTTTGGGGCCAGTTTTTGGCCAGATTTTGGGGGGCTTGTTCCCAACACAATCATATTCAGGTTCTTCAGTTATTTCTGTGAAGAAATTTCCTGGGTTCAAGCAAAGTCAGGTTGTTAACCAAACTACAAATTTTTCAGCGGCAAAGCTTGATATTTTAGGAAAAGATTCTCTATTATCCAAAAACATTCTTTAGAGGATAGCAATTCTCCTAAATTATGTGGGGTGTAAACAGTAAAATTATTCCCCATCGTTAACTTTGTAACTTCCAACACCAGCATGTCCAACAGTGCTACTCAACTGCTTGGAGGCAGTCTGTTTATTCTTCAGGCAGCAGGTTGAGATCCTGGCTTAGGTAACTTACCAACTGCTTGTCTGGATCATGGGTCTGAGTTGAAACTCTCAAGGCCATCCATTTCTTTTGTGAAGCATAAAATTTAAATGTCTAATTTATGGGAAAACTGAAGGTAGGTACTTTGAGTAAGGCTTGTTTTAACTGATTAAAGGTATTTTGAGCTTCAAGTGCCCAGATTAGAAAGTTAGCTATAGCTGCTTGAGTTTATTTTATAACGTGATATAAAGGGTTACCTAGTTTACCATACATGGGTATCCACAATCTGCAAATATCGATAATGCCCCCAAATCCTCTTAGTTTTAGAGATGGAGGAGAAGAAAAAGAGGAAATGGGCTAAATCTTCTCCTTGACTAATGCTCTAGTTTCTTCTGATAGGACCAGGCCTAAGTACTTCACTGAGGTCTGACAAAGCTGAGCTTACATTGTAATTCTTCATAACCTCTGCTTGCTATATAATTGAGAAGCCTTCTCAGTTGGGGCACAGAGGAGAATGTCAAACTGTAAAACTTTAACCTGAGGATGAGAGAACTCAGAGAGGTCTCTTGATAATGTCTACTAAAACAGGTGGAGGCTTTCTTAAACCCCTGTGGCAATACTTTCCATGTTAACTGTGTATCCTGTTTGGACAGATTCTCAAAGGAAAAGAGGTATTGGAAGCCAGGGTGCAATGATAAAAATAAAAAAGGCATCCTTCAGGTCTAAAACTTTAAACCATTCAGTTCTCTTGGGAATTTGAGTTAGAAAAGTACAAGAATTAAGAACAACCAGATAGAGTGGAAAAACTGCCTCAATAGTGAGACAAGTGTTCTTAACTAGCCTCCAATCCTCATTGGGTTTCTCTACTCCTAATATTCTCCTAATATTTGCAGTTTTTTAAAGACTGATGTGGGGTCTAAGGAGGTCTTTCTTCTATAGCTTATTTATAATGTCTTCTAGCATTTTTCTACCTTATGGCTTTGGGAAATACTGCCCCTGGCTAGAAAGAATAGTGGGATCCCTAAGGTAAATATTGATGCATGTAGTGGCTGTAGTTCAGTAATTTTTTTCTTGCTATCCCACACCTTTTCATTAATACTGATTTCCGCTAAGGGGAGAAAAAGATTTTGTCCGGAGCCATTAAGATAGTGGCTTCTATATGGGCCGAAATATCTCTACCTAGTTAATATTGATTTCCACTAAGGGGAGACAAAGCATTTGTCCTGGAGCCATTAAGATGATGCCTCCTGTATAGGCCAGAATATCTCTACCTAGTAATAAAGTGGGACTTTCAGAAGTGACTAAATTGGCATGAGTAAATAGAAGGTCGTTCCAACTATAACTGTGAGCTGAGAAAATATTGGGTAAAGTTCTTTGCTGACACATCAATCATTTGTCACATAATGGAAGGATAGAAGACCTAGATTGGAGAGGAGAACAAAAAGACTTGCTCCAGCTTCCAGAGGGAATTCTACCTTCCTCCCTCCCACCTCAAGAATCACTCAAGGCTCCTAAGGAGTATGGCCCTTGAGGAGTATGGCAGCTCTTAGAGCTGAGGAATTGATATCTATGAATTATTAGTCCTGCTAGAGCATTTGTGAGACTGATCCTGGGCCTACTGATGTATGCCTCTGGAAACAGCACTCCTTTCAGTGGTTACCACAACAAGTTGGACAGTGTTAAGTTGGTTTCCTTTGTTGTCTCAGCATTTCTTGTTAAGTGTCCTGTCTTGCCAAACTGATAACAGTTATCGGGTGCCCTCAGGGACCCACATTTTATAGACCTGTATTGTGGTCTTTAGAGTCTCTGTTCTTTTCTTTTCTTTTCTTTTCTCTTTTTCTGCTATGCTTGTTTTTGTTCCCTATTGTAAGTCTGAACTAGCCACATTCAGGGGGTTCTCTAGAATGTTTCTGAGAGGAGAAAGCTAGCTTGACTTAGGGGGACAGCAAGGAATTGTTCCTGGGAAACCCCCAGCCTAGAGGTCACTGCATCATTTATACATACTACACTAAGCAGCCTGAAAAATAAATCAGGTTGCAGACTTCAATAAGATAACTAACACATGGGTGTTGTACCTAGAGATGCACCTGTGTGTTTATAGGCAGAAGAACCTTCAATCCATTCAGATAAAAATCTTTCACAAATTCTGATTCATTCAAATAAGAAAACTAGGCCTGGCATAAAAATATCCTTGTCCTTTTTATAATCAGTGGGCTCTCAGGAAGCAGTTTCTTCTTCATTTGGAAACATAAACAGAGTGGGTTCTGGTTGGCATTGATTTTTTCTTTTTGGACTGTGAGCTGGGCCTCTATGAATCATTATTTTAGTTATTAATTAGGCCTGGGCCAAATTTTTGGGCCAAGCTTTCACATCAGCTCCTGTTAGGTCATGGGATAAGCTGAACAGCCACTGTAAATTATGACTTCAGTCCCTGATTATTTCTGTGCAAGCCTCCTGGGCTAAGCTTTTTAATTAATCTCAGGCAAAGACCCTGGGCCAAGCTGAATCACATGTTCTTCAAAACAGCCCACTGACTAAGCACATTTCTTTCTCTTCCCACTTTATTATAACCCTGAAACCCAGCCTCATAGTAGAAAACGCAGTTGGGCCTCTCTTTTTACTAGGAGAGAGCTTTTCTTTTACTCTTCTCTTTTGTTTTAATCTCATCTTTGGTGCCATAGCTTCTTAATTTTTTTGGATGTAATACAAAAATCTTTGGGTATAATATCATACGAAGGGATACTACTAAATCTTGGTGCATTGGTGGGACTACAACATATATTGGTGCATGGGCTGAGAAACAAATAATTCATAAGAGGGTAAGAATGGATCTTTAATCTTTTACATTCATTTCAAAAACGTGTTTGTTTTTTTTTCAATCTAGTTTTCTTTCATGAAGAGCCTGGCTACCACATGGGACATAAAGGAGATCCTAGGGAAACTGCAAGTTTCTCACTGAGGTTACAACTCTGTAATCTGATTGCCCTTAGACTAGTTCCAGTCCCTAACAGCTCATCAGGCTGTTAGCACAAGGACTTCCAGTTTTTGTCTATTAAATTTACCATTTTGCTTCTCACAGCTATTATGTCTTTTATCCATTTTTTGTATGGAATGCTCTGGGCATTTTTACAGCCTAGGTATAAAATTTTGCTGAGTAGAGTCACTCAATGACTTAAGCAGGAATGTAATTCAGAAAGGTTTGTTTTTGTGATTTCCCTGAAACAAGGGCAATTCAAGAATTCAGTATAAATATTTACCTATTAAGGGCCTTTCTGTCCAACAATGATAGAGTTTTATGGCACTGTATGGGAGGATATTTCATCCAAAGTGAATACTCTTTTTTTAATTTGGATTTTTAAGAGATATTATGGTTTTCCATAGAACAGTTATATCATGAGACAAGTTAAATTTTGCCTGATTGGGGGCATACACTGGAGACAACTGATCAAACCCTGAACTGTCTTTCTAACTTTTGGCTGAAGTGAGTTTGGAGTCAGAATTATTGTTCTTTCTTTCTTTTTTCTTTTTTTTTCTTGATGGAGTTTTTGCTCTTGGCATCCAGGATGGAGTGCAATGGTGGGATCTTGGCTTACTACAACCTCCACCTCCCAGATTCAAGTGGTTCTCCTGCCTCAGCCTTCTGAGTAGCTGTGATTAAAGGTGCCCACCACCATGCCTGGATTTTTTTGTATTTTTAGTACAGATGGGTTTTTACCGTGTTGGCCAGGCTGGTCTTAAACTTTTGTCCTCAGGTGATTCACCTGCCTTGACCTCCCAAAGTGCTGGGATTACAGTTGTGAGCCACCATGTCTGGCCAGGAGTCAGGATTTTTAACCTAGCATTTCTAGCCTTACAATACCTCCTAGTGAAGTGAGATTTCTTTTCTATTGAAAGCCTTGGCAAGTCATTGTCCAAAACTTATGGTTTCCTAATTATTTTCCCAACAATGTTCCTCTAGCAGTGATTAGGCCCCATGTTCTATCTGTAAGCAGGCAGCCTCCACTTTAACTGTTGGGAGGAAGACACTGTTGAAGGGCAGATTTTAACCTCTTTGCTGTCCCCATCTAATGAAGGACCAGCCATTCAGCTTTTGCACTCTTTTGAGGCACCTATTCTCCATTTTCTTAATTTGGGATTTAAAATGTTTGAAAGTCAATCTCTCTCATTCTCTGAGATTCTGATGTTTCTCTGGGCACATAGGAAAAGCAAGTTAGTAGGAGGACATTTTCTCCATTAAAAAGTCTTGCACAAATTCTACTACTAAATAACATCTCCCTGAAAACAGAGTAGATGCTTCATGCAGGTAAGCATGGCTAGTAAGCAGATTAGCTCTCCCCAAATCCTTGAGTAAAGGTTGTTGTTTCATTTATGGGAAGCATGTATGATAGATTTTCAGACCCAGACGAGACAGAGGAAGTAGAAGAAGGGTACCGTAACAATTTCTATTTACCCTGTATCACAACAAAACAGGAAGAGGTCTCAAGGACACCTTGTCTCCCCTCCATTTCTAGATGGCAACGATGCATCTGCAGAGTGAATTCCAATGATATGCATTTGGAAACACTGGAATTCCATCAACCCTGAGACTCTAAATTAAAAAAAAAAGCTTAAGCCAGGTGTTGTGGCTCACACCTGTAGTCCCAACACTTTGGGAGGGCAAGGTGGGCAGATTGACTGGTCAGCATGGTAAAATCCCATCTCTGCTACAAATACAAAAATTAGATGAATGTGGTGGCAGGTGTCTTTACTCCAAGATACTCAGGAAGCTGAGCCAGGAGAATCCCTTGAACCCCCGAGGCAGATGTTGCACTGAGACAAGATTGTGCCATTGCACTAAAGCTTGGTCAACAGAATGAGACTCTATTTCAAAATACAGATAAATGTAAATATACATATACATATACATATACATATACATTTAAAAAACAGCTTATATTCTGTTGACAACAAAGTGGCCATTTTACAAAGAGGAGGCCTGGGCCTTCTCAAAGAAGAATAGTTTCAATACTATCTGGCAACTAAGGCTCTTTTGCCCTTAAAGAAAATGTGAATTTTGTAAGCATTGTGGAATTTACTTTGCCTTTTTATTAGCCATACAAAGCAAGTGTACAATACATAATTTTCAAAAGTCAGAGAGAGAAATCTCTGGAGAACCCTCAGATGCTATTTCTGAGTGCCCTATCTGCCTTCTTTATCTGGGGCTACCAATAGCCATATAGAAACTCCTCTGGTTGTGCTACCTTAAGAAACCTCCAACTTTGCTCTTGCCTGTATAGCAAATGCCCAATGAACATGGTGGAACTAATTTAAATTTCCTTATCATTGCAGTAACATTAAACCAATAAAGTAGGACTTAGGCAAGTTCTCTGATGACCCTGATAGACATACACAGGCTTTTCAAAATTTAAACCAAGTGTTTAATCTAATGTGCAGAAATGTTGTGAGACTTTTAGGCCAAATTTTAACTGCTGCTGCTGCTGCTGCTGAAAAACAGGCAGCATTGCCGGGAGCAAAGAATTTTTAAGATGAACAACTGGTACCCTATAGTCAGGAAAGAAACACAGTTGAAGGAAAAATTTAGTAAAAAAGAGATGAATTACTATTTCCAATACATACGAAAACAGTGCTTTTTGAAAACCCTAATTGATGTCTGAGTGATCCCATGGATAAGTGGATAAGAAAACACTTTCTTATGTGCATATTAGCAGGCTTCCAAAGAACTAGAAAAAAACCTCTTAAATAATCTAAACTATCGTTGTTGAATCACAAACCAGATAAAAATCTCTTAGGCTCTTTGGAAAGTCAGAGAAGCTTTAGTGAAACATACCTCTCTACCTCCTAAATCCATCAACAGACAGATAATGTTAAAATACATGTTTATTTCTCAGGCAGCCCCTGATATCAGAAGAAAACCACAAAAGCAGGCCATGGGATGACTCAGCACTGTGGACAGCCTCCTGGGGTGGATTTTTCAGTCTTTTACAAGAAGACCTGGAACGAGGAGTCCCAGAAAATCCAGGGGGGTCATAAGAGAATGAAAGAGGTACTACGGCTACATTACAGGCCTACAAGTTGCAGAATTACCAAGGTGCACCTGCTAATTTCTACTGGTGTGACAAGCCAGGACACTTTCAAAGGGATTGCACAGGCAGTAAGAAGAATATACTTAACTTTGTCCAGCCTGTGGTGGAGACCAGTGAAAGTAAAAATGACCCCAGTGACATTTGTCACCAATCAAATGTGTTTTCCCCTGATTGTTCAGCAGGAATAATGGGTCCCAGGCTCTACAGCCATTGTGATACAGAGGATCCAAGTAATTCTGGAGGTAAAGGCTAAATAATTTTCATCTAGTTTTAATCTGTTATCAGTATCTTAGAGTAATTAAGAAGTATGGCCCTGTTCCCTCATAAACCTTCCAGTATGCTTATTAGATTTTTTTTTTCACTCATCTACAAGATCACCAAGATGTCAATTGGGTTTTCAAGAAACGCTGTTTCCTTTCTTATTAGAAATAAACATTTTGCTATTTGTTTAACTTTTTTTTCCCCTTTCACCCTCCCTTCTTCTTGAATTTTGGCTGGCTGTAAGAAACACACATTTCCTCTATAAAAAATTCTGCTATCTATAAAGCTGCCTGCTTTACTGTAACATTTAGGGATTGCTTTAGGAGTAATGTAGTATTTTACAAGTAAGATTGAACACTTGGGTTATGCTTTGAAATGCCTCTGTATATGAATCAGGGTCATCAGAGGACTTGCTTGTTTCCTGCTATTTGTGTAAGGCCCTGAAATGAGAAGAAAACTTGAACTCTAGTAGCACCACATCTATCGATTATTTCCTGCAGGGGCAGCAGTGAAGTTGGAAGTTTCCTTGGTGGCACAAGAAGAAAAGCTGATGAAATGGCTGTTGGAGGGCCTGCATAAGGGTGGCAGGTAGGGCATTTAGAAGTCACATTTGAGGGTTCCTGAGGGGTTTGTCTCTGACTTTAATAAATTATTGTTTTAAACTTGCCTGATATGACTGCCAAGAGGGCAGTCAATTTTACAATGTTTATGATGATCTGGGTTGTCTCCAAAATCAAAGTAAGCTTAAACATAGAAAATTTCAAAGTGGTTTTTTTTTTCCCATCTTGAGAAAAGATCTAGTTGTTGAATAGTATTAAAATGAACACTTCCCTCAGGAAGCCAGGCCTGCCTGTCTGGAGCTGGTAAGATAGCAATGCCCTTTTGCCAAAACAAACAAACAAAACCACTTTTTTTTCAGAGTCACATGGTCAAATAAATTCCAGTGTTTCTGAATGCAACCTAGAGAAGTCCAGAATGCAGAAGGTTTATGACCTTTCAAAATATATAGAAAGAGAAAGAATCCCACAGTCTCTTTCCTCTTTTTGAAAAACCCTGAGTGAAAAGAAAGATAGAAAGTGTGTTCATTGTTTTTTCATTTTTCTTGTCTTTTATGGATCTGGCAACTATCATAGTTGTCCTCCATGGATACAATCATAATCTTCACCCATGGTTCCAGAGGAGCTAGTAAGAAGGAGAAGTAATGTTCACCTGCACAAGGCGTTAGCTCTCCACTAGTGATCCTTTGTTGGTCTCCTAAGCATACTCAACCCAGAAGATTCCAAAGGTAGCTTGGCAACCTAAGAAAGATTATGGGTAGTTTGATTTGAGCAAGGACCTTTTGCACAGTGGATGTTCAATACTATTTCTGTCTTTCTTTGCTGTTGCCCTAGTAAAATCTTGAAATTCCAGAAAATGAGATCGATTGACTTTGAAACATAAAATTCTCTTTTAGTTTAAATGCCATTGCTGCTGGAAGCAGAATACATGCCTCCAAAAATGTAGGACTTGAATGGCTGGTCTTCTTAAAATAGCACTAAGTGGCCGGGTGCGGTGGCTCATGCCTGTAATCCCAGCACTTTGGGAGGCAGAGGTGGGCAGGTCATGAGGTCAGAAGTTCGAGATCAGCCTGACCAATATGGTGAAACGTCATCTATACAAAAATTACAAAAATTAGCTGGGCATGGTGGTGTGCACCTGTAATCACTGCTGCTCAGGAGGCTGAGGCAGGAGAATCACTTGAACTCGGAAGGTGGAGATTACAATAGCCGAGATTGCATGACTGTGCTACAGCCTAGGCAACAGAATGAGACTCCATCTCAAAGCAGAGAGAGAGAGAAAAGCCCGGAGCTAGAATATGTCTCTCAAAGGCAACTTTCTGCCAACTATTGAAAGTGGATATTTTCTGTTTACAGATAGGGCATGGAGTCTTATTACTGTTAGAGAGGCACAGTAGAGAGAGGAGTTGAAAACCTCAGGGTTTTGGGCAAAGTACTGACAAGTCTTCCTACAGAGAAAAATTTCATCACACTAGGTGACATGGTAAGATCTAAAATGTTAGATGAAAACTCTGACTCCAAGGTTTTTGTAGCCAAAATTTAGAAAAAGAAGGGGAAAACTCTATAGGCTGTCCCCACAGTTCGTGTCTCTGCAGAAAAAAAGATTAATGTGTCTCAATAAAGAAACTGTTTAGATTTATATGGCAATGCTGAGCTTTTTACAGAGAAATAACCAACAAAAAGAAAAACTTTCTTCTGAATGTATATCTTTCCATAGAGTGCCATGAATATCTGTCACAGGGGGACAAAAAGACACTCACCAAATAAAAATTTTTAAGAGTACAATTTGAGTTCTTTCTGGTTCCAAAAAAATCACAAAATAGCATCTCTTTTAATTATATTTCTAATTACTAACACACCAGCTGACATTACCCCATAAGATTATATCTCCAGGTTTCAACATTCATACAAAGAGGAAATAGAATATATAATAGTCACAAAAAGAAAAAAAATGCAACAGAAATTTCTGGAATTTTTGGTGGCAACATAATTATGGGCTGTCAGAAACTGTAGTTAGTCCTGAGGCTTTCAGGTAACACTGTGGTGTAGTCTTAACCAGAAACCTTCAGTTTTTCTAGATTTTCTTTCAGCCCCACATGATGACTAGGTCCTGCATGAAAGAAGACTGAATTGGAACAGAGGCAACATTTTTGACACCTAAGGGTAAACGGGGATTGCCAGAGTGTTTCCCAGCAGGCCTATCTCCTGAGCCTTGTAAGGATGGTAGCCATTTTATTGGGTTTTAACTGACACTGGCCCAGTGTTTTGTGTGCTCTTGAGAAATTAAAAAAGAAAACCCTGAGGACAACAAGCCTCAGAAGTGAATGTAAATAGTTTGGAGGTGCACTCCTAGTCACTTTTTAATTAATCTTTTTCCAGCTCATGCAAAAAAAACATAGTTGCTGTCCCCCAACGCACCACAGTGTATCAGTTTCTCATTCTGAGGTGTCACATAGATTTTTTTTTATCTAAAGGCCAAGAAATTAAGAGCCATGAATGAAAATGATGAGATTGTAGCAAATGTTTAATAAGTTAACTTCTTGTGGAGGAAAGTGAGTTGTCCACGATAAGGAAGTGTCTGATGTTTTTTATGGAATGGGAAGAAACAGAATGTCCTAACTATTCTTGAAGAAAGCGCTACTGAACTTTTCCAGGGACTTTGACGTGGGACAAATTAGGAGCTAAAGTAGTGACTCAGAAGTGATTCAGCTTGGCTCAGGAACTTGGCCCTGGATCATTCAAGAGCTAAAATAATAGTGTGGCCTAGGACCAGCCAAACTCAAACTGCTTCTGAGAAACAGACAGCCCTACATGCAACAAGAGAGATTCAGGGACAACTGCACGTTGTCTACAGCCAGCGTAAAATACAAAAGGTACTCAAAGGGACCATATTGAATCAGAAACCAGATAAAAATTTTTCAGCCTTTATGAAAAGGCAAAGAGGGACGTTCATGAAACACACTTTTGTAGCTCCTCAATCAATTAATACATTGATAGTCTTAAAAGGCAAGTTTATTACTCAGGCACCTACTAATATCAGAAGAAAACTTCAGAGGCAGGCTCTGGAATTGTACACTACCTTGGGAAACTTCGTGGGCATAGCCTTCTCTATCTTTTATGACAGGACTCAGGAACAGCCACAGCAAAAAGAGATGATGCAAAAGAAAGACAAAGACTAGTGACCCAATTACAGGCCTATAAAATCCAAGATATTTGACATTCACCTGTAAACTCCTCTCAGTGAGGTAAGCCAGGGTACCTTAGGAAGAATGGCTAAGGCATCAAAATGTAGCTACCTTGACCCTTTCCATCCTGTGTTGGTGACTACTACATGTTGGACTGCCTCCAAGAGTGTTCATCACAGTGTGGGGCCAGTTTCCCAGATGGTCCAGTAAGACTAATGCATCCCAGATCTCAATTCCCACACTTCATTTGTTGCCATCTCATTAATGCACCACAATGTAGCAATCTCTCATTGTGAGGTGTCAAGCAGATCTCTTTGTCTCATGGCCAAGAAAATTAAGGAGCATGGATGCAAACAGGTTGAAGCAAAAGTTTTATAAGTGAAAGTAAAAAGCTCTTTACAGTGGAGGTGGGGTGTAAGTTGTGTGCCTACTATAAGGCTGGGCTTCAGGGTTAATAAAGACAGAAAACGAAAGAAATGTGCTTAGTGGTCTTGGAGAAACATTACTCAGCCTGGCCCTGCACTTTGGCTGGGGATTCTTCAGGAGGTTAAGTAATGATTTATAGATACAACTTAGCTTGGCCTTCATCCTTTGCCCTGGACCAAGCAGCAGCTAAAGTGAAAGCTTGGTCTGATACCTTGGCCTGGGACCAATAACATGCTGAAGTGTTGTTTCATGACCAAGATAATTAAGGAAACTACACATAAAGTTCAGATAGGACAGAAGTTTAATAATCAAAAGAAGAAAGCTGTTCACATTAAAGAAGGGACCCATGAGACTTTCCAACTGTAATGCTGGGTCTGAGGTTTTTGTGAACTGGAAAGAAAGAAATATTCTGAGTTGCATGTGAGCTATCTTGAAGAAAGCAGTAATCAGCTTGGTTCAGGACCTGACCCGGGACAAATCAGAGGATGAAATAAAAGCTTTGTTTGGGGCATTGCATCAGGAAAAAGCAGAAGCTGAAGGGATGAATCAGAAACACTTGGCTCACAGGTCAAAACATATTCAAATTAGAAAAGTGTCCCAGCAGAGCCCACTAGAGCCTACTAGGTATCATGCCCACAAAGACAGAATTGTCTACTTTTTGAAGCCTGCTGATTATGTGAATGACAAAGGTATCTCTACATGTGGCCTTCCTCCCCTATCTGTGCAGCTGTGCATATGTTTTAGGCAAAAACGACAAAGGCATTTTCATGTTCTTTCCTGTTTTCTGATTATTGCAGCTGTGAACATGTCTTTTGCTACCCTCCTCTTCTAGTTCTCTTACAGTTGCCTGCAACTTAACTTTTCAGTCTGTTTCTGTGCTTAAAAGAGTTTTACCAAGAACCCTTCCTAGTTTCCTGTTTTTCTCTCCCACATCATGAAGGTAAATTTAATGTGTTTTGTGCATAAAACAAAGCTGTGTGAAGAAATATTCTGTGGAGCTTTCCACTTGTGTCATGTCATCACTCAAGTTTCACACTGGAGTACATTTAATGTTTTTGTGTTAGCAATGTTCAACCTGCACTTTCTTCTTTTAAAATAAATGACTTTGAAAAAGAGAATAAATTGTTTTAATTCTTAGATCATTTGGTAGAATTCGACAGTGGAATTCTACCCAGGACTCTAGTCCTAGGGTTTCTTTTAAGTAGCTATAAGATTGTGAAATATATTTGGTGTTTGTCTCTGTTTTCTGGCATAGAAATCCTGAGTTCTTTGGAATCTCCAAAGTGATGTCTTTTTATATGCTAATAACTGACTGCTTCAGGTTGGGGCTTGTTAATAAAAAGACAAGACTTGATAAGTGTGCAGGGACTCCCAGGGTCACCCTGCATTATTTTGGAATAGGAGAGTTGCTGCGGGTACTGGCAGAAGCAGCCTATTTAGAGGGGCTGCAGAAAAGATGCCAGGTGTAGTGAGGGAGGGGCAGCCAGGGCTCTTCACTCTGTGAAGCTGGTGGGAACCAAGAACAGAGAGAAGCCACACCCACATCCAAGTGGAATTAGCAGAAACCTCACCTACTCAGGCACAGTTGCAGCTGCCTAGCCATGCTGCAGACTCAGGCATCCCTGTGCTTTCTGGGGACTGGAAAGCCATCCTTCCTACAAAGGCTCTGAAATCCCATTGCCTGGCCTCTCCCAGATCCTAGTGTCCCCTTGAATGTTGAAGAAAATTTTTAGCTAAGCCCAGGTGCTGTCATGACCTGACCAGGTGTGCTTACACTTGAGGTTGTACTGAAACAAAAACCGTATGCCACATTAGTTTTCTCTAGTCTTTTGGCCTCAGTGAGCATAGGAGACTCAAGGAGTTGGTATGGGCCTGGAGGTTTGTCTTTGCAAAAATAGCCTTGGTACCATTAACTGTAGCAGGAGACAGACAGGCATCTAGGCAGAAAGAAGCAGTTTCTCATTAAAACTCCATCTTCAAGCCATGGATTTTCTGAAGACTGGGGGCTGGGCTGCATGTTCTGGAGATGAGAATGAAAAGTTATGTCTCTTTCTGGGCCCACCAATAGCACCACTGACCAATCAGCACAGTACTTCTGCCTACTTAAGCCCATATGAACTCCAGAGTTAGGGAGATCATGGATAACTTGCTTGCAAATTGGAGCTAACCACTGTCGGTCTCCTCTCCACTGAGAGTTGTGCAATTGCTGGCATTACAGGCCTGCAGTTAGATACGTCTCCTCTCCATTAAGGGCTGTAGCAACGTCTCAACAACCTTCCTGCAGATAAAAGCTTGCCACTCTGCATCTCATCCATACTGAGGACTGCAGAGATGTCAGCACAAACTGCCTGCAGATTGGAGCTCCTCACTCTGGTTCTACTCGTCACTGAGGGCTGCACAGATGAAAGTAGGTCCTGCTTGTAAAAAGGAGCTGCCTGCTTTACATCCACTGCAAACTGTACTGTCACTCAATAAAGCACATATTTACCTTGATTATTTTTTAGTTGTTCACATACCTCATTTTTCCTGGACATGGGACAAGGACTCAGGACTGAATGGCAAAACTGAAAAATTAGTAACACAAACAGGACTGAAACTCACAACCCCCAGGTTGCCACATTGTTGCTTACCACAAAAATAAGGGACAGCAGAGCTTTGGCCCTAAAGGAACTCAGACCTAAACCTTTCCCAAGACAGTGTTGTGACACCCTCTTTGGGGCTGTGCAATTTCTGACATTTCTAAGCTTCTGGATTCCACTGCATTTCCCCGTCCCTGGAGAGGAAACAGCTTTTGGTATGCCAAATTCAGCCAAAGAACTTTAGGGAGCTGGCCCCTGTGCCAGCACCTGGAACTGCTCATCCATCATAGCCAATATGGCTAGCTGTGTGCAGTGGCTGTGCTCAACCATCACTCACTCATTCACCTAACTCTGTCCCTGTGATAAAGGTGACGTTGATCACCATCAGCCAGTGGATTATTCAATCATACCTACATAATGGAGTCTCCATAAAAATCCAAGAGGACAAGATGCCAGAGCTTCTCGATGGCTGAACATGTAGAGTGTTCTAAGAAATAGTGTGCACATAAAAGCAAACACCAGTAATTTAAATGTCAGATATAGTGTAGGTATCTTTTCTTCTCTTTGAAAGAAATTTCTGCCTTTAATAATGTGTCCAGAATTTTAACTTATTAAATAGAACATACTCAAAGTTAACCCAAAAGTATATATTCTAAACATTAACACTTGGATAATTCTACCTAAATGATTTCATGATGCACTAATATTGTACAAGTTTTGTTTTAGAGAGATAAAGATTTCTTCAAGTTAACTGGGTAAACACTAGACATTTATAAAGAAAAAGAAATTCAATTGAAATCTCAGCATAAATTGCATCCTATTTCAGTTTGGGAGAGAAATCATCAGTGAATTTTGTGTTGGAAATGTTTATCCTAAAATATTAGGCTTTTAATTTGGAATTTTGTGTCTCTGTGGTATTTGTTCCACTATAAAGTCAAAAGCACCATCTCAGATGTTTCTGTGTCTCTATTTTGGGGAAAGGGGAAGAGGCTGCCTCATACCCCATTAAATTCTGCATTCTAGAGTAAAAAATAAAAAAAAATTATTAAGTTTTTTGTATTTCAAATCTAATTAATCACAATTTTGTTTTTTTTATAGAGTAGTAGTCATGGATAAAAATTAGAATTTGAAAGAACAGCCAAGTGTTCACCAGTCTGATTTTATATTTGGGCTTATATGTGCATAAAATTATGACATTTTGACAAAGAAGTTGCTTCATTATTTATTTTAAAGTTACAGTACTTAAAATTTCATTCATAATATTAAATAAATAGCTTTGACATTTCCAGTTCTGTTTCCAAGACTTAGATATTGGGAGAATTGTTTTGGGATATGCAGGTGGATTAGGGCATCTTGCAGCTAATGATGTCTTCTTCTCAGCTCGGTTATTGTGCCCTGAGCAGACAGACTGATAATTAAAATTCATCATTTTTTTTTGCACTTACACTAACATATATTATATCCCATGGGCTGAGCCCCAGATTTTCTTCAGCATTTAACATTCTTTCTCAGCCATTTGTTCAAACTCCATCTTAATATTACAGCTAGCAAGGGCCTTACATTCCTCCAGCACTACTGGATTACATGAGACAAACTCATTAATTTGAACCATAACCTCTTGGGTGAAAGTTGCTGTCCAAAACACCTGAGAAACCAGGTGTTTGGCACATGCCTCCTGTATTGTCAGCTTTCACACATCAATCAACATTTTATTGGCAGATGCTTCACCCATCATCTTGGGAAATGTAACACTAGAAAGCCATCTGAACTCTGTCCAAATGTTGTATAAGGGGTTTGAAACCAAAGCTGTCATTAGCCCAAATCAAGTGACAAAGAGGCAGTATGGATGCACCCAGTCCAATCGCGGGCCCATTGACTGATACAACAGTTGACTTTTTAAATTGAATGAAATTGTCGAAAACATTCTTGATATTGTCCACCATTTCAATGCTTGTTCTCTTTCTGTCATTTGTTAAATGCTTCACGAAGTACCCAAAATCAAGACCACAGCAAAAGACACTGCCAGCTGTGCTGAACAGCACAAGTTTGCTATCATCTGGAGCAGCCATATTCAGAGCATTCATGATTTCTTTCATTACTTCTGCATTCAGTGTGTTTTCTCCTGTCAATCTAGTTGATACCAATATCTAGGTGAATCCATCCTCTTTCCTCACTACAATGTCTCTGTATCTGCTGGCACTTTCTGTTAGCCTTCTGGTGACATGCATCCTCTACATAAAAGGCTGGTCTCTTTTATTATCAATAACCTTTCTTTGCCCGCCTCTCACTCTTGTAATAGGTGTATGCATATTTGTTCTTCTGTGTAACAGGTGTATGCATATTTGTTCTTCTGTTGGCTGTTAATGAGTCCATTAATACCAATATACCTTCCTTGTTAGCTGAGCCTGTGACCATGGATGCAGTAGTAACTGAGCCAGACATCTGAGACAATAGTGCATGTATCAGTGGCCTTTTTTCTATTCCAACTGGTCCTGCACTGGGATCTGATAAAGCTCTGACAGGCTTCTCTACTGCCACGTTGAACACCACTGTGTCCTGCTAATCTGGTGCAATAGGGTTTAGTGTCTCAGGTTCCTGAATGTCAGTCACTCTGTTCTTGCTGCTAAAGGGGCTCTGATGTGCAAGTGTCTTGATAGTTGAATTTACTATCTCCATATTCTTTGGGTGAAAGAGAGGTGAAGCTGCATTTTTCCTAACGTTGTGGCTGGCAGCAAATCACTGGCTGTTTTAGGCCTTGTGGTGTTTGCCAGTTAATAACATATTAGGAGAGTTATTAGAAAAGTTGGTGTTGGTAGATCTGGAAGTTCTTTTTTTTTGGGCATTGTTTGAAAAAGTTCTACTTGTTTTGATCTGTGTCTTTGTTTTCTGATTTTCAGTCTGTCATCTGTTAAAGACTTAGAAACATTTTTCACAGTTCACAATGTGCTGCTCTGGTTCCCAAGTGTCATCCCGTTTGTCATAACCTTTCCACTGAACCAAATACTCTGTCTTCTCTTTTTTGTCTTGTCTTGTGTAAACAAAAGTTTCAACCTCTAACTATTGGGAATCCGTAAAGAAAGAGACCGATTTAGGGTAGTTGCTGTGCCAACTTTATTTCAGTGGGGTCTTCCCATAGTTACATTTTTCTGCCTCCAGTGCTTCACCAGGTGCTAAGTATGGATGAGCCTCTTCCACTTCGTTGCCACTGGTGTAGTAAAAGTTGTGTGAAGGAGCAGCTATGGTATGTGCCTTAGGCTCTCCACACTTACTCCCTGGTGGAAGAGCTTGGGCTTGGTCTCATGGTGCCAAGATAGCTTGCTTCTCACATGAGAGAAGCTAAATCCACCGCTGCTACTCTGGTGTAGTGCAGAAAGCTTTCTACCTGCCTGTTACTCTTTCCTTTACAGTTGCTCTAACCATTATATTGAACATTCTAAAGTTATAACATTGTTAAAGTCACTCTAATTTACATTCAATAACATAAAAATCCTTACTCCTATATAGAATGGCCTCCATTACTTTACTTACTGAGTTCTCAAAATTATACCTTTATGCACTGTATGTCAAAAACACAAGTTAGTGAATATATATATAAATATAGATAATATAATACTATATATATTTTATATATATATACACACATATGTTTGTGTGTGTTTTAAATTATGTGGAGAATCACTTGTGAAGGTGCACATTGTTAATTTATATATATATATTGTTAATTGCTTATGTATTTATCTTTACCTTAATATTTATTTATTCATACTGCTGTCTAGTGTTCATTTTGCCATGAAGTACCCCATAAAGCATTTCTTAAAGGGTAGTCCGGTGGTAAAAGACATCAGCTTTTATCTGAAAATGTCATAATTTCCCTCTCAGTTTTGATGGACACTTAGAACATAAAATTTCTGTTTGAATTTGTTCTATTACATCACTTGGAATATATTAGCCCATTGCTTTCTGGCCTCGAATTTTTAGATAAGAAATCCACTTTTTATTTTTGAGGGTCCTCTGTACATGACTAGTCACTTCTTTTGCTGCTTTCAAGGTTCTCTTTGTCTTTGTTTAGAAATATTGAATTATCAAGGAAGTTTGAGTGTGTTTCTTTGAGTTTATCTTACTTGGAGTTTATTGAGCTTCTTGGATGTTTATTTATTTCCTCACACTTGTGACATCCTTGGCCACTATTTTTTAAAATAGTCTCTCTGATTCTTTGTCTCTTATCTTTGAACTTCCAAAATGTGTAAGTAAGGCTGCTTGATGGTGTCCCACATGTTTTAGGCTCTGTTCACATTTCTTTATATATTTTTTTCTCTTCCTTCCTTAATAATTTCAATTGCTCTTTCTTTAGGTTTGCTGATATTATGTTCTATCTGCTCAAGTCTGCTTTTAAATGTCTGTAGTGAATTTTTATTTCAGTTGTTTCACTTTGCATATCTAGAAATTTTTTTAGTTTTAAAAATAATTTTACTCTCTCTTTATTAATAATTTATTTGTTCATGACTCTCTGTGCTTTTTTGTTTATTCTATTACCTTCCTAAGATCATTAATTTAAAAAAAAATAATTTTTAGTAAGCCTGCCATTTGGACTGTGTAGGAAAAGCTTGTGTTAGTTATTTTTTTTTTCTTAGAATGAGCCCTAATTTTCTATTTCACTTTATGGTAAGTGATTTTGTTAACGCTGAAAAAGGGCATTTACATATGAAAATGCTGTAATTTTAAAATCAGATTTTCTTACTCTATGATTGGCTAGGGTTTTGTTTATTTATAATGCAGGCTCTTTCTGTCCTGGAAATCAGTCCTACTGAACTTCTTGTGTCTTTTTTGAGCCTGCACCATCTGAGGAAGATATGGTTAAGTTGCTTATTTATCATGTTTTTATTTATATATATTTACTTTTGAATGTTTTTGTACATAAATGTCTGACCTCTTAAAAGGAAAAAAAGTAAAATGAGGAAAAATATTCTGGCTCTCTAAATATTTTGAAAGTTGCTTGAGTAGGAGGAGGAAAAGGCTGCAAAAGCTTTCAGAAATGAAACAACGGCTATTCATCTATCTTGGGACCTCTATAATCAGAAGCAGCAATAGGTGCACAAGTCCTCCTGACATTTAAATGGCAGGGTCCTTTCTGTTTATCATGTCTCTTTCAAGCTGCTCCAGAGGTGTTTTCAAGGCAGCATACCACAGCGGTAGTTAATAAAGAATAAATAGCTGTTGTTTATCTATGCTATAAAATTGATAAAATTTAATTATTGTTTACAAATCTTGTTTTGGAAGCTGTAAACCTTCAGATAGACTCTGGAATTCCAAAATAATAGGATCATACCAATTCTGACACTGCACCTATTGTGTAGTTGAAGAGACAGATATATAGTGCTCTGTAGTCACTTGTCATGCTTTTCCCAGAACCTTGTATCATCTTACTTTTGGCCTCTGTGTCTTTACACATAAAGAAAGACTTTCAGATAAATCATATACATTAATTTTTATCTAAGGATGCATTTGTGCCAGTCTTTGACTTTTTATGCAAGAGCTCATATTTAAAGTTATTACAAGTAAAACATTACTTACTCTGAGATTTACTTATTTGCTTTCAATATTTTATTATTTTATTTTATCCTTAATTCTCCTTTGTTTATTTTTAAAATGTGGTTAATTTAGAAAAAAAATTGTATTTTTTATATTATAATTGGTTATATTTGGGACTTCAATTACTATTGTAAATTTAAAATAGCCTACTTTTAATAATACTAACTTGTTTCAATAACCTAAAGTTTAATTTAAACAATATAAAAATGTGCTGCTTTTGTGCTTTTCCATTCTTTTCAATTTATATTATTATCTCAGATTATATGTGTAAACACTGAGTGTTCAGTAATAGAAAACTTTGCCAGGGTTATAATAGTAATTTTCTCTTTTAGAGAAGGTTAGTAACAAATTCCTTTAACTTTCCTTTATCCAGGCATTTTTGCTCATGTAACATTTTACCAGTTACAGATTTCAGGTTTGATAGTATTTTTTCTATTAAAACTTTGATATCCTACTACCTTATGACTTCCATGGTTTCTGCTGAACAATCATCTGTTAATTTTAATCAAGATTCCCTTGAACATAACAAGTTGCTTATCGCTTTCTGGTTTTACAATTTTCTTTGTCTTAGCACTTGACTGACTATAATGTTTCTTGATGTGGCTATCGTTGACTATATTACAGTTGAAGATTTTGTCCTTCTTTAAATTTTAGATTCTGATTTCTAATTAAGTTTGGGAAATATTCAGTCATCTTTGCTTTCAGATTTTTTTTTGCCTCTTCTTTTTCTGTATTTATGAGGTGTCCATATTGCATGTATTGGTATAGCTCATAGTGTTCTATTAACTTCTTAGTATTTTTTCACTTAATTTTTTTTTATTTATCAGACTGGGTTATTTCAGTTTTCATTGCTTAAAATTGACTGAATACTTTCCAGCTCAGGTCTGTTGTGAAACTCCTTTATTGTCAATTTTCTTTCGGTCTTTGTACTCTTTATCTCAAATTTTTCATTTTTTTTACATATTTTTTCTCACTGATGCTCTCATAGTTTTCTTTCATTGGTTCTGTCATTTTTTCTTTTACACAACTTAAAACTGTTGTTTTAAATTCTTTGTCAATAAAATTTAGAATATTTTCAGTTTCTGCATTTACTTTACATTAGGCATACGTTTCTATTGGTTTTTATGTTTTTATTTTGCAGAAAACTATATTTGAAAAGTTGAAACGTGCTGACTCTGAATTATAGGTTTTCTTCATTTCTCCAAGGTATTTTCTTAGTTATTAAAACCTTAGCTTGCATTCCATTAGTGTTTTGAATAAGAGCAATGTTAAAACTATCACTTGTAAAAACTAAATCTGTATTAACATTCTTCTTTAACTCTCAGGAGGATTGCTTATAATTCTGTCTTAGCCTTCATTTTCTTCTCACATTGAAGCTATAGGTAAAATTGAGAATTAACACCTATTGTTTTATATACTTTTTGAGAATGTTTTCTGTCTTGAGCATGGACATGATTTTCTAAATCTTTCAATACATTAAACTGCTTTTGAATATTCAGATTTTTGCAAATAAAGGTCTCTTCAACTTTTGCTCCTTTTTATAGTTTGTCTGTTGTATAAAAACTGTTTTCTTTGTTCTCAGCAACTTAAAGTTTTATGACCAATTTCTGGCATTTTCAACCAAGAGTGAATTCTATGTTAGACAAAACAGAAATAAATGTGTTTCATCAATTCTTCATGTATCCCCTAGATAGACTAGAAAAAAACACAATAATTTAGCATATAAGGGCTTCTTTACTCCTTCCAGAAGCAGGATTCAGGGCCTCACATGGAAAATGTGGATTTCAATTTTTATAAGCCTTCATCTGTGCTTAGGAGGCAGAATGGAAATACACACAAAAAATTGCAATTTTATAATTGTCTCTCTTGATTACATGTTAACTTGGCTAATATGAGCTATTTATTTCAAAGGTCCAGGCTGCTTAGGAAAGGTATGAGTTTTCTTTAAATGGTTTGAAGTTGCCTTCCTTGCACTTTTCATTTTTATCTATGAAACATTGATTGTTTTCTATTCTTGTAGTTTATTTGTATCTATGAGATGTATGTTTTTTCTCTTAAAATTTTGTTTAAAATACTTAAATTATGTGTTGTACCTCGAATTTTGGATTTTAGATGTTAGATTTTTGTTTTAGTGGTTATATTATAGAGTTTTTTGTTTGCTTTTTATTAATTGAAGTTCTATATTCCATATAAAATATATGAGGCAAGATCAGTATATAGTATATTTTGGTTTTATATAAAACAAATGTACAATAATTTGCTTAAAAGTGACTTTCAAGTAAATATCTAAATAAAATAATAAGGAAATAATCATGTAAACATGCAGGAAGTTCAACCAGTATGATGATCCCTGGTGGAAGCCTGCTTAATTGTTTAAAAATTAGCCAGGTCCCTGTGGCTGGAGCAGGCTGTGGAAGGGAAACCATTATAGATGATGAGCTCATAGAAGTAACAGACAGTCCCTGTGATTGTCTAGGGATTTTATAGGTCAGTAGATTTCACGTTAGATTTCACTCTAAGCCTGGTTTATGACTGGAAGTGGAATTGGTAAGCTTGTTACTAGCATCTAGTACTGAGAGTTTAGAAATGCTGCTAAATATCCTATAAGCTAGAGTATTAGGCACCTTTGAAAAATTAAGAGTGTTGAACAATCTCTCAAGAAAATTATTTTAAAAACACACATTTAGAATTATTTGATATCACATTTGAAGATTTCTTAACTCAATTTTTGGTTTCTTATATCAGAAGGATTTTCAAAAGCTTATGTAATGTTTAGTTCATTCAAGTTAGGGTAAGCATTAGTAAAGTGAAGTCAGTTTAGTTAATAAATGACTACAAACTAAACCATATATTTTCTTATTTTCTGCTATTTTTCCCATTGCTTTTTCAATATTTCTGTAAACCACTAATATAGAAAATTAAAACTCTAGGCAGTCTCTATTTCGGGGGTAACAAGGGAGAAAACTCAATCAAGGGCCTTTGGGATAGATCTAATCTTGACTAGAGCTTGAAGGTATACGTAAAACACGGGCACACCTGTGCTTTGGCACACTATGTTATGCATTCACATTGTGCATACACATTGTCTTATGACATGAAAGTTGCTAAGATATTACAATAAGCAAGCCAAATAAAAACCAAGCTTTCAAAGATTATAGCTGGAGTTAGAGAATTTTCGCTTTTGCTAAAATTGTTGAGTAGAATAAATACTCAAGTATCTTCCACTGCTTAAAAAATATTTTATAGAAGTTTGCATAGTGGGTATCTTTTATCAGAATTATTTATCTTCCATCTTTTTCTAAGATAATAAAAGATAAATGCATTCACAAAAATGCATATTAGACAATAAGATAAATTAAAGATAAATGAATGAGGAAATTAATGTGAGAAGAAAAATATGTGAAAATATTAAGGTAAGTCCAAAAAGGAGGTGAATTCATGCAATGTAAAATCTTTATGTTTGAATCAGAAATTTGTTTCAGAACGTTAGCAGGTAGCAATATGGTAGTTATCCACATTTATAATGCTCAAGTTGTTCTCATTTAGCACCTGACCTGTTGGCTATGTAACTGATGCTAGAGTTTTCTCCACTAGCAGAACTTCTACTCGTATAGAGCTTTCTTTTCCTCCAAAATTAATAAATTGCTATTCAATGCCTAAAGTAAAAAGACATAATTTTTTCCCCTAATATACTAAGGGAGAGCTATGCTATTTAGACACATTCTTGGAAAAATGCAGACAGCATGAAATCAAGGCATCGGACAATATTAAGTAGTGTACAGAAGCTGACATTATTTGTAGAAAAGAGTTATTCAGGCAAAACTTGTAGCGAAAGAGGTATATTTACTGTGCTTTACTTACTAATTTTTCAAAGTGCTGGCACTGCTTTAATATTATTATTGTTATTATTATTTGTAAAAGCTATTTCACTGAGGCAGTTACGTTATAGATTGCTTAATTTTATAACTGATTTAAATGGTTACATTTTACCATGATTACAGAAACAGTATTTCCTAAATCTGTGTGAAAGTTTAAATTGTCATTTTCTAAGAAGACATAATATACCTCTATTCTTAAAGAAATAAATAGTATATACTAATTCATAACTATTTATTAAGCAACTCCTCTGATGTAGATTCTAGAGCCTTGACAGTAACTAAATAGAAACATGAGTACCTTTGGAGTGTTTGTTTACAGAGATCATTATGGACCATTTAAACACACACACAGACACGTATATATGTGAGTTTTTTGTACAGAATTAGTTTATTTTATGACTCTCAAATCAGCTGACTTATTAAAATAAGATTTACAGTTTTAGTATTTATTCAAAGAATGTTTTTTGAGAATACATACAAAAAATTGTATACTTTGTCATCACTTTATGTGTGTGTATCATATATATGTGTGTATATATATATGTATCTCTATATATGTAGAGATACACACACACACACACACATACATACAAAGGGTACAATATGTCCATATATTGGAGGTTATGAAGTATTAACTTACATGATCACAATAGGCTGTTTGCTAGCTGAGGAACAAGGAGAAAAACTCCAAGTCCCAAAACTGAAGTAGTTGGAGTCTGGTGTCTGAGGGTAAGGAGCATCCAGCACAGGGGAAACATGGAGGCTTTCGAGGCGAGGCCCATCTCACCTTTTCTCATGTTTCTGTCTGCTTTACATTCGCTAGAAGCTGATTCGATTGTGCCCACCAGATTAAGGTAGGTTTGTCTTCCCCAGCCCCCTGACTCAAATGTTAATCCATTTTTGGGAAACTACCAAGAGACATGCCCCAGATTAATACTTTGTATCCCTCAATCCAGTGAAATTGACACACAGTATTAACCGTCATATGTTCACCCTTTTTCAAGTTGAATCTATAGACATCTCCTGAGATAATACATACTCTTCAAATAAAGACAAAAATGAGGTTATAATTACACCTAACATAATACAAAAATGAGTCATATTTACACCTAACATAATAGAACTATCCTTCATACAATCAGGAACACACCAATCTCCAACCCGAACACTATTATGTAAAGTTACCTATACTCAAATGATGATATGAAGTCAATATATCTTAT
The DNA here is from genome assembly GCF_000001405.40 of Homo sapiens. Taxonomy (NCBI): domain Eukaryota; kingdom Metazoa; phylum Chordata; class Mammalia; order Primates; family Hominidae; genus Homo; species Homo sapiens. The sequence goes on along the minus strand of NC_000024.10, from coordinate 21,688,945 downwards.
GTCACATAATAAAAGGAAAGAAAAAATGAAGATATTTTCTTACTACATGTATACATATGCACAAACTTTTTTTTTTAGCAAAAGAAGGAGGAAATACTTAAGACAATTAAAGTCCTCATTTCTGCAGCTGGTCACGTGTTTTCAGGTGGTATGGATGACTGGCTTCTACTCCCCATTCTGCATTTTCTTTGCCTTCAGTAAGGTATTCAGCAGGTCATTTTTTTTTCCTGATTTGTGACCCAAACCTTAATTCCTGAAGGATCTGAACCATTTGTAGTCCTGCCAGGATTGGGCTCTTGTAGTTTCCTATTGACCTTAATCACAGGTCATAGTAATACTAAGACACATCCTAATGTATCTTCTCTATTCCCTTCATACTCTTCCTTACCTAAATTGTGGAGCAGTAGACTGATTTCCTCCTTGATAGTTTGCATCAATCACCTCAGTCAACACTGTACTTTCCTTCTTAGACTGTTGACTCAAAGGTAGGAGAAGGCCAAAGTGTTTGGGTGTCAATCTTAACTTCCAGTTTAATGGAATCATGGCCGTGTCTTCTGGTGGCAGCATTCCTCCCTCTGGAACTAAGATCTCTAGGCCAACAGAACTTAACGTCTTGGAAACAGAAAGCAAAAATGTTGCTAGTGGATCTCTTGGGGTGATGGTGAGTGGTGACATTTCTACTTACAACCCTTGATTTTTGGACCCATGAATTCTTGCTGTGAGAGAAACAGTACAACATATTGGATGCTGATTCACAGCACACATGGTCTTCTGGAGAACTTTGCCACAGGCCCTTCAAAGTATTCTCTCATAATTGGCATTGTAATTGTAACTTCAAAGAGCCATTTTACCATTCTATTTATCTAGCTGCTTCAGGATGATAAAAAGCATGGTAACACCAGAGAATTTAATGAGGAGAAGCCAACTGCCACACTTCTTTAGCTTTAAAGTGAGTGCCTTGTTCAGAGGAAATGCAGCGTGGAATAACATGATGATGAATAAAGCATTTTGTGAGTCCACTGATGGTAGTCTTCGTGGACGCATTGCATGCAGAATAGGCAAAGCCATGAGAAATGTAAAAATTTATTCCAGTGAGGACAAACCTTTGCCCTTTCCATGATGGAAGAGGTCCAATATATTCAACCTGCCATCATGTAGCTGTCTGATCACCCTGAGAAATTGTCCCATAACATGGGCTCAGTGTTGGTCTCTGCTGCTGGCAAATTGGGCACTCATCAGAGGCCATAGCCAGGTCAGCCTTAGTGAGTAGAAGCCCATGTTGCTGAGTCCATGTGTAACCTCCATTCCTGCCAACATGGCCACCTTGTTCATGGGCCCATTGGGCAATGCCAGGCTGGGGAAAGAGGCAGAGTGGTGTCCACACAATGGGTCATTCTATCTGCTTGATTACTAAACACTTTCTCTGCTGAGGTCACTCGTTGGTGAGTACTCACATAAAATAGAAGTATCTTCAGTTTTTCACCACTCAGAATGACCCATCCACTTATCTTTTCCCCAAATTTCTTTGTTGCCAATATTCTAATCATGCTTCTTCCAAGTGCCAGACCTCCAGACAAACCATTGACTAAGGCCCATTAATCAGTATATAAACACATATTTGGCTGTTTCTCCTTCAATGCAAAGTGAACAACCAGGTTCACTGCTTGAAGTTTTACCCTCTGGGAAGATGTATCTTCACCGCTGTCCTTCAGGGATGTCCTAGAAAGGAGCTGTAGTGCTTCAGCTGTCCACTTTTGGGTGGTGGCTGCATATTGTGCAGAACCACTTGTGAACCAGGTCCCAGTGTTAGTTCCTCTGTCAACTGATCATAAATAACTTCCCATTAGGCCATCGATGCAGGCTGGAGGAGAGAAGGTGCCATGGCCGGAGTGGAGACCATGGGCATTTGAGCCACTTTCTCATGTAACTTACTGTGCCTTAGGACCTGCTCAAGCCTTGTCACATATATACCACTTCCAATTGATAATGAAATGTTCCTGTGCACAACCCACTTTATGAGTAGATGGGTTTGAAAGCACACAGTTTATGATAGGCAGTTCAGCTCACACAGTGATTTGATGACCCATAGTCAAACGTTCAGTTTTCACCAAAGCCCAGTAATGGGCCAAGAGCTGTCTCTCCAAAGCAGAATATTTGTCTACAGAAGATGGCAGGGCATTGTTGCAAAATCCTAGAGGGCTGTGCTGTGATTCACCTGTGGAAGCCTGGCAAGGGTTCCAAATAGCATTCCTATCTGCCACTGACACATCAAGCACCATCGAATATGTGGGTCACGTGGCCCAAGTGGCAGAGGAGTTTGCCCAGCAGACTGCACCTGTTGCAGAGACTTCTCCAGTTCTGGATGCCACTGGAAGCTGGCAGCCTTTGGGTCACTCGATAAGTGGGCCAGAGTGACACATCCAAATGAAAAATATGTTGCATCCAAAATCCAAATAGTCCTACTAAGCACTGTGCCTCTTTCTTGGTTGTAGGAGGTGCCTAATGCAGCAACTTATTCTTTACCTTAGAAGGAATATTTTGATAGGCTCCACAAGACTGGACCCCTAGGAATATTACTGAGGTAGGAGGTCTCTGAATTTTAGTCAGATTCATTTCCCATCCTCTGGTACAAAAATGTCTCACCAATAAGTCCAGTGTTCTTGCTACTTCTTGCTCACTGGATCATATCAGCATAATGTCATTAATTATATGGACCAGTGTGATATCTTACAGAAATGAAAAGCAATCAAGTTCTCTCTGAATAAGATTCTGACATGAAGACAGAGAGCTGATATACCTCTGAGGTAGGACAGTAAAGGTATATTGCTGGCCTTGTCAGCTGAAGGCAAATTTCTTCTGTTGGGCCTTATAGTTATTAATAAAGAAAGAGGCATTTTCCATGTCAATGGCTGCATACCAGTTACCGGGAGATGTATTAATTTGCTCAAACAATAAAACTACATCTGGTAAAGCAGCTGCAATTTGAGTCATAACTTAGTTAAGTTTTGATAATCCACTGTTGTTCTCCAAGATCCATCTGTCTTCTACACAGTCCAAATGAAAGCGTTGAAGGAAAAGGTGCTGGTAATTACCACTGCTGCATCTTTGAAGTCCTTGATGTTGGCACTAATCTTTGCAGTCCTCTCAGGAATGTGATATTGTTTTTGATTTACTATTTTTTATGTATAGGCAGCTCTATTGGCTTCCATTTGAACTTTTTCAGTGTAGTAGCCCTCACCCTACACATCAGGGAGCAAATGTGGGGTTCTGCCAGCTGCTAAGTATGTCTATGCCAATTATGCATTCTAGCACCGGGAAAATGACTCCAAGAGGAGTCCTGGGATGCATAGGACACTCTGTAAGTCCAACCTAAGCTAAATCTCCATTCATTACCTGACCTCCTTAAGCTCCTACTTTAATTGTGTGACCACGATTATATTTTCAGTAATGCAGTGGGGTCATTCCTCAAGGGAAACTGGTGTCTCTTTCTTTCAAGGGGTTCTTGGTCTTTAAACTGGCTCTAGTTTGGAAACTGATTGGGGAAGGGGCTGTAATACTCTGCTTTTATAATTCAAAGTAGTCTGTTTTTTTATTTGACCCAAAAGTTATCTGTTTGTTTAACTTAAGTGTGAATGCAGTAGGCTTTCTCTCAATTTCACTTCCAGGAACACCTTGATTAATTAGTTAATGCCAGAGCTCCATAGGAGTCACATTATTGTAATTGCCACTTCCCTTATTTACACCCACCTTGCCTTTGATGGTTGAGTACTGCCACTTGGCGCCTGCCACCTGGGGATCCAACTTTTCTCATCCTATTTAAATTTTGCCGTTGAGTGATTGTGTTTCCCACCATTAAATCTGACATACACAGAAGAGAAATTACAGGGCTATTTACAGATGCAAGTCCTTCCCTCACAAATCTATTTCACAAGGCATTGGTAAAGGGCATCTCTTCCAGACCCTCCAAAGTGGAATGAGTAAAGTCTAAGGAGATGAATCCACTCCGCCATCCCAATTTCCCTAAGCCTCCAGATCTCTCTCTCTACATTAAGCCAACGGAGACTAGGCATTTCCAGCTCACTCACAGTGGGACATCTTTTAATCCATATTTCAGCTAACCAGGAAAATCAACTATTAGAATTTTTTTAACTACCTAAGCAGCAACATTAAATGCAAATTCCCTGCTTAGTGGGCTCTACTCAATAAATTCAGTCTGATACATTTCCATGATTCCTCTTCCCCCATTATCCCCTACACTTAATATTCATGCTCATACCTGTCCTCCAGATTTCTGTTCAAATAAATGAGATAACTCTAACAGTTCTTTTTGAGTGTAGCACACCACTTCATGGGTCACACTCTCCACCTCACCTCTAGGAGCCCACCAGAACTTTAATCTACTTATAGGTCTAGAAACAAATGGAGGTGTTGGGGATGGCTTCTGAGGAGAAATGATATTATCTTTCCTGGAAACTGCCTCAGGGGTGGAAAACACTGTTGCCTCAGCCAGTGCACAGTTTCTTTCTTCAGACAGAGTTGGAAAGGCTGATGGCAGTATGGATCATAAAGGGGATGTTGCCACTTCTTGAGATGAGGAAGCCATTCTTTCTGGCACCAAAAAAAAAAAAAAGTTCATCAGAGTTAACCACTCACTGTCACCAGATTCATCAGGGTTCTCCTACACATCTCTATTATGATTTACAGGGTCTGTTTCTTTTTCAATCAATGCCCTCACTATAACAGTAGACACCTGGTGAGGCTGTGCATGCATCTTTTATTGCAGGTCAGTGACTCACATGATAAGAGCCTGTGTCTGCTTTTCCACAATTTTAGCTCTTGCTCTACAAATGATAAGATTCTCACTCAGGGCAAAATTAGCAGATTTGAGCCTCAGTATCTGCTTCTGAAGTTGGGAGACAGTATCCCTGAGTTCATCATTTTCTTTCATCATATTGTTCACTGAACTTAGGAGCTACCAAGCAGCTTCACTGTGTTCTTTGGTTCTCCACATATGGTCAAAGGTATTATGTATAGAATCACTAAACTCCTTGATTCTCACAATCAGTGAATCAGGAGTGCCAAATTAATTTATTTTGCATAAGTCTCTAAATGGTTTCCACCAAGGACTATCAGTGTTCTCCATATTATTAGAAGTAGAGTCCACAGACTTTTTGCATCAAATTATATTAAACAGCCAACTTCAAAACCTCCAAAACCAATGAAAGAACTTTATTTTTAATGTTCTGTTCCTCTAGAACCATTTCTGTTACCAACATCTGTATTAGTCAGGATTCTTTCACAGGGACAGAACTAATATCTATAGAAGAGTTTATTAAGTATGAACTTACGTGATCACAATGTCCCACAATAGGCTGTCAGCAAGCTGAGAATCAACGAGAGCCAATCTGAGTACCAAAATTGAGCAAGTTGGAGTCAGCCATGTGAGGGCAGACAGCATCCAGCACAGGAGAAAGATGTAGGCAAGATGTTAGTCCATCTCGCCTTTTTACGTTTTTTGCCTGTTTTATGTTTACTGGAAGCTGAATAGATTGTGCCCTCCAGATTAAGGTTGAGTCAGCCCACTGACTCAAATGTTAATCTGTTTTGGGCAACACTCACACAGACACACCCAGGATTAATACTCTGTAAGTCTCAGTCCGGTTAAGTTGACACTCAGTATTAACCATCACAGGCTCCTGGGCATAAATTCGTTGCTCCCCACCGAAGCTCCACCTTCAAGCCAGTGACATCTTGAAGTCTGGGGCATAGGCTGATGGACAAGAATGGGAAATGATTTTACTTTTATTAAGTAAATTGCTTTATTAAGTAAATTTACTTTAATTAAATTTAAAGTAATTTTTATTTAAATTTACTTTAAAATTAATAAAAGTAAATTTACTTTTATTAAGGAAATTGCTGCCCAATAATCCAATCAGCAAGCACTTTATTTTCTTTGAATGATGTAAAATTACTGGATTCAGCCACACTGGAAGACTTGACAGACTACCAACCAGCTGCGGAGAGGACTGACCCACTGAAGGGCCTTCTCTCTGCTGAGAGCTAAGGAGGCATCAGAACTTTCAACAGCACACTGGAGCTACCCACCACAGACTTTGCTGAGAGCTAGGGAGATAACAGAGCAGCCAGATAGACGGATAAGCTACCTACTCCAAGATCTCTTCTATGCTGAAACTTAGATGTTGGGACCACCAGATATGAGGATTTCCCCACTGCAGGGCCTTCTCTCTGCACGGAGCTTAAAACTGGGCAAGATGACCAGCTGGATGGAGAAGATACCCGCTCCAGGTTCTCCTCTCTGCTGAGAGCCGGATAGTAATCACTGACACCCTGCCTTTAGAGAGGAGCTACCCACTCTCTTTGCTGAGAGATGGACACTCATCGGGACATCTGGCTTGTGTGGAGGAGCTACCCAATGAGGGGCTTTTCTGTGTTCTCTCATTCACTACAGCTTCTCTTTACATTGCACACTCTTTAATTGTCCATCTATGTCTTTATTCCTGAATGCAGAACAATTATTTGAGATAAGCTGAATGGTGAAGCTGAAAGAGTTGTAACACAAACTGGGGGAAAAAAAAGATATACCTTGCTCATCACATTGTGGAAGACAAAAATAAGACGAGAGCTATGACCCTTCAGGGTGCACAGACCTAGGCACTCTCAAAGCCAGGGCTGTGACATTTTCTTTAGGGCTTTGAAGTTTCTGGCATCTTCAAACTTCTGGGCACAACTCCATTCCTTAGTATAAGCTATGAAAGCTGCTTGCAGAATGCCTGATCCAGCTGCAGCTTCTCAGTGAGATGGCACTTCTCTTGGCACCTGAAATTTCCTGCCCTGCCACAGCTGGCATGCCTGGCTGTGTGTAGTGGCTGATGCCCACACTCGCTCATACACCCCTTGCCACTCTATGCCACATTTGCCCTTGGCAGGTGTTAAATCCATGCCTATAATGCAAGGGGAAGGCAGCCTCTCAGGCAGAGTGGGTATAACAAGCTTAGCAGGCCTTAGCAAAACTGAGGCAAAGGCACTACTGGCCACAGTGGTTTCCATCCGGCAAGGTGACTCCACCAAAATTCCATGACAAAAGAAGCATAGCTACTTGTGTTTAAGTGCCTTACATCTACTGGATCTTGAAATATTGATAATTGAGTGTCCTACAATTTGAGATATAGATACATAGATAGATAGATAGATAGATAGATAGATAGATAGATAGATAAATTGTGTGTGTGTATCTGTGTGTATGTGTGTGTGTGTCACAGTCTCACTGTGTCACCCAGGCTGGTGTGCAGTGGTGTGACCTCGGCTCACTGGCATTTGCATTGGGTCACCTAATCTCTCTTACTTACACTCTCTTACTCTTTTTATTCTATGAGAATATATTTCTAAAATATATGGCATTGAGGTTCAGATTGGCATTTTTCTGGTAGATTATAAAGTTTACTGATGTAACAGAATTTCTTATTCTTGGATTTTGACATTTTGTACTCATGTAATTTCTTTTTGTGAGGAACTTTTGCTGCACTCCATAGGATTATGAGTAGCATTTCTGGCCTCTTCCACTAAGTGCAATAGTAAACTATTTTTCCATGGTAGAGATACGCAAATATGTTTGTATCTTGTGGAAACAAAACTGATGAAATTTACTATTCTAGAGAGTTCTAAAGAAGAAATAGGAACTTGCTTTTAAAAATTTTGCACAAAATTTACATGAGATCTCACTTTGCTCTAACTCTTTGCTCTTCTAACATCCTGTAATTTTCTATCATTATCATGTAAGTTAAGCCTATAATACTTTTCCTTTTGCAGGATAGTGTTAAAAACACAGGTTAAATGGATGTTGAAGAGCTGCTATAAGAGGCCTCATTTGGGTAAGAAAAGAGTTATTGGTCTTTATCTCAAAAAGCTCACCATCATGAATTATTAGGGAAATGCACAACTAAGCTGCAATGAGATACCATCTGAGGCCAGTCAAAATGGTGATTACTAAAAAGCCAAGAAACAACAGATGATAGTGAGGCAGTGCAATGATAGGAATACTTTTATATTGTTGTTCAGAATGCAAATCAGTACACACTGTGAAAAAGTGTGTGATGATTCATCAAGTATCTAGAACCAGAAATACCACTGTACTCAGCAATTACATTACTGGATATATACTCTTCCAAAAACAAGCTATTCTATTACAAGGATACATGCATATGTATGTTTACTACAGAGCTACTCGCAGTAACAAAAACATGGAATTAACCCAAATGCCTATCAACAACAGCCTGAATAAAGAAAACGTGGTACATATACACAATGAAACTATATGCAGCCATAAAAAGGAATGAAATTATGTCCTGTGAAGGGGCATGGATGAAGCAGGAAGCCGATATCCTCAGTAAGCTAACACAGAAACAAAACACACACACACACAAAAAACACTGCATGTTCACACTCATGCATGGGAACTGAACATTGAAGACACATACACACAGGGAGGGAAAAAACACGCACTTGGGTCTGCCGGGGGGATAAAAGAGATTCAGGATAAATAGCTAAATCACGTGGGGCATACTACCTATGTAATGGGTTGATATCTGCAGTCAACAACCATGGCACGTGGTTAATTGTGAAATAAACCTGCATGTCCTGCATATGTACCATGGAATTTAATATAAGATAAAATTAAAAATAAGAAGGGATTTATTTTTGTAGAGTTTATAGTAACTTTTAAATATGTGCCACACTTTACTGAAGACTTTTTTTTTTTATTTAAATATGGCATCTCTCTCTGTTGCCAGACTGGAGTGAAGTGGTGCGATCTTGACTCACTGCAATCTCTGACCCCTGGGTTCAAGTGATTCTCCTGCCTCAGTTTCCTGAATAGCTTGAATTACTTGTGCATGGCACCATACCCAGCGTTAAGATATTTTTTTAAAATAATTACAAATCAGTTTTTGACAAACTGCATTGAAAAGTAAATAGTGTATTTCAATTCTTAGTTGATTGAATTTCTTCCCTTTTATTTTTAGAATGATATCTCACACTGTCCCTTTGGCTGGAGTGCAGGGTGCAATCTTGGCACCCTGCAACCACCTGACTCACAGTTTCAAGTGATTAATCTTCCTCAGCCTCTTGATTAGCTGAGATTACTGGCAGACACAACCACAGCTGATGGGGTTTCCCCATATTCTACAGACTCTTCTCTAACTCCTGACCTCAAGTAATTTGCGTACCTTATCCTCAGAACATGCTGGGACTACAGATGTGAACCACCGTGCCTGGCACTTGGTTGAATTTATAATTGAGAAAAACATACATCTTGCAAAAATTTATTTTTATATCATATTTTTATGAGTTTATATATCTCATAATTCATGAAAAATAATAAAGCTTTAATGCCTTTTTATATTTTAAATGAATTTATTTCCATTTTTATGTGATTAAAAGAGTAGGTTAATTTAGAATGTTATTTTTCTTTTGGGTAAATTTCTCAGGTTTTAGAAATTTCTTTAAAAATCTACTCTGGGAAAATAATTACATTTATTGATTTTACTTGGGGTTTTTTTAGGAATTGCTTATGTAAGAAAATTCAAATTTGTTTCAAGATACAATGAGGTGTTTAATTATGTCAAATAAAATATTTTCTTTGAAAAGAATTTTTTTACCTATATTTTCTACAAATAATACTGTGATTACTTTTTCTGACTTACTAGAAATTAATTGATTGTTTCATCTTCCCTGCATAAAAAGCTCACCTGCAATATTTAAGAAGTAAACAACTGCCAGCCGAGCTGGCTGTTCCAGTCTGTCGCTCACCAAACACCATCAATTCTGCTTTTGAGCTACTTGTAGCACCAGCTATTGGCTGTGTAAAAAAATCTTAAAAAGATAGTAGACTGTTTGGCTGAAATATATTACACAGACAAAACAATAGCTAGTGAGTATTTTAAATTATAAAGCTGCTTTTGTTCATTAATCATAGTTTTGTGTGAAATTCTATTTTCTCATTTAGATAAAATCAACTCATGGGTTTTTTTTTGTCAACTATTTTAACATTCTGTAGCCATCAGGTATATAATTAAAACAATTTTAGTTGGAGAATACAATTTATTTAATATATATTTATTTAATGCTCCCCTATAGTTGGCTTTGGTAACTTAACACAGTGAGTTGTTTTAATCACATGTGAAAAAATACTGAAAATTTAGAGTAATGAGGAGTCAAATGTAATACTATAAAAAGTTTATATTTAAAATGTATGCATTAAAAAGTTTTTCATAACCCACAAATTGAAGTTGCTTAATGTTATTTTAGTTAAATTCTAAGAAAGTTATGGTTTAAAAATCGTGACATGAGAAGAGAACATTTGAGTGCATTTTATTGCTTCTAAATACCACATCAGTCCCACAAAGAGGGTAGTAATGTTGAAATCTTACACAGAACTAAAACAAGTTTGAGGTAATGTAAGTAAATTAACAAATAATAACATAAAATTTAGTTTATTTCAAGAGAAAACTGAATGTTAAATATATAATTAACAGCAGCATTCAGTATAGACCTTTAATTAGTAAATGTGAAATTATATTTATATTTTTATCTGTGGGAGTACATTTTCTAGCACATTGTAGGATTTTCTAGCTAAACTCACTGCTTAAAAGTTCAGATCTTTATTTGTCTTGTGGGTTCTTTATAGAGGAAAGAGTTTACTTTTGAAAAACACCTTTTTCTTAATTTATTTAACTATTGTATTGACATAGTAAATACATATTTTCAAAAGAGTTTTTTGAAACAAACACTGCTGTTGTTAAACTATTTAGCTAACAGTTTTATGGGGTTAAAATATAATTCCAAATACATAAGAGGATATGTACCGCAAATTATTAACTTGCCACCAATATTATATTCCTGGTCCAGAGATTATGTCTGTATGTGCACTAATCCATGCATGTAGCTATTTGGTTATTTTTTACACAAATGAAAATATACAATATACAGCATTATTAACTTTGTTTTGTATTTAGTCAAACACCTGTCAGTATATGAAGATCTGTTTAATTCTGATTTGTAGCTACATAACTTGCAGTTCAATGTGCTCTAATTTATGCAATCCATCTCTAAGATGAATTGATGTGTAAGCTGCATTATGTTTTACACAAAATAGGGAAGAATTTATAGTCCTTACAGTGATTTTAAATACACAAGACAAATAAATTATTGCTATTTACTGAGGAATAAAGCAGTTATTTATGTGAAGGTTACAGTTTTATGAGTCACAACAATAACTTTATATGAAGTGCTCAATTAAAAGTGAGAAAACCCTAATGTTTTATTTATATAAAGTTCTGATGACAATTAATTAAATACACTTATTTTAGGCCCAAAAGTTTTATAGTAAGTAAACTTGTAATGATTAAGGCTAAGTCCATGATTAACACATGAAAATTTTAATATTATACCATCTTATATAACTCTTTCCGAGAAAGCATTTTTTCTTATCTCAGCTTGTAAAGCACTTCCTGAGTGGGAATATCAGCTCCTGCTGGACCACGCCCACCAAAAAGATTTGTGGAACTCAAAGAGGGTGGTGCTACCTATCACATAAATTCTGTGACCCAGCAGCTATACCTGATCCCCGTCATCAGCAGCAGTATTTTAACCATTGAAAAGACAGGTAGCAACACAGGCGATGATTGCAGAGCTGTTAAAGGAGTGAGAGGTGACAGCGTGCCGGCAGTCCTCACAGCCCTCGCTCGCTCTCGGCGCCTCCTCTGCCTGGGCTCCCACTTTGGCGGCACTTGAGGAGCCCTTCAGCCCCCGCTGCACTGTGGGAGCCCCATTCTGGGCTGGCCAAGGCCGGAGCCGGCTCCCTCAGCTTGCAGGGGGGTGTGCAGGGAGAGGCGCCAGCGGGAACCGGGGCTGCGCGCGGCGCTTGCGGGCCAGCTGGAGTTCCGGGTGGGCGTGGGCTTGGCGGGCCCCACACTCAGAGCAGCCGGCCCGCCCTGCCGCCCTGGGCAATGAGGGGATTAGCACCCGAGCCAGCGGCTGCGGAGGGTGTATTGGGTCCCCCAGCAGTGCCAGCCCACGGGCGCTGCGTTCGATTTCTCGCCCGGCCTTAGCTGCCTTGCCGCGGGGCAGGGCTCGGGACCTGCAGCCCGCCATGCCTGAGCCTCCTACCCCCTCCCTGGGCTCCTGTGCGGCCCCAGCCTCACCGATGAGCGCCGCCCCCTGCTCCAGGGCACCCAGTCCTATTGACCACCCAAGGGATGAGGAGTGCGGGCGCACGGCGCGGGACTGGCAGGCAGCTCCACCTGCAGCCCCGGTGCGGGATCCACTGGGTGAAGCCAGCTGGGCTCCTGAGTCTGGTGGGGACGTGGAGAACCTTTATGTGTAGCTCAGGGATTGTAAATACACCAATCAGCACCCTGTGTCTAGCTCAGGGTTTGTGAATGCACCAATCGACACTCTGTATCTAGCTACTCTGGTGGGGACTTGGAGCACCTTTGTGTGGACACTCAGTATCTAGCTAATCTGGTGGGGATGTGGAGAACCTTTGCGTCTAGCTCTGGGATTGTAAACTCACCAATCAGCACCCTGTCAAAACACACCCCTCGGCTCTACCAATCAGCAGGATGTGGGTGGGGCCAGATAAGAGAATAAAAGCAGGCTGCCCTCGCCAGCAGTGGCAACCGGCTCGGGTTCCACGCTGTGGAAGGTTTGTTCTTTCGCTCTTTGCAATAAGTCTTCCTACTGCTCACTCTTTTGGTCCACACTGCCTATATGAGCTGTAACACTCACCGCAAAGGCCTGCAGCTTCACTCCTGAAGCCAGCGAGCCCACGAGCCCACAGGGAGGAACAAACAACTCCAGACATGTCGCCTTAAGAGCTGTAACACTCACCGCAAAGGTCTGCAGCTTCACTCCTGAGCCAGCAAGACCATGAACCCACCAGAAATAAGAAACTCCGAACACATCTGAACATCAGAAGGAACAAACTCCGGACACGCCGACTTTAAGAACTGTAACACTCATCGCGAGGGTCCGCAGCTTCATTCTTGAAGTCAGTGAGACCAAGAACCCACCAATTCTGGACACAGGAGGGCCTCCATCTTCCAGACCCCAGAATAGTAGATCCACTGACAGCTTGAATTTTGTGCCTGGAGAAGCCACAGATACTCAATGCCAGCTGGTGGAAACAGTTGGGAGGAAGGCTGTACCCTGCAAAGCCTCATGGGTGCAGGTGCACAAGACCATGGGAACCCAGCTCTTGAAGATCATTCTGAAGCTTTAAATTGTACTGCCTCCTTGGATTTTAGACTTTCATGGGGGCTGTAGCCCCTTTATTCCAGTCAGCTTCTCACATTTGGAATGGCTGTACTTTTCCAATGCCTGTACCCTACTATATCTAAGAAGTAACTAACTTGCTATCAATTTTACAGGCTCATAGGGAGAAAGAACCTGCCTTGTCTCAGATGAGATATTGGACTTTGACTATTGAGTTAGTGCTGAAGTGAGTTGAGGCATTGCAGGACTATTGGAAAAGCATGACTGGTTTTGAAATGTGAGGAAATGAGATTTGGGAGGGGCCAGGGTTGGAATGATATGGTTTGACTGTGTCCCCACCCCAGTTGAATTTTTACATGTGGTGGGAGGAATGAGATGGGGGGTAATTGAATCATGGAGGCAGATTTTTTTGTGCTGTTCTTGTGACAGTGAGTAAGTCTCATTATATCTGATGCTTGAAACATCAGTTTCCTTGCAGAAGCTCTCTCTTTGCCTGCTGCCAACTGTGTAAGACGTTAATTGCTCCTCTTTTCCTTCTATCGTGATTCTGAGGCCTCCCCAGTCATGTGGAACTGTCAGTTCCTTAAACCTCTCTTTCTTTTATAAATTGTCCAGTCTAGCATATGTCTTTAGCTTGAAAATGGACTAAGACAGTACAAATATCAGATTGACTGATAAAGCTCTGTGACTTTAATTTCACAGTCAAGTCAAAGATGTAAATCAAATACAATTGTGTGCAGGTCTCTGAAAATTCTTATCAACCTTTTTCTAGTTCAGTAACATTTTATTAACATATTTTAACATAATGCTGAAAGAGTTGTTAAATCAAGTTATAATGTACTCTATACTTTTATAATTATTGCTAAGCTAAGACTACAGTAATTTTAATTGTTTTAAGAGACAAAGTCTCTATTGCTACAGCTGGAATGAATGCAGTGGTGCAATTATAGCTAACTGCAGCTTCTAAATTATGGGCTCATGTTTTCCTGCTGCCTTAGCCTCCCAATGAGCTGGGTCTATAGGAAGAGGACAGTAGGCTCAGCTAATTATTTAATTTGTTTATTTATTTTAATTTTTTTGTTAGAGACAGAATTTTGCAATGTTGCTGAGGCTGGCCTCAAACTCTAGGCTTAAGGTAATCCATCCACCTCGGCATCATATAGTGCTAAGATCACTGGTGTGAGCCACCATATCTAGCTAATTTTTAAAAACTTTTTGTAGAGATGGTGCTTCATTATTTTGCCAAACCAGGTTACAAACACCTGCCCTCAAGGTTATTTTTGCCTTGGCCTTTACTATTTTTGGAATTACAAATATAAGCCACAAAACCTGGTCTAAAAATGATCTACATTTTTAACTATAAGTTAAAATTTTATCTGGTAGAGATAAAGCTTCTTATGTAATGATAAAGTAGAACATGGTGTGATACAAATTTATTGGTGTGTGAGCCAATTTTTAAATAATAAATGCACATTTAGATTAGAGATTTTTAAGTTTACTAAGAATTCTCTCACAATTACTACAAAAATGTTTATTGTGTATTTAAAATTTGAAATAATATTTTTATGGTTAGGAAAATGTAAAGCAGTATAATAGAGAACCAAACCAATTGTAAGAACTCTACGAATGAAATGCAAAGCCATGTACAAGTCACCAGAAGGACAACAAACTTTTTTTTTGGTGTGAAATCCAGTGGTAATGTGGAATATACCAGCAATTTGTGTACTAATCATAGTAATTTATTGTGCTTTAGGCAGAAAAGTAATTCTACTCTTCAAATAAAAATACATATACAGTCAAAAACATTTGTATTTTCAAGCACTTTCTTAATAAAATTTTTGTTAGTTAACACTAATTCTTAGTGATTTACTTACCACTTCACTAACCCATACTGCAAACTAGTGCTTGAGTAGAAAGTAATAATTATTATTATAAATAATGCTCTTTTATATATCCATATATTAAGAACCACTATTCTAATGTACAGATATATTACATTTTACACTTTAAATAACTAAACCAAAAAGGAACTCTTTCACATAAATTAAGGCTAATGATTCCATAAGAAAAGGTAAATGAAGCCTAAAGAAAAAAATTAAACACATGTTGATGCTTTGTAAGGAATCACGCAAGCCAAACACAAATTATTTTTTATTAGTAAGAAGCTAATCTAAAAGCTTACCTTGAGCGGGATTTAAATAAACACCATTAATGTAAGTACTTTTATTCCATTATGGATAAATTTCACATTTTGTTTCTATACACTTCTCTCAATGGCTGGTGACATAATGAGGTGATGTGGTATTGTAAGAGTTAGTCATAATGTATATCTTACCATCTCATCACCTTCATCTATCATGTCCATTTGCTTATTAAAAATAAGTACACAAGCATTTCACCATCTCTTCTCTCGTCTCTATGACATGCACTTCAGCGTGTGATCAAATACATTTGTGTACTCTCCACCAAAACACTGACTTTTTAAATTTCTTTATCATCTTCTATTTTCAATTCTGTTACATCTCCAACATCAAATTTATACCAGTGATCTGAGTCACTGGCTACCATCTTTGAATAATACAAGAATAATAAGCCAGGCACAGTGGCTCATGCCTATAATCCCAGTACTTTGGGAGACCCAGGCGGGCAGATCACCAGGTTAGGAGATCCAGACCATCCTAGCTAACATGGTGAAACGCCATCTCTACTAAAAATACAAAAAATTAGCCGGGCTTGGTGGCAGGTGTCTGTAGTCCCAGCTACTCTGGAGGCTGACGCAGGAGAATGGCGTGAATCTGGGAGTCGGAGCTTGCAGTGAGCCAAGATTGCACCACTGTACTCCAGCCTGTGCTACAGAGCAAGACTCTTGTCTCAAAATAAATAAATAAATAAATAAAATAATAATAATTCCCACTCCTTGCTTGATCAGCATTGCTACTGTGTAAGGTCCCATATCCAGGTCCCAGAGAAATTAAAAATAATCACTGAATGTAATTGTACATTTTCCCAGACATATTAAAATTGTTTGAGTTGGCCGCAAAACCAAAAGGCAATATTTTAAATAGCAAGTGCTTTCCTGTGTTAACATAACATAAACAGAGAATATAAACAAATATTATCTTGTTACCTGCGCAAACATTAAAACAATGTAATGAGAATTTTAAAGTTTATAATCTTTTGAACCGGGCGCGGTGGCTCACTCCGGTAATCTCAGTAATTTGGAAGGCTAAGGCCAGCAGATCACAAGGTCAAGAGATTGAGGCCATCCTGGCCAATGTGGTGAAACCCCGTCACAACTGAAAAAAAAAAAAAATTGCAGGGTATGGTTGTGCCTACGTGTAATCCTAGTTACTCAGGAGGCTGAGGCAGAATTGCTAGAACCTGAGAGCCAGAGGTTTCAGTGAGCTGAAATTGTGCCACTGCACTGCAGCCTGGGCAACAGAGCAAGACTCCATCTCAAAAAAAATTATAGTCTTTCTCAACTTGTTTATATAGATGAGTAAATGATAATTAACACCAGCAGGGTAATTATGTCATAACTAACTTAAGCAATGCTTACTTACCAAAGCTTAAAATGTTTATATATAGTAATCCTTTGGCATCTGTAGGGGATTGGCTACAGGATCCCCATGATTACTATAATTTGTGTCTGCTCAAGTTTCTAGTGAACAGTGGTGCAGTACGTAAATATAACGTACACACATCCTTCTGTATAGTTTACTCATCTCTAAATAAATAATAAAATGTAAATATTATGTAGACAATTATACGGTAATTGCTTTTAAATTTGCTAGTTTTTATTGTATTGTTATTTTTTGTTTTTGGACATTTTAATACATGTTTAGAGAAATCTGTGTTTTCAGAACCTGTGGATGTAAAAGGTCACTTACGTGTTGCAAATTGGAAAACATTACTGACACAGACCCTGATGGCTATGTGGTTCCATATAGTCACAACTATCTGTTTTATTCCTCTAATGCTTTCTTTTATGCTATTAATTAGAATTTGGTGTGAGTAAACTGAAGATATATGATAAGCAATAATAATAGCAGCTAATATTTATAGCACTTAAAGACCAGGTAATACACTAAGAGCTGCACACATATTAATAAATTTAATCCTGACTGTCTTTTTTTTTTTGAGATGGAGTTTCACTCTTTTCACCTAAGCTGGAGTGCAATGGCAGCATCTCAGCTCACTGCAACCTGTGCCTCCAGGATTCAAGTGATTCACCTGTCTCAGCCTCCCCAGTAGCTGGTATTACAGGCATCTGCCACCATGCCTGGCTAATTTTCATATTTTTGGTAGAGATGGGGATTCACCCTGTTGGCCAGACTGGTCTCACTAATTATAAAAAGGTAATAACTATATATAATTACTTTAAATGTGTGGATTTAGAGTGGCAGAAAGGGCAGGGTGCATGGCTCACACCTGTAATCCCAGCACTTTGGGAGGCCAAGGCAGGCGGCTCAGGAGGTTGGGAGATCGAGACCATCCTGGCTAAAAATGGAGTAACCGCCTCTCTACTAAAAATACAAAAAATTAGCCAGGTGTTGGGGCGGGTGCCTGTAGTCCCAGCAACTCGGGAGGCCAAGGCAGGAGAATGACATGAACCCAGGAGGCCGAGCTTGCAGTGGGCCGAGATTGTGCCACAGCATTCTAGCCTGGGCGACAGAGTGAGACTCTGTCTCAAATAAAGGGACAAGGAAAGGGAAAAGGGAAGGGAAGGGGAGGGGAGGGGGAAAGGGAAAGGGAAAGGAAAAAAAAGTGGCAAAAAGGGTAAAAATAAACTGTTCCAAGTCTCAGAGGTGTGAATAGAAGGAAGGATGACTTTATAAACAAACTACAATCTAAATGGCAGCTAAATTCAAAACAATGCAGAAAGCTTGGAGGTGAGAAGTTATGAAAGTGAAGAAAGACATATGTGTTACTTAACATATAACATCTTGAAAGACATTTTACCATTTCATCTCCCAATCAATTTGTGCAGAGATAAAATCAGCTGGTTAGGCCTAGAGATTAAAATCTGTTTGTGAAACTACAAGCGGGTGTTAAAATCTGTTGTAACCACATTAACTTAAACTTTTTTACTTCTGAGGTATCTACAGTAGAAAAAAAAGTTTTATTCTATTAACTCCTCATGATTCAATCACTAAATTGCAATTTATTTTAGAGATGAAAACAATCTTTGAGATCCTTTTATATCTAAAATTATTCACCTAATAAGGCTGATTTTTTTCTAGTCAGTCACTGTATTTTGTCAATATTCTTTCCCTTTAAACCCGTTATCATCTTGATTACCTCTCTGATACCACTAAAACAGTAAAGAGAAAAACAGTAAAGAAAAAGCAGATGTTAATTTTGAGGATAAGCACAAACAACTCTAATGTCTTCTGATTCTGTTCAATGACATCATTATTTTTTTCAAAACTGAACAAAATATACTTTATATCACATTTTACAATAATATACATTTGCACCTTCATTTCATATACTGTTCCAAATAATCAAGAAGATTTTTGTGTTTGTTAATGTCCACATTCAAAGTTGTAAATGATTCCTCACATTTTACCAAAAGATATTATTAAAGAAACAAATTTTAAAAATGTATTCTTTACATTATTTTCCCTGTATAGACAGTTTATTTGTTTGTTTATTTGTTTTTTGTTACCCAGGCTAGAGTGCAGTGGCACAATTATAGTTCACTGTGATCTCAAACTCCTTAGCTTAAGGTAGGGGTCACCAAGCAGTACCCATCTCTGTCCTGTTAGGAACTGGGTCACACATCAGCAGGTGATTGGTGGGCAAGCACGGAAGCTTTATCTCTATTTAAAGCATTACCTATGGTTCACCTTACCGCCTGAACTCCACTTTCTATAAGATCCTTGGCATCAATTAGATTTTTATAGAAGCTAAACACTACTATTTACTGTGCACGTGAGAAACCTAGGTTTTGCACTCTTTATAAGAATCTAGGCCAGGCGCGGTGGCTCTTGCCTGTAATCCCAGCACTTTGGGAGGCCGAGGCGGGTGGATCATGAGGTCAGGAGATCGAGACCATCCTGGCTAACAAGGTGAAACCCCGTCTCTACTAAAAATACAAAAAATTAGCCGGGCGCGGTGGCGGGTGCCTGTAGTCCCAGCTACTCGGGAGGCTGAGGCAGGAGAATGGCGTGAACCCGGGAAGTGGAGCTTGCAGTGAGCCGAGATTGCGCCACTGCAGTCCGCAGTCCGGCCTGGGCGACAGAGCGAGACTCCGTCTCAAAAAAAAAAAAAAAAAAAAAAAAAAGAATCTAAAGCCTTATGACCCGTAACCGTCTCCTATCACCTCCAGATAGAACCATCTAGCTGCAGGATAGTAAGTTCAGGGCTCCTACTGATTCTACATGATGGTGAGTTGTATAATTATTTAATTAAATATTATAATGTAATAATAATATAAATAAAGTGCATAATAGATGTAGGGCACTTGAGTCTTCCCCAAACTGTCCCTGCAACCACAGTCTTAAAAAATTGTCCTTCACAAAAACAGTCCCTGGTGCCAAACTGTTCCAAATGATCACACATAGATGCACACACACATAAATACTTGAGTAAAATTTTGAAGACTAAACTCAAAGTGTTATAATAATTTGAAAGAACAAGAACAGAACGTGGCCTAGATTGCAGAAAAAAATGTTTCAAGTAGAGAACGCTGATAAAAATAAATTGTTAACATATTTGAAAAGAAGAGGAAGTCACATGTGAGGCTGTAGAACTAAAATAGGTAAATAAGAACTATATATGCAAATTATACTTATAACCTAGGCTTACAGTTTGGCTATGGAATCTAGAAAATTAAACTGAGAGATATAATGGAGAGTCAGTGCATTATAGGTGTGATACAGACTTTTAAAAGAAGTCTAAGTGATACGCTAATAAATGGAAGAGGAGGGGCTGTGAGTGAAACAGAAGGCAGCCCAGAAATCAGAATATCTCTTTTGCTTCCTACCTCTGATCTATTTAGTAAGCACTTTTTTGAAAGAACACTAAACTCTTATGAGGGAGTGCAGCTTTTTTTTTTTACAAACTAGAAAGAGCTATATACTACAGTATATGATTAAAAGTTGTGTGACAGTGTTTATTATCATATGTGCCACAAATTAGGCCTTGATAAAATGAGTGAAACAAAGAAAACAAAATCAAGATGTTATGAAGCTGTGCGTTGGGGGTCGGGGGGCGACTTCTCTTCATTGCTCAGGATGAAGTGCAGCAGCACAATCACAGCTCAGGCAATGTTTTCCCCTCATTGTCCCAGGTAGCTGGGACTACTGATGCAGACCATTACACTCAGCTAATTTTTTGCATCTTAATAGAGACAGGATATCACCATGTTGCCCAGACTGGGTATGAACTCCTATAATCCAGTAATCTGCCTACCTTGGCTTCACAAAGTGCCAAGACTACCAGTGTGAGTGACAGTGCCTGCCTAAATGGGCTTTTTCAAATGTAAAAAAGGACCAAATGTTACTGGTCACTTTTGTAAGTGGCTCAAAAACTATATGATTACTTTACAAGCTTGCAAAAAAATGTATATTATATAAAGTTATATGTTGTATATTTATATATAAGTATATTATTTCTTTTTCTTACATGGCTAGGAAGAGGTAGTTTCCTGTCAGTGATAAAAATGTTCATTTGATAATAAAAACATTTATTTGATGATGAGTAATGTTGATCTTTGAGATGATTATTATACATAATATCAAGCGTTAATATTACTCTAGAAGCTAAAAGGCATAACTGATACACTAGTCTAACTTTAAAAGTATGATAAAGGAAGTTTAAACAAATGCCAACAGGTAGTGAATAAAATGGCATGTTATCTTCCCAAGTACTTGAGACTACAGGCTCATACCACCACAGCAGAATAATTCTTGTATTTTTTTTAGAGACAGTGTTTTGCCACGTTGCCCAAGCTTATAAAATCGTTTTTATTATGTGTGATAACAGCACCATGGCCATCTTTTTAAATTTAAACTTTAGAGATGCATTAAAATATCTATACAAATAAAACAATATACTTGGCATTTGCTTTATTAGAGAACTGTTAAATCAATGAGATGACTACATTTCAGTATTTTGCTTATATATAATTTATAAATCTAATAATAAGAAGTTAATTATATCATGAGATATAAAAAATATACTGTCTGTCTTTGCTGTGAAAATTTTAACCTCTTTCAGTTGGGATAATACTAATAAAAATGACCAAGAGAAACAGCTAGAATATTACTATTGTTTAAATATTAAACGCCTAATAAATTATGTATTTTAAGATATATTTAAACATTTTAGTTAGTGTACAGATGACTTTATCATATCTTACCCATAATTTACATAAACTGTTTCCAAAAACTTCTGGGTACATTATTGTAGTCAGAAAGCAGCTAAATGTAAAAGATGACCTGAAATTGTCTTAGGAGATCAATATTGTACGCTTTCCTATCTTCTGTCTTGTTTAATGCTGGTTTCTCTTCAAATTTATAATGATATCTAAACACATCATCTCGGAGATCTCTAGAGACCAGAAGACATTAGTGATGCACTAATCTAACATTAAATGTATAATGAAAGAAGTTGAAATAAACACCAACATTTGGTTAATAAAATTATATGCATTTTTTAATACTATTTTCAAAAAACTTATTGGTTTTAATATTTAGTATTAGTACTTATTTCACAGATGGACCATCATAAAGAGTTCACAGAAAAGTTATCATTAGAAACAATAGAATAATAGCAATTATAACCTGCAATTCATTAAAGATTAAAGTCTAATCAGTGGTCTCTCATAAATAACTTATGAGGAATAAGTTACTTCGTTCTCCAAGAATTCAGTGTCTTCTTGTGAGAATAATGCATTTTTGCAGATTATATGATGTAATTTATGTGATGTATTTAGAGTTACTACCACTCAATAAATACAGCTCTTAAGAGTAGTTGTGGAATAAACAAGAGTATACACAGAAGCTCCAAAGGTCATAATTTTCTTGTAGCTACAGAGCAAAATATAGTTGTTTTACAGATATCTAACATGTTTCTATATGCTTTGCTCTTCTGAGGTTTCTGATACAGAAATAAACAATATCCAGTTCATAGCCTGAGGAAGTTCATCCCACAGAAAAAGCAACTAGGCAGACACGCATGCCACAGTAAAGTGCTGAGACAACATAAAGCAAAAGCAACCAACCAAGCACAAAGGTAGGGGACTTAATTTGAATTTTATACTCTATCTGCCTTGTTCACTTCTTGTCAGTATAATTAGCAATCTCTATCTATTTTAAATTCAGAACCAGAGGGGCAAAAGGGGCTTCAGTATCAGGACTTACATTCTACTTTTTTGTCCAATAGTTTCTGTTAACCAAGTATTAACGAACATCCCATATGGAGATTCTAGTAAAAGGAATGCTTCCCAGGTTGTAATTGCTGCGTGGTGTAATCTATTCAATCTAGTAAGGCAGTGTTTTTTATAGTCTTCATAAATGAAAAGTGCTGAGATGTTATTTGAAAGACAAACTATTTCTAACCACTGAGGGAAAGAAATGTAGAAATTTAAGAATCATTTACTACAGTTTAATTATTCAAATTTCTCTATTTAATTTCTATCAATGTCTATAGAAAAATATAAATGAATGGTAAACAACTTGAGTATAAACATTTCCAAAATTCAAGTTTTCTATATTCACCTATTTAATAGCTATATCTTAAAAATGTGATCTGCCATTAAAAAGTGACTTTTTGCTGCTTTATTTTTATTTATGTACTTATTTACTTAATTTATTTATTTTTTTGAGATGAAGTCTTGCTCTGTTGCCCATTCTAAAGTGCAGTGGCGTAATCTTGGCTCAATGCAAGCTCCGCCTCCCAGGTTCACACCATTCTCTTGCCTCAGCCTCCTGAGTAGCTGGGACTACCGGAGCCCATCACCACACCCAGCTAATTTTTTTTTTTTTTTTTGTATTTTTTTTTAGTACAGATTGAGTTTCACTCTGTTACCTAGGATGGTCTCAATCTCCTGACCTCGTGATCCGCCCGCCTCGGCCTCCCAAAGTGCTGGGATTACAGGCGGGAGCCACCGCACCTGGCATGCTGCTTTATTTTCAACAGATATTTTTTATTTTTAACCAAATGCTTTTATACTTTTAGCAGCCTAATTGTAATTGTTATATAATGTTGCTAACAGGTCTACGTAGCATTATTAGAAAAACAAATTTTTTTCTGTAGCAGAAAAATCCCTAATTTTAGAAAAATATACATAGAATCCTAAAAATAAGCACAACTTATTTAACACAGATGGGATAAAAGTTTAAAAAAAAAAACAGAATACTTAAAAAAAGATGAGTATGATTATTAAAAATAAAGATTTCTAATTCTTCACATACTGAATTGCATTTACCGTGTCATACATACGTGATTATATCAACTGTGCTTTGAAAATAAACAAAAAAGTGATAAATATTATCAACTATATTGTCAAGTTGTTAGATGAGAGTGATAAACATGCCAGTGATGGTATTGCAGACATTCTAGCCGTATCATCAAATGCAGTTCTGACAAAATCTTGTGAAAACACAGTAATCTCAGAATGAACAACAGTATCTGCTATCAGAATATTTTTAAAATAATTAATATTTACCTCACATTTTGTTTCTCATCTTTGAACAATAATTGTTTGTATCACTACCTGTGTTTTCAATTACAGAAATATTGTTTGTGACAAGGGTGATTATGTATAGTTGCTAGATCACAGAATTAATGTGACAGGTAGTACCAGCTTGAATCCCACAAATCCTTTTAGTGGGTAGGGCCCAACAGGGGACAGATACTCCTGCACACTGAGTGATTCACAAGATGAGATAAGAAAAAAAATGCTTATGCTACAAAAATAATGATTCTGTCCATTGTTCTCTTAATCAGTCTGGGTAAATTCATTCTATCAGGTTAAGACAGCAATTTTGAAAGAGTACTTTAAACTTTTACATCAGCAACTTGAGCCACTATACAGGCCCTTTACTACAGACTTGTTAAGCAAACATTTTTAAAGACATTGCTTCTGTAACCATTTTCTTAGAATCATGTAAGCTGGTATAATATTAAATTTTCATGTGTTAAACGCAGACAGCTTTAATCATTAATTTAGTTATAAAAAACTTGTGCACTGTAAGTGTATTCAAAACACTGTCATCAGAACTTTACATAAATAAAACATTAGAATTTTCTGTTTTAATTGAGCACTTCATTTAAAATTATTTTTCTGACTCATAAAAACTATAATCTTCACATACATTTCTGCTTTCTTCTTCAGCAAATAGTGAAAATTGCTTTGTCTATATTCACAGTTTTATTGTGAGATGAAGTCGTTGAGATGGTGTATTTAAAAATCACTGTAAGAACTGTAAATGCTTCTCTGTGTAAAACTGAATACAACTTACACATCAATCCATCTTAGTGGTGGACTGCATATGTTGGAGCACATTGAACTGCAAGCTACAAAACAAATGGATCTTCATATATTGACACGTGAGTGACTAAGTATAAAACAAATTTAGCAATATTTTATATTGCATACTTCTTTCTTTAAAGAAGCTATATGTATGGAGAAGTATATATACGGAAATAATCTGTGCATCAGAAATATAA
Organism: Homo sapiens; assembly: GCF_000001405.40. Lineage (NCBI taxonomy): Eukaryota > Metazoa > Chordata > Mammalia > Primates > Hominidae > Homo > Homo sapiens. Next base: position 21,663,973 of record NC_000024.10, on the reverse strand, counting down.
TATCGGCCGCAAGTCAATAACTTTTAATACACATCTTCATTCATATATGTGTGTGTGTGTGTCTATATATATATATATATATATATTTTTTTTTTTTTTTTTTTTTGAGATGAAGTCTCACTCTGTTGCCCAGGCTGGAGTGCAGTCGCGTGATCTCGGCTCACTGGAAGCTCTCCCTCCCGGGTTCACGCTATTCTCCTTTCTCAGTCTCTCTTGTAGCTGGCCCACGCCACCACGCCCGGCTGATTTTTTGTATTGTTAGTAGAGACGGGCTTTCACCATGTTAGCCAGGATGGTCTCGCTCTCCTGACCTCGCGATCCACTCGCCTCGGCCTCACAAAATGCTGGGATTACAGGCGGGAGCCACCGCGACCAGCCATCTTCTTGTACATTTTTAAATGTATGTTAAACACAAGAAAACATTGGCTAAATAGTTTAACAACAAGAATGTTGGTTTAAGAAAAATTTCTTTTTAAAATATATATTTATGGCCAGGCGCTGTGGCTCATGCCTATAATCCCAGCACTTTGGGAGGCCGAGGGGTGCGGATCACGAGGTCAGGAGATCGAGACCATCCTGGCTAATACGGTGAAACCCTGTCTCTACTAAAGATACAAAAAATTAGCCGGGCGTGGTGACGGACGCCTGTAGTCCCGGCTACTCGGGAAGCTGAGGCAGGAGAATGGCGTGAACCCAGGAGGCGGAGTTTGCAGCGAGCCGAGATCGCGCCCCTGCACTCCAGCCTGGGCAACGGAGTGAGACTCTGTCTCAAAAAAAAAAAAAAAAAAAAAAAAATATATATATATATATATAATTTATTTATTTTCACATATATATTTTTCACACACATATATATTTCACACATATATATATTTTTCACACATTTTCACACATATATTTTTTCACATATGTATGTGGATACATACACATGTGTGTATATATGTATATATGTATGTATATATACATATATGTGTATGTACATATATTCATTCATATATATATGTCAATGCAATTGTTACATAAATTAACAAAAAAGATGTTTTCAAGCAGAAAACTCTGCTGTCTACATACAGCCCCCAAGACAAATAAATATCTGTCCTCTTAAGCAGTGAGTTCAGCTAGAAACTACAGCAATGTGCTAGAAAATATACTCAGAGAAAAAATAAACAAATATAAAAAAATTAACATTTACCAATTAAAAATCTGTAAGGAATGCTGCTGTTAATTATATTCTTAACCCTCAGTTTTCTCTTGAAATAAACTAAATTTTATGTTATTATTTGTTAATTTACTTATATTACCTCCCTCCCTGATTCTGAGTTCTGTGTAAGATTTGAACATTGTTAGTCACTTTGTTAGATTGATGTGAACATTTAGAAGTAATAAAGTGCAATCAAAGGTTCTCTTCTCACATAATGATTTTTAAAGCTATACCTCTCTTAGAATTTAACTAAAATAACATTAAATAACTTCAATGTTTGGATTTAGAAGATCTTTTTAATGAATACACTTTAAATATAAAGTTTTGTAGCATTAAATTTCACTTGTTACTCTAAAGTTTCAATATTTTTTCACATATGATTAAATAAAACTCACTGTGGCAAGTTACCAAAACTAAATATAGGGGAGCATTTAAGAAATACATATTTTTTAAAAAATTTATATTCTCTGACTTAAATTGTTTTAGTTATATGCCTGATGGCTACAGAATGTTAAACTTGTTGGTCAAAACAAAAAATCCATGAGTTAATTTTTTCTAAAGGAAAAAATAGAATTTTAAGCAAAACTATTATTAGTGAGCAAAAGCAGCTTTTTAATTTAAAATACCCACTAGTTATTGCTTTGTCTATGTAATGTATTTCAGTCAGTCTACTATCTTTTTGAGGTTTTTTTACACAGCCAGTAACTCGTGGTACAAGCAGCTGAAAATCAGCATTGATCGTAGCGTGTGACCTACGCTAGAACCACCTGCTCTGCTGGCAGTTCTTTACTTCTTATATATTGCAAGTAAATTTTTGATGCAGGGAAAATGAAAACATGAATTAATTTCCAGTAAGTTAGAAAAAGTAATCACATATTATTAGTAGAAAACATAGCTTAAGAAAAATATGTTTTTTTCAAAGAAAATACTTTTAAAGTTTATTTGACAAAATTAAACATCTCATATCTTGAAACAATTTTGAATTTTCTTACAGAAGCGAATCCTAAAAAAAAAGTGATCATAATCAATAAATGTAATTAGTTTCCCAAGTTAGATTTTTTGAAATTTCTGAAATCTGACTTTATCCAAAAGAAAAATAACATTCTAAATTAATCTTCTCTGTTAACTATATATTAATGGAAATAAATTTATTTATGATAAAAAGAAAATGAATTTAAATTATATTATTTTTCTTGAATTATGAAACAAAAGAAACTCATCAAAAATATGATATAAAAAAACTAAAGTTTTCAAGAGGGATTTTTTCTCAATTAGAAATTCAATGAAGGGACTAGCATGGTGGCTAACACTTGTAATTCCAGTGCATTTGAAGGCCAAGAAAGGTCAGAAGCTTCAGACAAGCTTGGCCAATATGGTGATAGGCCCTATTAGCTGCAGTGGTGCACTCCTGCAATCTCAGGTAATCAAGACGCTGATGCAGAATAATAGCTTGAACCTGGGAACCAGGGGGTTTCAGTGTCCCAAGATTGCACCACTGCACTCCAGCCAAAGGGACAGTGTGAGATTCCATTCTAAAAATAAAAGAAATTCAATCAACTAAGTTTGTGACAACTCTGATTTGTAGTAACGAAATGTCTTAAATAATGTGTGACACACATTTCAAAGTTATTCCAACATCGCCTGTACAAAAAGAAAGCCTTTTTATTGTTAGTTAATTTATATAATTTTGCTTTTTATAATTTTATTTATTATTGTTCCAGAGTACATATGCAGGACATGCTGGTTTATTTCATAGATAAACATGTCCATGATTGTTCGCTGCACCTATTAATCCATCATTTAGGTATTCAGCCCCACATTAATTAGCTATTTGTCCTGCAGCTCTTTTTTTATCCTGCCCCATGACATAACCAGATATGTGGCATGCCCCTCCCTGTGTCTATGTGTCTTCAAACTTCAGACCCTCATAAGAAGGTGGAAATGCAGTCTTTGTTTTTTTGTTTCTGTGTTAGTTTGCTGAAAATGATGGCTTCCAGCTTCATTCATCTCCCTGCACAGGACATGATCTCCTTCCTTTTTATGGCTGCATATTATTTCATGATGTATATGTGTCACACTTTCTTTATCCATTCTGTCATTGATGGGCATTTGAATAAATTCCATGTCTTTGCAACAGTAAAGCAATAACCGTACACATGCATGTAGTCTTAAAATAGAATGACTTTTTTTTGTGTGTGGGTGCTACATACCCAGTAATGAAATTGCTGAGTCCAGCGGTGTTTCTGGTTCTAGACACTTGGTGAATTATCACACAGTTTTCCACAATGTCTGTACTGATTTACACTGCAAACAACAGTGTAAAAGCATTCCTATTACTGCACTGCTTTACTACAATCTATTGTTTCTCGGGTTTTTAGTAATCATCATTTTGACTGGCCTCAGATGTTACCTCATTGCAGTTTTGATTTACATTTTCCTAGTAATTAGTAAAAGTAAGAGAAAAATGAGATCTCTTATAAAATTTCTGCGAAATTTCATCTTTTTTTGAGAGGGGTTTTGTTCTTGTCATCCAGGCTGAAGTGCAGTGGGGCAATTTCAGCTCACTCTAACCTCCGTCTTCTGGGTTCAAGCAATTCTCCTGCCTCAGCCTCTCAAGTAGCTGGGATTACAGGTGCCAGCTAAGTTTTTTTTATTTTTATGTTTATTTTTGTATTTTTAGTAAAGATGGGGTTCATCAATGTTGGCCAGTCTGGTCTGAAACTCCTGATCTGAAGTGATCCTCCTGCCTCGATCTCCGAAAGTGCTGGAATTACAGGTGTGAGCCACCATGAGAAGCCATTGAAAAAATTTTTAAAGTGTTTTTTTTTAATTTCTTCTTCAGAACTCTGTAGAATTGTAAATGTCAACGGTTCTGCTTCCACAAGACACAAACATATTTGAGTATTTCAACCACAGAAAAAGGATGTCACTATTACACTTAGTGGAAAAGGCCAGAAAGGCTGCTCAGGCTTCCCAGGCTGCTAATCATCCTACAATGCACAGCAAAAGCTTCTCCCCCACAAAATTATATGAGTACAAAATGCCAAAGTCCAGGTATCAGAAATTCTGTCTCCTCAAGAAGCTTCATAATCTCCTAGAAAGATGCTAACTTGAAGCCCAATGCCATATAGTTCAGAAAAATATTCTCACATGATATATTTCTGTGTAAGAGGGATCAGGTGGTTCAATGCTAAGGCCAACTTTCAAATTTGATTTTTAAAAAATTTTGAAATGTAATAATAATTTCCTAATAAGGTTAAAACTACCAAAATGTAGTTCACAGAATTATCTGTATTTCAAGATCCACGAGAAGGCACAACTAGCTATGCTTCTTTTTTCATGGAATTTTAGGGGAGTCATTTTGCCAGATGAAAACCTTTATGGCCAATGGTGCTTGTGCCTGAGTTTTGCTCAGGCCTGCTAAGCTTGTTCTACCCAGTCTGCCTGACAGGCTGCACTCAGCTTCCATTATGGGCCAAGATTTAACACCAGCCAAGGGCAAGCATGAGTGTGTGGTGAGTGGTGTATGAGCAAGCATGGGCTCCAGCCACAAAACACAGCCAGGCTTGCCAGGTGTGAGAGGGCAGAAAGTGTTAGGTGCCAACAAAAGTACCAGTGAAATGAGAAGCTGCAGCTGGAACAGGAATACTGTAAGCAGCTTCTACAGCTGATACTGGGAAATGTAGTGGTGCCCAGAAGCATGGAGATTCCAGAAACTGCAAAGTCCCAAAGAAGGTGTCACAGCCAGCCCTTAGGTCTGAAAGGTCACCGTTCTCCTCTTATCTTTGTCTTCCACAATGTGATGAGCAAGGGGCAAGTTTTATCCCTGTTTGTGTTGCAGGTCATTCAGCCCTGACATTCAACAGATCTAAAACTGTTGTTCTGCATCAAGAAAGAAAGAGGTACATGCTGCCATCAGCCTTTCCAGTTCTGTCTGAAGATATAAAGCCTGAGCTAGCTGAGGCAACAGTGATGGCCTCCCCGAGTCAGTTGCCAGGCACTATAATGTTGAGTCTCCTCAGAATCCACCCTTACACCTCTGTTTACTTCTAGACCTATAACTAGACTCAAGTTCTGCAGGGGTCTATCCCACAGACCCTGACCCAACAACAGATGAATAAAGTACACTGATGCATGATATTCTGCTTTGCCAGTTCGACTGAGCATCTGGGCCACTTACAGACTCCATGCAGAGTGCTGTAAACAGTTGCGACCAGGGACTGTAAACAGTCCTGACCAGTTAATGAGACTGGTACTTATTCAGTAAAGACTAATTGACAAAGCTCATGAGTAAACACAGCTAGAGGGTAATTGACATCGTGGAGTTTCTGAGTAGAAAGCAATTAAGCACCTGCAGTATTAGATCAAAGGTTAGTCTTAGGACCACACAAGTAAAGAAGCTAGTTAGGTAAACTACTCTACCTTCCATTGTACCCACTTTAAGCTATTTACACAAGGTATGGATTAGGTTGCCTTCAGTCATAACCTTATACTGAGACTTTTACAAAAATCTTTAGGCTTTCCAAGAAGGTTTGTGGCTTATAATTGTCCCTACCATCTTGATCAATCTGCTACCTCTTCCACTTTTTTGTTTTCTGCATCAGGTTTCTTAATTGGAGAGCATAGGTATGTCAGCAACCAGTCTGTCAGGTGTGGCTGTCCTGGCAGTCATTACTCTTATTCTAACTTTGCATCTTAGAATTAGCAAACAATAAAAAACAATCATGAGTACAATTAGCAGCATTCTTTTCCAGTCAAAGTGTGGTCCCCAGGAGTGGGGGGTCTAACTAGGAGAAATGATCTTGCACACCCTTCCTTGTGGCTGTTTGTTGTGTGTGTAGGTCTATGGTGTGAAGGGATTCTAAAATGTTAGTTTTAAGTTGGCTTAAAACTGCTGTTAAATTGTCATGAAAGGTTCCCCAGAGATGCTGTTCTACCTCATCTCAACAATGTATAGATTGAGTCCATGGTAGAGAAGTGACATAGAGATGTTTATGTTCCCAGTCACAGCTTAATTGCTTTCAGAATGCCAGTAGATCTTGTCGTTCCCCTGCATATTTTAAAGTAGCCTCGAGGGCTCGCAGACATGCAAGGATTTTTTTAATCTATATCTTGCTGAGAGAGAATTCATTAGACACATTGTTGGCCAGATTATCTACAAAGGCAGCTATTTTTACTGACTCAGTAATAGATGCAACAGCAATGCTAGCAGTTGCCAGGATAACTACAGCTGAGAATATAAAGGCCATAAGTGTAACTGTAAACATTTTGTGTCTGTCCTGGGACAGAGCATATTCTAAGGTGGAAATGGCAGAGGAACTTTGCCAATTGCATGTCAGATTGACTGGTAGGAATGCCTCAGATTGTCTCCTTAATACCATGACACTAATAATTATTGGGGAACCTGCCCCAATATTCATGTAGGTTCTTTTCTATTTTCCTTAAGTGTCAGCTGGCTTGAGAAATAAAGGGACAGAGTAGAAAAAAAGAGAAATTTTAAAGCTGGGCATCTGGGGGCGACATCACATATCGGTAGGTTCTGTGATGCCCCACAAGCCACAGAAACCAGCAAGTTTTCATGAGGGATTTTCAAAAGGGGAGGAAGTGTGCGAATAGGTGTGGGTCACAGACATCAAGTACTTTACAAGGTAATAGAATATCACAAGGCAAATGGAGGCAGGGTGAGATCACAGGATCACAGGACGAGGGTGAAATTAAAATTACTACTGAAGTTTCGGGCACCATTGTCATTGACAACATCTTATCAGGAGACAGGGTTTTGAGAGCAAATGGTCTGACCAAAAATTTATTACTTGGGAATTTCCTCTTCCTAATAAGCCTGGGAGTGCTATGGGAGACTGGGGTCTATTTCACCCCTATGGCCTCGACCATAAGAGATGGGCACACCTAAGGGGGCCATTTATAGGCCTATACCTCCAGGTGCATATTCTCTTTCCCAGGGATGTTCCTTGCTGAGAAAAAGAATTCAGCAATATTTTTCCCATTTGCTTTGAAAGAAGAGAAATACGGCTCTGTTCTGCCTGGCTCACTGGTGGTCAGAGTTTAAGGTTATCTCTCTTATTCTCTGAACAATTGCTGTTATCCTGTTCTTTCTTCAGGATGCCCAGATTTCATATTGTTCAAACACACATGCTCACAATTTGTGCAGTTAAGGCAATTATCACATGGTCCTGAGGCGACATATATCCTCATGAGCTGACAGGATTAAGAGATTAAAGACAGGCATAGAAAATCACAAGGGTATTGATCAAGGAAGTGATAAGTGTTCATGAAATCTTTAGAATTTATGTTTAGAGATTGCAGTAAAGACAGACATAAGAAATTATAAAAGTATTAATTTTGGGGACTAATAAATGTCCATGAAATCTTCACAATCCATATTCTTCTGCCATGGCTTCAGCAGATCCCTCCACTTGGGGTCCCTGACTTCCCACAACAAGTAATTTTGAAATTAGATATATTGTGATTGGTGATCATAATATATCTAATCAGTATGATTATGAACAAAGGCAGTAATCAGTGTAATTATGAACAAAGGTTATAGTATAGTTGCAACTGGAATTATTATTATTATTATTATTATTAGATGTAGTCTGGCTCTGTTGCCCAGGCTGGAGTGCAGTGGCATGATCTTGGCTCACTGCAAGCTCTGCCTGCCAGGTTCACGTCATTCTCCTGCCTCAGCCTCCCAAGTATCTGGGACTACAGGCACCTGCCAACACGCCTGGCTAATTTTTTTGTATTGTTAGTAGAGACGTGATTTCACCATGTTAGCCAGGGTTGTCTCAATCTCCTGACCTCATGATCCACCCTCCTTGGCCTCCCAAAGTGCTGGGATTACAAGCATGAGCCACTGCACCTGGCCATGACTGGAATTATGATAGGTACCATGCCAAGTGTTAAGGGAGGTGCTGAGATGTACCAGGCACCATAAGGTGACTTGGGGTGGCATGGACTTTACTTGGGGTCTGGAATATTCCATCCCCCCATTGGCCCAAATTATAGGGGAAAGAGATATGGTTATGAACTATGATTGTTGCTGTGATGGAAGAAGACATTAGTAAGACTGCCCTGCAATAGGCATTGGGGGCTCAAGTCTAGGATGTTATAATTGCCTAACCAGAAGCTATGGGCTTGTTTCCTGTGACAGACCTCCCAGCTAAAGTGGAATCCATTACTTTCCTGGCTTTTTTCTTTAGTACAGGAAGGAATGTTTGGGAAAGTGGCATTGATTGCATTGCCTGGATTGAGGCTTCCTGCAGCTAAGAATGTTAAGGCATTTCCTTTCCCATGATGTAGCCATACTTGTATTTGGGCAGGTACACAGTAAGTGTTAGAGCCTTTATAACTTACACACAGTGGGAGGATAGTGGAGTGATATGTAGTATTGTTTGGCACCTTAGTTCAATGTGTGCCATTATTGAGGGGTGCCATGGGGGTAAATCTATCCCTCCTAGTGAAGGAGTCATGTTATTATAGGTTGTAAAGAAAGTGTCTGCCCAGGTGAAAAAAAAGGCTGGTTTAAGATATAAGCTCAATAAATTTAGTAGGTGCAGTTTGCAGACAAAGCAAGAGCATGAAAAGGATTAATATCCTTCATGAGTTGCAATGAAAAACAGAACGCATAGCAAGAAACAAATTATCTGGAGTAAATAGTGTCTATGTCTGGAGGAGGATTTGTTCAGCCACCTGAGTTGTCCTCTTCAGCAGCCCCCAGGTAATGTCTGGCACTTGTGTCATTCATGTTAACTTCATCGTCCGGGGCTGTGGATCTTTCAGGATTCACTCATTCATTCCTGATACTGGGTTGGGTCCTAGTCATGCCATGGTATGGTTTGATGTGTCATGCTGAAATCCAAAGAGGACCTGAGGGGGTGTGGACACAAGCATACCTTCTTCCCCAGGTTAATAATTCCCTAGGACTGCACCATTCATTACTGTTTACATCTTTCCATAAAACTGTAGGTTTTATGCCAATAGCATTGAAGGGTCTTTACCCATACTCCCCCCACCCTTTTATTTGAGCATATTTTTAAGGGAGGAGTGGGCATGTTTTACTATTTCTTGTCTTTGGGGTTATATGGAATGCCTGTGGAATATTGGATGCTCCATGTGTGACAAAATTGTTGAAATTGTGAACTGACATAAGCTGGAGCATTATCAGTGTTAATTTTTGTGGGTCAGCCCATAAATGCAAAACTGAAAAGAATATGTTTAATGACATATTGAGTTGACTCTCCAGGCAGAGCATGTGCACTAATTAAATGCGTGTTGGTCTCAATGGATACATGTACATATCTTAGTTTTCCAGATTCAGGGATGTATGTATCATCTGTTTGCCATATCTGATTAGGCTCTAGTCCTCTAGGGTTAACACTTGTTGAAGGAGGAGATGTGCCTATGAGGTGGCAATCTGTGCATTTTAGGATAATTTTTTTACCACTCTGTGAGTAAGTGGAAATTATTTAGATAAGTTTCTCCAATTTTGGTGGCAAAATTGATGCAATTGGGTGGCTTGGTTAAGCAGTAATGTCATAACATGAAAGTCTGCTTCATTATTGCCATAAGTCAATGGGCCAGGCAGTGAGCTGTGGACTCGAAGGTTTGTAATAAAAATAGGATGTGTATGTTGATCAAGCAATTGCTAAAGTCAAAGAAAAAGAGCACACAGGGCTGGGCCCAGAGTGGACTCAATTAAGGTCTCTCAAGGTTTTGTAGTAAATAGAGTATGCACAGTCACGTACACTACTTATGGCCTGAGTGCAAAAAGTTTCCAAGGCCAGTATCAGAGCCCCAATCTAAGCTCTCTGAGTGCTAGTAAACCCAGATCAAGTGATTGAATTGTGTGGTCTCCACCAGACTGCTGCTTTTCCATGTTTACCAGACCCATCAGTAAACAATGTTAAAACATTAGATATGGGGATTGACCTCTTTCTGTGGACAAAATTACCAGCATATGAGATAATAAATGAAGGAGTTGATCAGAAGGATGGATGTGCTCTATTTGTCCTGTGTAATCAGAGAAAGCTATTTGCAAATCTATCAATAATGGCAATACTGCTTCAAATTGCTTTTTAGTTAAAAGAATCCTGATGACATCAGGATCATAACCTAGCAACCGATTACATCATTTGCAACCTGAATAGATGACTTTAGTAATTAACTAAATATAGGGAGATAGAGTTTTAGTCCCATTATGTGAGCAAAAAATCCATTCTAGGAAGAATAGCCCAGGGACCATTTGTCCTATTAACCCTTTAGGGGAGTGTTTGCTGGGAAAGATAAACAGCATGTACCATAAAGCCTGGGACTATGTGATCTAGCTGCCTCTGAGAGATGGTGAGTTCTATTTCCTTGATTTCTCTTTTTGATGCAGTTCTAGTTCTAGTTCCTTGATTTCCCTTTTTGCTGCAGGGGTTAAATATCTGGGATAATCTAGGGCTGGATTGCCCTTTAAGATAGAATACAGGTTTTATAGTTTATCAGTAGAAATCCTCAAAGTAGGGTGGTGCAAATTAATGTCTCTCAGAAATTTTTGATAATAATTTAAGATGTGTAACTTGCTAGTATTTAATTTAGTGTTTTGAGGTCTTACTGACAGGAAAGTTAGTATGTACCCAGGATATTTCCAAGGAGAATACAGCTGTCCTTTCTCAGGTGGAACAATTAAATCTCTTATCTGTGTATTCTTTATGACAGAGGAATATAAATTTAAAAATGTTGGCTCCATTGGGGCTGCAAGTAGAATATCATCCATAAAAATATTCATCTTGCAATCAGAAAACTCTTTTCTACTAGGGAGCAAAGCTTGATTTACATGATACTGACACAAGGTAGGACTGTTTAGCATTCCTTGAGGAAGCACTTTCCAATGAAATCAACAAGCTGGCTTTTCATTATTGATAGCTGATATGGTAAACACAATTTTTTCTCTGTCCTAGAGAAATTGTATGAAAAGAATCCTTTCAGTCAATAATGATTACAGGCAAATTTTGAGGAATCAAAGTGGAGGAAGGGGGGCCCTGTTGAAGGGGCCCAATAGGCTGTAAATTAGCATTAATAGCCTGTAAGTTTGGATAATTATCCATTTCCCAGACTTTTTGGGAATGATGAAAATGGGTGAATTCCAGGGACTGTGAGATAATTTGATATGCCCAGCCTTTGATTGCTCTTCAACTAATTCATGAGCCTTCTGTAATTTGTCTCACTTCAGAGGCCACTATTCTTCCCAAATTGGATCTTGAGAGAGACATGTCAGGGGTAGAGGAGAAATAACAATAGTGGCCATTGTCATAAAGGGGTATGCAGAGTGATCTCCTCACACACACTGGGCTAATAGGTCCTGCCCCCAAAGATTAACAGGATGGGCATGATTAGAGGTTGCATAACTGTCATTCTAACTTCATAATCACAGCATGTTAGGGGACGCATGCTCTGCTTGGCTGTGTGTGCTTTGTCAATGCAGAAATTTTCTGTTTTTGAGTGATCCAAGATCAAGTTTCTGGACAGTTCTGATCACTAATGATTAAAATGTTCACTCCTGTGCCCAATAAGCCAGTAAAATTCTTATGTCCAATTTTTAAAAGTAATCATGGGTCTCTGATCAGTGATTAATTGATTCCAATACACTCCCATGGCTCCTGTGCATCCAAAGCTTCCCTTTCGCTTTTCCTTTCCATGGGCATTGAAGACCCAGTATGGTAAAATCAGTAACTGAGCTATCTTTGATCCAGGGGGAGGAATATGCAGACCTTTACATTCCATCATAACCAATATCTCACTCTGATAATCACTATCAGTTACCCCATTGGGCACATTAATTCCTTGACTGGGTAGGCTAGACTGCCCTAGGACTAACCCCACTGTTCCCAGAGGCACTGGGCCCCAGATCCCAATTGCAACACTTTTAGAGTCTTCTTCTTTTAGCACTAATTCACTGGGGCAGAGTAAGTCCAGTCCTGTGCTCCCAGTTGTGGCCGCTCTAAAAGAGAGGACTATGGACTTCCCATTTGACCAAGGAAAGCTGCTGGCATTGCCCCAGTTGGGAGTGGTGCCTGGAGCTGACCCCTCATGAAGCTTCTGACTGGTTTCTTATGGGGTTGCCATTTTTATCCAATTTAGACCTGCATTGATCTGCCCAATGCTTCCCCTTCCTACTTTGGGGACATATAGAAGTTACCTTGATCTTTACTTGATCTTAGTTACCTTGATCTTTACTATAATGATATTCCCTTGTTATATGTCCTGGCTCTCCTCATAGAACACAATTTTGGTCTCTCTCCCTTTTCACTTTAGGAGGCCTTAATGCCATAGCCAATATTTTGGCTTTGCGTATCTCAGTTCCTACTAGCTGAAATGCTGGTATTAGCTCCCCAACAGTGGTGGCCTTTCCTCTGATTGCCTGCATTGCCTGCTGGCAAACCACACAGGCATTTTCAAAAACCAGCTGCAATGATATCAGTGGCCTGGGCATGACTAATTTGTCTCTTAATTGCCTTGGTTAACTGATTGATAAACTCAACAAATGGCTGCTGAGGCCCTTGTCAAACATTTACAAAAGATCCCTGCTGAATTCTGCTTTCAGGAATTTGGTCCCAAGCCCTGAGAGCACACAGAGGGACATCAGCATAAGCCTGGAGATCAAAATTTAGTTTTTATTGCACATCGGCATGAGGACCCCTTCCCTGGAGCATATCAGCTGTTATATTTTGCCTGGCCACCTGATTCACCAGGAGAGGCAATACGGCAAGTGACGTTTTCTCCTTCTTCCCCTTTTTAGGCTCTTCTGTGTATAATGAGACTAAAGCCATCCTTACAGGGGCCCATAGTGTTAAAATTGATACTGGGACCCATTGCCCTTGTGCATCATGCTGTTTAAGATTTCTCCCCACCTGTTACCAAAGTTCTACCTCTAGCATTCCTTATTCTGGGAACCATGGATTATGTGAGACAGTAGTTTGCATTAGTTCTCTTAAGTGAGTCCATGAACCTGATACTCTGGAAGCATTAAGCAACTATTTCAACATTTTATACACTGTTTTTGTTGAGTTGGTAACTGTTGTCCCATGATGAAACCTCAGCCTGACCAATCCCCTCTGAACTTGGAAATCCCAAGTGGACACCAATGACTTCCTGTTTTACTGACTTGACCACACAATCTTCTTCAATGTTTGTTTTCAGGGGGTCCATCGCACCTCCTTTGCCATGTTCTTCACATGGGGGTGCTGGCTGTGGGGGTCTTTCCTGCAGACCCTAACTCAATGATGGGTGAATAAAGTACACTGACACACAGATATTCTGCTTTGTGAGTTTGACTAAGCATCTGGGCCACTTAGAGTATCCACACAGAATGCACTAAACAGTTGCAACTGCAGCCTCAATCAGCCAGCGAGACTTGCATTTGTACAGTAAAGATTAATTGACAAAGGTCTGAGTAAACACCACTAGAGGGTAATTGACATTCAGACTTCCCAAGTAGAAAGGAATTAAGCACCTGCAGTAGATCAAAAGTTAGTCTTCTTACCACATGAGTAAAGAAGCCAGTTAGATAAACTACCCTACCTTCCTTTGTATGCACTTTAACCTATCTACTCAAGGTAAGGATTAGTTTGCCTTCAGCCATAACCTTATCCTGAGACTTTTACAAAATCCTTCAGGCTTTGCAAGAAGGTTTGTGACTTATAATTTTCCCCACCATCCTGACTGAACCCCTACAAAGCTCTGGTGGGCTCTTAGAGGTGAGATTGAGAATGTGACCTCTGAGGACGTATGGTACACATGAAAAGAACTGTTTGAGTTTTCAAATGTATATAAAATGTAGTCTGGGAACAGGCATGGGAATGGATAGTATAGGTATGAGAAAATAGTGGAAAAAAACCCAGAATTGTGTCAGGCTGAATTTATTGATCAGGGCTCACTAAGTAGGCTCTGCATTTAAAGCTGCAGCTCAAGGAGTTTAAAATGAGTTCTGATAATTTATTTGCTTGATTAAATGAAATATAAATAAAAAGATGGCCTACTGTGAGTGGGCTATAAATGTCTGCTCTTTATTGGTTTAATGTAAGGAAGACATCCAAAGGCCTAGGGAGATTTGGATGGTGGAGTGGATTTGTCACTTTAGACATACTCACCCCAGCTGGGAGGGTTCAAAAGATACACCCTTGATCAGTGCTTTGTGAAATAGATTTGTGAGATCAGCACCTGCATCTTTGAAGAGGCCTGTAATTTTTCTTCTCTGTATGTCAGATCTAAGGGTGGAAACTACAGTAACTAAACTACCAAATTTAAACACAATGGGAATAATTGTGTCCTGATGTGGAAAGGGAAATGATCAGACTTTTCAGGGACTGCTGGACACAGTCTATGAGCTGATGTTTATTCCAGGGGACAAAAAACATCACTGTGGTCCTTCAGTTAAAGTAGGACCTTATGAAGGTCAGGTAATTAATAAAGTTTTAGCTTCAGTCAGACTTAGAAGGGGTTCAATGTGTCCCTAGACTCATTCTGTGGTCCTTTTCCCAGTGCCAGAATGCATAATTGGCATAGACATACTTAGCAGCTGGCAGAATCCACCATTTGCTCCCTGACTTGTAGGGTAGAGCTACTATAATGGGAAAGGTCAAATGGAGGCCAATAGAGCTGCCTATGCCTAGAAAAATAGTAAATCAAAAACAATATCAATTTTTTGGAGAGATTGTGAAGGTTAGTGACACCATCAAGGACTTGAAAGGCATAGGAGTGGTAATTAGCAACACATCCTCCTACAACTCTCCCATTTGTCTGATGCAGAAGACACATGGATTTTGGAGAATAATAGTGGATTATCGTAAGCTTAACTGCATGGTGACTCCAATTGTACCTGCTGTACCAGATGTGGTTTTATTGTTTGAGCAAATTAATACATCTCCTGGTACCTGGTATGCAATAATTCACTGGGAAAATACCTTTTTCTTCATTCCTGTCCATACGGCTCACCAGAAGCAATTTGCCTTCAGCTGGCAAGGCCAGTAATATGCCTTTGTTATCCTACCACAGGGGTATATCAACTCTTTGTGTGTCATAATCTTATTTAGAGAGCCCTTGATTGCTTTTGGCTTCTGCAAGATAGCACCCTGGTCCATTACATTGATGACATTATGCAGATTTTACCCAGTGAACAAGAAGTAGCAAACACACTGGACTTATTTATGAGACATTTTTGTACCAGAGAATGGGAAATAAATCTGACTAAATTTCAGGGACACTTTATCTCAGTAAAATTTCTAGGTGTTATAAGGTAAATAACAAGTTGCTACATTAGGCTCTTCCTACAACCAAGAAAGAGGCAAAATGTCTAGGGAACCTATTTGGATATTGGAGGCAACACATTTCTCATTCAAGTATCTTACTCTGGCCCATTTATTTAGTGACCTGAAAGCCTGCCAGTATTGAGTAGTGTCCAGAACAGGAAGAAGATCTGCTGCAGTTCTAGGATGCCATGCTAGCTTCCCTGCCACTTGGGCCATATGACCCAGCAGTTCTAATGGTGCTTGAGGCATCATTGGTAGATAAGGTTGCTGTTTGGAGGCCTTGCCAGGCTCCCACAGGTGAATCACAGCATTGGTCTCTAGTGTTTTGAAGAAAAGCTCCACATGTTCTGCAAATAACTACTCTCCTTTTGAGAGATCTTGGCCTGTTACTGGACTTTGTTGGAAACTGAACGTTTGACTATGGGTCATCAAGCCACCATATGAACTAAATGGCCTATCATGAACTGCTTGATTTCTTAACCATCTAGCCACAAAATGGGTTGTGCATAGCAGTATTTCATCATCAAATGGAAGTGGAATATATGTGGCCATGCTCGAACAGGATGTGAAAGAACAAGTAAGTTAGTTATATAAGAAAGTGGATCAAAAGTCCACGCTCTCCACTTCTGCCATCCTGCCTTTTCTCCTTCAACTTGCAATCATGGTCTCATGAGGAGTTGCCTATGATCAATTGACAAAATAAGAGAAGATTATGGCCAGGTTCCAGTTGGTTCTGCACAATATGCAGCCACCACCCGAAATTAGACAGCTGCAGCA
Organism: Homo sapiens; assembly: GCF_000001405.40. NCBI lineage: Eukaryota > Metazoa > Chordata > Mammalia > Primates > Hominidae > Homo > Homo sapiens. Next base: position 21,647,686 of record NC_000024.10, on the reverse strand, counting down.
CTACAGCTTCTTTTTAGGACATTCCTAAAAGACAGTGGTAAAGGGAAATCTTCCCAATGGGCAGAACTTCAAACAGAAATGGCCAGATGTGTGATTATATACTGATTCTTGGGCTGTAGCAAATGGTTTGGCTGGCTGATCAGGGACTTAGAAGAACCATGATTAGAAAATTGGTGACAAAGCAATTTTGGGAAAAGGTATGTGCAGGGGCCTCTCTGAGTGGTCAGAAACTGAGGATATTTATGTTTCACGTGAGTGCTCACCAACTGGTTACCTCAGCAGAGAAGGAATTTAATAATCAAATGGATAGAATGACCTGTTCTGTGGACACCACTCAGACTCTGTCCCAAGCCACTCCTGTCATCACTCAATGGGCCCATAAACAAAGTGTCTATGATGGTGGGGATGGAGGTTATGCAAGCGTTCAGAAAATTGACTTTTACTTACCAAGGGTGACCTGGCTATGGCCCCTGATGAATTCCCAATTTGCCAACAGCATAGACCAACACTGAGCTCTCAATATGGCACCACTTTTGTGGGGTAATCAGCCAGCCACCTGATGGAAGTTTGATTACATTTGATCTCTTCCATTATGAAAAGGAAAGAGGTTAGTTCTCAAAGAAATATACATTTACTCTGGATATGGGTTTGCCTATCCTGCATGCAATGCTTCTGCCAAGACTACCATCTGTGAACTAATAAAATGCTTTATCCACTATCATGTCATTCCACACAGCATTGCCTCTGACCAAGGCGCTCACTTTACGGCTAAAGAAGTGTGGCAGTGGTCTACTGATTATGGAATTCACTGGTCCTACCATGTTTCCCATCATCTTGAATGGGATCCATTGAATGATTCCATTAAATTAGAAGTTAAGATTGCCCCCTTATCACTTTGGGCTCCTCCTAGGTTTCAGTCATCAGGCTAAGAAAGGAGTTACAGTTTTGGCTGTGGTAATTGTCCTAAACTGTCAGATGAAATCAGTCTACTACTCCACAATGGAGGTAAGGAAGAGTAAGCATGTAATAAAGGAAATCAATCAGGGTGCCTGTTAATATTAACATGTCCTGTGATTAAGGTCAGTGGATAACTACAGCAGCCAAATTCTGGCAGGAATACAAATGGTCCAGACTCTTCCGGAATTAAGGTTTGGGTCACTCTACCAGGGAAAAAAGAAAAGAAAAAGAAAAAACAGCACCTGCTGAGGTGCTTGCTGAAGGCAAAAGAAATAGAGAAAATTTGGTAGAAAAAGGTAGTCATCAATACCAGCTATGACAACATGACCAGTGGCAGAAATGAGGACTTTGAATGTCCTAAATACTTCTTCCTTTTGTTAAAAAAAAGTTTGGCTGGGTGCAGTGGCTCACACCTGTAATCCCAGCACTTTGGGAGGCCAAGGCGGGTGGATCATGAGGTCAGGAGATCGAGACCATCCTGGCTAATCTGGTGAAACCCCATCTCTACTAAAAATACAAAAACAAAATTAGCCAGTTGTGGTGGTGGGCACCGGTAGTCCCAGCTACTCTGGAGGCTAAGGAGGGAGAATGGTGTGAACTTGGGAGGTGGAGCTTGCACTGAGCTGAGATCATGCCACTGCACTCCAGCCTGGGTGACAGTGTGAGACTCAGACTCTAAAAAAACAAAGTTTGTGCATGTATACAAATGTAAAAATATCTTTATTTTTTTTCTTTTTCTTTATCATGTGACATAAGATTTATTGACTTCATATTAATATTTGAGTATTCTTAACTTTACATAATACTATTTGGGTTAGGGATTGGGATGTTCCTGGTTGTACAAAGGATAGTTGTATTATGCTAGTTGTAATTATGACCTCATTATTGTCTTTATTTGAAGATTATGTATGCGCTTACGAGATGTGTATGGGTTCAACTTGACAAGAAGTGGAGCTGTGATGGTTAATACTGATTGTTGACTTCATTGGATTGGGGGATACAGAGTATTAATCTTCTTTTTTTTTTTTTTTTTTTTTGAGACGGAGTCTCGCTGTCGCCCAGGCTGGAGTGCAGTGGCGCAATCTCGGCTCACTGCAGGCTCCGCCCCCTGGGGTTCACGCCATTCTCCTGCCTCAGCCTCCCGAGTAGCTGGGACTACAGGCGCCCGCCACCTCGCCCGGCTAATTTTTTGTATTTTTAGTAGAGACGGGGTTTCACCGTGTTAGCCAGGATGGTCTCGATCTCCTGACCTCGTGATACGCCCGCCTCGGCCTCCCAAAGTGCCAGAGTATTAATCTTGTGTGTGTCTATTGGGTGGTCCCCCCAGAAAAATTAACATTTGAGTAAGTGGGCTGAAGAAGGCAGATCCACCTTAATCTAGTGGGCATAATCTAATCAACTTATAGTGAATATATAGCAGGCAGAAAAATGTGAAAAGCAGACAGGAGCCTAGCTCCACGCCTACATCATTCTCCCATGCTGGATGCTTCCTCCCCTTTTACATTGAGGTCCAAGTTCTTCAGTTTTGGGACTCAAACTGGCTCTCCTTGCTCCTCAGCTTGCAGGTAGCCTATTGTGATCATGTGAGAGTTAATACTTAATAAACTCCTCATACATTTTGTGCTCCATATACAACTAATTGAGCATTACACATGAGGTTAACTACCATGTTGCTGCTAGCTGCTAAGGTTCTGAAACTAATTTTTATTCAAACAGAAAAGATTTTACATTGTATGAATGAACCTCCTTTTTGGATTTCTCTTAATATATATTTTTTCATATTCCACATTTTTTATATTACAGCAATTTTCTCATTCATTTGTTTTATTTTCTCTTATTTTCTAATGTAAATTTTTCTGAAACTATTTATTTTGGGTTATTTTACAACAAGACAGAGCATAAGTAATTGTGATCAAAGATGCCCACTATACAAACTTCTATCAAGTAATTTATTAAACAGTAGAAGATACTTGAGTATTAAGCCAACAACTTTAGCAAAAGCAAGATTTCTCCAACACTGGCAATAATCTTTGAAATCTTAGTTTTCATTTGGCTTGCTTATTGTAATATCTTACAACTTTCATGAATAAGACACATTTAATATTTGTCTTATGACAAATATGCAAAATGTGGATGAATAGGAGTGTGCCAGTGCACATGTGTGCATGTGCATTATGTATGTCTTCCAGCTGTAGTCAAGATTAGTTCTATCCTAAAAGCCGCTGATTGAGTTTTCTCTCTTGGTTCCCCAAAACAGACGTGGCCTAGGGTTTTATTTTGCTATATTAGCATTTTATGGAAATATTTAAAAAGTAATGGGAAAGAAAAGGGGAGAAAAGGAAATATATGCTTTAGTTTCTAACCATTGATTAACTGAACTGACTTCACTAACACTTACCCAACCGTGAATCAACTGAACTTTAAAAAACTTCCTAAAATCCTTCTTATTTACAGAAAGCAAAAATTGAGTTAAGAAATCTTGAAAATATAAAATCAAAGTGTTCTGAAAGTGTGTTTATTTTTTTACAATTTTCTGGAGAGATGTTTCAACACTGTTAATATCTCAAAGATGCCTAAGACTCTAGATTTTAAGATATTTAGCAGCATTTCTAGCCTTTCAGCACCAGACGCTAGTAACAACCTTACCAATTCCACTTCCAGTCATCAACCAGGCATAAAGTAAAACTAAACTTAAATCTACTGACCTACAGAAACCCTGGACAATCACCCCGGACTGTCTGTCGTCTCGATGGTCTTACCATTTATAATCATTCCCCTTCCAAGGTAACTGCTCCAACCACAGTGACCTCGCTGTATTGCAAACAATCTAAGCAGGACTCTGCCAGAAATCATCATGCTTGTCGATCTTCCTACATACTTACATGATTATTCTCTTATTATTTTATTTAGATATGTACTTGCAAGTCACTTTCGAAACAAATTATACTTGTTTTACATAAAACCAAAATGTACTTTATAATAGAGAGTCTTGCCTCATGCATTGTATATGGAATTGATAAACTCAATTAATTAAATGCAAACAAAAACTTTATACTGTAACTACTAAAACAAAAACAAAACATCTAGGATCCCAAATTAGAGGTGTAATATTCAATGAAACTATTTTAAATAACATTGTTATTGGACAAAAATATAGATCTCCTAAATAAAAATAAACTCTGAGATTAGAAAACAATCAGTGCTTTACAAATAAAAATGAAAGCAAAACTACAGAGAAGACAGCTTCAAACCATTCAAAGAAATATCAAACCAATAAAAAAGTGTCTGGACCCTGGAAATCAACAGTTGCTATCAACTAAGCAATCAAGGGAGACAATTTTAAAATTATAAATTTATTTTTGGATTGCCATACTGCCTCCCTGGCACAGATGAAGCCTTCTAAACTGAAATTTATATTTTTAATTTGAGGCCCAGATTCCTGATTCAGGGAGGAGTTAAGAAGCCTTTATGTGCTAATTTACTGTGTTTTTTCTAGTCTTCCTAGGAGATAAATGACGAATTGATAAAACACATTTATTTTTGTTTTGCCTAACTAAGAACTCACTCTTGGTTGAAAATACCAAGAATTGGTCACATATCTTTACGACGTTGAGAGAAAAGAATACAGTTATCTCATACAACAGACAATCAGTTAATACAGATTCTGTTTTTTATGATAGTTTTTATATTGCTCTTATTAAAAATGCTAATGGAACGCATGCTAAGCTTTCAATAACTAAGAAAACACTTTGGAGATATGAATAAAATATATAACTGGCAATATAATATGCAAGCAAAAAATGCCTAGATAAAAGCTAAAGGAATGTGTAACTAACCCTTCTCTAAGAAAAATAGTATTACTATTACCACACTGGCAAAGTTATCTAATACTATTATACTTCTGCTAGGCAGCTACTACATTAAAAAATACAAATCTATTTTAATGGGCACTCAGTGCATACAGATATAATCTGGAACAATAATATAAATTGAGAAGGATAGAAAAGCCCAAGAGTAGCATTTTTTTATTGTTAAAATTAAATTTTAGATCATTCAATTGAGTTAACATTCTTCAAAGTAGGCGATTTTATGTGTAGAATATTACATGAAGTCCCAAATACAACTAATTGTAATATAAAAATACTGAAAAGAATAAATTTTTAAAAATCATATTTTTGAAATGATCAATGGAGGAATTGAGGATCAAATGTGATACAGAAAATATGGAAAACAAGTAAGTAAATGTTAGAGTATGCATTTTTTTATTTGTAATAACTTTAAATATGAGCTCTTGCATGAAAAGGGCAAAGAATGTCAAAAAAGCGCGTTTAAAGAAGGATTTACTTACACGATTTCTATGCAAGTATTACTTTAGGTGAAAAAACATGGAGATTCAAAGTAAAATGACACAGCTTCTGGGAAAAGAATGACTGGACTATAGAGCACTATATATCTGTTTCTTCAAGTGGCAGAATCGGTATGATGCAATTAGTTTGGAACTCCAGAGTCTATCTGAAAGTATACAGTTTCTAAAAGAAGATTTGTACAGTAAACAGCAATTAAATTTGATCATTTTTATAGCGTAGATCACCAGCAGCTATTTATTTTTCATTAGCTACCGCAGTGGTGTGCTACCTTGCGACTACTTCTGGAGCAGCTGGCAAGAGCCAGGATAAACAAAAAGAACTCAGTCCTCCAAATCTCAGGAAGACTTGGGCACCAATTGCTGCTTCTGATTATGGCAGTCCTGACACAGGGAAAAAGTCATGATTTCATTCCCCAAACCTTTTGCAGGCTTTTCCTCCTCCTCCTCAAGCAACTTTCAGAAGATTTAAAGAGCCAATGCATTTTTTTTCTAATTTTTCTTTTTTTTATCTTAAGAGACCAGACAATTATGGACAAAAACATTAAAAAGAAAACATATGTACATGAAACTTTAGAATAAAATTTGTTGTTAAGCACATGTGCCCCAAAATGGTGCAGGCTCAAGAAAGACCCAAGAATAAGTTGAGTAAGACTGACTGCCAGGACAGAAATAACCGACATGAGGAATTAAAAAAACCCTAGCAAACCACAGAGGGAGAAAATCTGATTTTCAAAGTTTCAGCATTTTAAGATTTGTTTTCAACACCAACAAAATCACAAAGCAAAAAGTGAAATAAGAAAGTATGGATCATCCTAAGAAAAAAAAATCACTAACAGAAGCTTTTCCTAGAAAGCTCAAATGGCAGGCTTACTAAAAAATAATTTTAAAAATTAATGTCCTTAGGAAGCTACTAGAATAAACAAAATGATTCTCCTGCCTCGACCTTCCAAAACAAAGAAATTCATGAACAAAAAATGTTAATAAAGAGAGAATAAACTTATTTTTAAAACTAAGAAAAAATTCTGGACCTGGAAAGGAAAACAAATGACATAGAAATTTTCTACATACATTTAAAAGGAGACTTGAGCAGATAAAAGAACAAAATGTTGGCAAACCTAGAAAAATGGCAGTTGAAATTATTAAGTCAGAAAGAGAAAAAGAAATAAAGAAATGCGAACACAGCCTAGATCCAGTAGGACACCATCAAGAAGACCTACTTATTCATTTTGAAAGTTCAAAGAGAAGAGACCAAGAAACAGGGAGTCTAAAGATACAGTGGGCAAGAATATAACACATTTGAGGAAATAAACACCTAGGAAGATCAACAAACTCTAATTAAGACAAACTCAAAGAGACACACTCAAACTTACATGATAATTACACTGTCTAAAACAAAGACAAAGAGAACCTTGAAAGCAGCAAGAGAAGTGACTAGTCATGTAAAAAGAACCCTGAAAAATAATCAGCAGATTTCTTATCTAAAAACTCAGAGTCCAGAAGGCAGTAGACTAATATTTTCCAAGTAATGTAAGAAAAGACTTTCAAACACAAATCTTATGTCCAAATAAAGTCCATCAAACGTGAGGGAAAAATTATGACATTCCTAGATATAAGCTGGGGTCTTTTTAGATAACCCTTTAAGAAATGTTTTATGGAGTATTTCAGGATAAAATGAAAGGATGCTAAACAGCAGTATAAATAAAGATTACGGTAAAGATAAATACGTGAACAATTATAAAAGAGAAAAAATTAACAATGTGCATCTCCGTAATTTGCTCTCCACATAATCGACAATACAATTTTATTAAAAAAAAAAAAAGTGAATTTTTTTCTTTTTCTTTTTTCTTTTTTTTTTTTTTTGAGACGGAGTCTCGCTCTGTCGCCCAGGCTGGAGAGCAGTGGCGCCATCTCAGCTCACTGAAAGCTCCACCTCCCAGGTTCATTCCATTCTCCTGTCTCAGCCTCCCGAGTAGCTAGGACTAGAAGCGCCCACCACCATGCCTGGCTAATTTTTTGTACTTTTAGTAGAGACGGGGTTTTCACCGTGTTAGCCAGGATGGTGTCGATTTTCTGACCTGGTGATCCGCCCACCTCACCCTCCCAAAGTGCTGGGATTACAGGCATGAGCCACCGTGCCCGGCTCTTTTTTTTTTTTTTTTTTTTTTTTGAGATGGAGTCTCCCTCTCTCGCCCAGGCTGCAGTGCAGTGGCCAGATCTAAACTCACTGCAAGTTCTGCCTCCCGGGTTCACACCATTCTCCTGCCTCAGCATCCTGAGTAGCTGGGCTACCAGCTTAACCACCACGAATAGCTTAGCCACCACGCCCTACTATATTTTTCATAGAGACAGGGTTTTACCATGTTAGCCAGGATGGTCTGAATCTCCTGACCTCGCAATCCACCCTCTTCATCCTCCAGAAGTGCAGCGATTACAAGAGTGAACCACCGCTCTTGGCCTGTTTTGTTTTGTTTTTTCTTTTTTTCTCTTTTTTTTTTTTTTTTTTTTTTTTTTTTTTTGAGATGGAGTTTTACTCTTGGTGCCCAGGCTGGAGTGCAATGGCGCGATCTCGGCTCATCGCAACCTCTGCCTTCTGGGTTCAAGCGATTCTCCTGCCTGAAAACCTTCCCAAGTAGTTGGGATTACAGGCACTGTAATTATTAGCCACATCTGGCTAATTTTGTATTTTTAGTAGAGACGGGGTTTCCCCATATTGGTCAGGCTGGACGCGAACTTCCGGCCTCTGGTGAGCCGCCCGCCTCACCTCTCAAACTCCTGAGATTCTAGGTGTGAGCCACTATGCCTGGCCTTGCTTGTGTTTTTGACAATACAATGCATAAAGGTATAATTTTGAGAAATCAACAAGTGAAATAATGGGGGTTGTGCTATAAATGAGTAGGGGTTTCATGTGTTACTGAAAGTAAACTAACGTGACTTTGAACGTGTTATAACTTTAGGATGTTCAATATAATCATCATAGCAACTACAAAGGAAAGAGAACAGGCAGGTAGAAAGCTTTCTGCACTACATCCGTGAGAAGGAGCTGTGGATTTAGTTGGTCTTACCAGACGCTACCTAGCCAGCCATCTTGGCACCTTGAACAGAAGCCTGAGCTGTCCCACCATGGAGTAAATGTGGAGAGCCTGAGGCACATAGCATAGCTGCTTCTTCCCACAACTTTTACTATGCCAGTGGTCATGTAGTGGAAGAGACTCATCCATACCCAGGGCCTGATGAAGCACTGGAGGCAGAAAGCAGGGACTATGTGGAGACTGAACTGAAACAAAGTTGCCACAGCAACTGCCTCAATCCTGTCTCTTTCTTCATGGCTACCCAGGAGGTTGAAGTTTGAACTATTATTGACAAAAGGCAAGACATAAAAGGGAAGACAGAGTATTTGGTTCAATGAAAAGGCTGACACTTGGGAACCAGAGCAGGACCTCGTGAACTGCGGTAAATGTATTTATGACTACAAGAGATGACTAAAAATCAGAAAAAAAGTATACTGACAAGAACAGGTAGAACTTTTTCAATCAATGTCAGAAAAAGGAACTTCCAGGTCTACGAACGCCAACTTTTCTAAGAACTCTCATAAAAAAATGACAGGTAAACATCACAAATCCAAAAACAGCCAGTCGTTTGCTGCCAGCCAGAACGTTAGGAAAATGCAGCTTCACCTCTCTCCAACCCAAAAATATGGAGCTGGTAAATTCAACTATCAAGACATTTGCAATTCTGAGACTGTTAACAGCAAAAACACCGAGAATGGCTTTCATGAACCTGAGAAACTGGACCCTGTTGCACCAGATTCGCAGGACATGTCAGTGCACAAGGTGGCATCAGAGAAGCCCATCAGAGCTTTAGCAGATCTTGGTGCAAACCAGGCTGGAAGAGCGAAGTGGCCCCAGATACACCCACTAATGTCTCAGCTGTCTGGCTCAATTACTACTTCCATGGCCACAGGCTCAGGTAATAAGGAAGGTACACTGGAATTAATGGATCCACTAACAGCCAATGGAACAAGAAACATGTATATATGTGTTCCAAGGGTGAGAGTTGGGCAAAGAAAGACAATTGATGATGAAAAAAATCAGCCTTTTATCAAAAGGATGTATTTCTCCATAAGGCTAACAGAAAGTGCCAGCAGGTTTAGAGACATTGTGGTGAGGAAAGAGGATGGCTTCACCAGATGTTGCTATCAACTAGATCAACAGAGAAAAACTCACTAAATAAAGAAGTAATGAAAGAAATTGAGAATTCTCTGAATATGGCCACTGGGAATGACAGCAAGCTCATGCTGCTCAGTGTAGCTGGCAGTGCCTTTTGCTGTGGTCTTGATTTTGTGTGCATTTAAGAAATGACAGAAACAGAGCAAGCATTGAAATGGTGGTCACCATCAAGAACTTTGTGAATACTTTCACTCTGTTTACGAAGACTATTGTACCAGCCAGTAGCCCAGGCATTGGACTAGGTGCATCTATAATGCTTTTTGTGATTTGGTTTGAGGTAAAGAAAAGGCTTTGTTTCACACCACTTGTACAACCTTTAGACAGAGTCCAGGGGGCTGTTCTACCATCACATTTCCCAAGATGATGGGTGGAGCATCTTCCAATGAAATGTTGATTGGTTGGTGAAAGCCGACAGCATGAAATGCATGTGCCAAAGGCCTGGTCCCTCAGGTGTCTTGGGCTGCAACTTTCACCCAAGAGGTTAGGATCCCTATTAAGGAGCTTGCCTCATGTAATCCAGTTTTGCTAAAGGAATGTAACACTCTTGTTCACTGTAATGTTATGATGGAGATGAAACAGGCCAATGTGAGAGTGTGTGAAGTGCTAAAGAAAATCTGGGGCTCAGCACAAGGGATAGAATCCATGTTAAAGCATGTGCCAGTCTGTCTGCTCAGGACAGAAGGATTGAGCTCAGCAGAATACATAATTAGCTCCAAGATGCCCTAATCTATCTTAATAGCCCCAAACAATATTACCCATAGCTAAAGCTTGAAATGAGAACTGGAAATGTACAAGATATTTATTTAATATTATCAAGGCATTTTAAGCACTCTACCTTTAAAATAAATAATAAAACAGCTACTTGGCCCAAATGTTATTATTTTATGCCCATATAAGCCCTAATATAACAGCAGACTGGTGAGCACTAGACTGTTCTTTAAAGCACTAATTTTTATTTATGGCTACTACTATATAAAAGATAAAACTTGTCTTTTATTAGATTTGGATGACAGAAAAGCCTGTAAGAATGTTTGTTGTTTATATCGTAGAATGCAGAGTCTAATGCTTTGTGAGGCACTCTCTGCTCCCCTCCCCCAAATAGAGACACAGAAACATCTAAGCCAATGCCTTTGACTTTACAAAGTCACAAATAACTCAGAGAGACAAACTTCTAAACCGAACACATGGTTAGAATTCATGTTGAGATATCAATTTATTTTAATTTCTTTCATAAGTTTCTAGTTCTTACCCGGTTAACATGAAGAAACCACTATCTAAACAAAACTTGTGTAGTATTAGTGAATCATAGAAACATTTAGGTGGAAATATTTAAGTTTTTATGTTTATAATGTGTAGTTGTTAGGTTAACTTGGAATAGGTACTACTTAATAAGTTAAAATTCTGAACACATAGTCAAATGCTGAAACTTCTTTCAAAATAAAGGAAAAACACTTATATTATCATTGACATTTAAAATTATCGGTGTCTGATTTTATGTGCTCACAATTTTCTAGAAAACTCTATAAGTTTATCTATCCAGAGCTCTCTGAAGCCTGTCCTCTTGGATTTTTATTGAGGCTTCATTACATAGGCATGATGGAATAATCTACTGGCCACAGGTGAACAATCTTACTTTTGTCACAGTATCTCTAGGCTGTTGCTTCTCAAGCCAAAAATCTCTGTGGATGGTGGCAGCATTGCCCAAGTTTCTCTTGGGGTTGCAGAGCTAATTTTACTGACTCAGCTTGACAGGCTGTGTTTAGCTGAAACTATCAGCTCAGATTCTATTCCTGCTGTGGGTGAGCCAGACACAGAGTAGAGAGAGGTACCTGAGTGACTGTTGAGTCCAGCCACTGTACACAGCTAAACAAACTGTCTGTGATAAGGTGAGCTGATACAAGTGCTAGAACAGGTGCCAACACCCTGCAAGTCTTTGGCTGAATCAGGCATACCACAAGCTGTTTCCTCCATAGGCACTGGAGAATGCAGTGTCATCCAAAAACTTAGAAATGCCAGAAACTGGAGAGCCCCAGAGATGGTGTCACAGTTCTGTCTTTGAACATGTTTAGGTCTAGGCTTCTCAAAGGGTTAAGCCCTTCTAATCCTTTTTGTAAAAACAATTCTGCTAACAATGTGGCAAGTGTGGGTTGGAGTGTTTTAATCCCGTTTCTGTTACTATACTTTTAGTTGTGTCATTAAGAGGATCCTGAGTTCTTGTCCCATGTCCAGAAAGAATGACATATGTGGGAAAATGGAGAGTAACCAAGGTAAATAGATGCTTTATTGAGTGAAGATACAGATCTCAGGATACAAAAAGTGGGTAACTCCATTTTACAAAGAGGACATACCTGCATCTGTGCAACACTCAGTAAATAGGAGACCCACAGATACAAATTTTAGTAGACAGACAGGTTGTGTAAACTTCTCTGAAGCCCTTGGTGGAGGGGAGATTCACAGTGGGTAGCTTCTATGAGCAGGAAGGTTGTTGCGATGTCTCTACATCCCTTAGTTAGGAGGAGACCTATCTCTCTACAGGCATGCAATCCCAGTAAGTGTATAAGTCTCAGTGAGAGGAGGCCCACAGTTGGTAACTCCACCATGAAGAGAAGTTATTTCAAAGTCTGAATAAGTCTGAAGTCCATATGGGCTTCTGAGGACAGAAAAACTGTGATGACTGGTCCATTGGAGAACATGAGTGAGACAGAAAAAGACATCTAATCCAAACCCTAACCACTAACACTAAACCCTAAAAATAACCCTAAAATGCTAACTAAAACCCTAATCTTAACCCCAACCAAAACCAAAAACTAGCCATATCTCTAAACTTAAATGTACCACTACACCTATCCCCAATCCTAAACATACCCCAGCCCTAAACCTACCCAAATCCCAACTTTTAACCCAAACCCTAACCCTAAACTAAACTCAATCCTAACCCTAAACCTAAAACAAAAAACCTAACCCTAAAATTGTAATTCTAACACCTAACACATAACCCTAACTCCTACTTTTACCCCTAACACTAACTCTAAACCTACTCTACCCCTACCTTAAAACAGTGACACTAACACTACCCATATATTGAACAACATCAACTGCAACTCCAACCCTATCCCCAACCCTAACCCCAAGCCCAAATCCAATCTTGACCCTTAATTGTAACCCCAAAACTAACTCTAACACATAATCCTAAAACTGAGCATGACACTGACACTAAACATGACCCTAAGCCAACCTTAACACAAACTTAAATATATACCTGACGCTAACACTGAAACACTAACACTAATGCTAAACACTAACCCTAACCCTAAACTAAATCCTAAAGCTAACAGTAACATTATAATCCAAACCCTAACCCCGTAACACTAACCTTAACACTGAACATAACCCAAACATATAAACTCTAATCTGAACTCTAACCATAAACGATAACACTAACTCTAAATCTACCCCAGTCCTACAACAACCCCAACCTCAAATCTCCCCTTTAATTATACCCCTGATGCTAAAACACTAACCCTAACTTTAACCCTAAAATCCTATTCCTACCCAACTGCAATGCGAACCGTAACTATAAATGCTGAAACCTATCACTAACCCAATCCAAGCCGTAACCACTAATCCCTAACCCTGAACATAAACGTAACACTTAACAAAACCATAACACTACCCAAACCCTGAGGTCTAACCCTGACCCAGACTCTAACTGTGACCCCAAAACCAACCACAAATTGACCAACAACCCTAACCATAAAACACTAAGCCTAGTAAAGACTGTAACAACTAGCCAAAACAATACAACCTAGATCTAAATTTTAACCGCTAATGCCAAACTAAGGCCCTGACCCAAACGCTAATCAAAGGTGACCACTAGACCTAAGCCTAAACCCTAACTCAAAATCTAAGGCTGAACCTTAACCCTAACCATTAACACTATGCCCTAAACCCTAAACTTCAAACAATAACCCTAACAGGTAATGATAACCCTAACCCATAACCCTAACACTAATCCTAACCCTATCTCTACTCCAAACCCAAACTAAACAAAAACTCTAACCCAGACCAAAACACCAAACAAGAAACCTGAACATAAACCTAATCATAATTGTAACATAATCATAACCATAACCCTAAAATTAAAAGCAAGCCCTATGCTAACACAAAACCTTAAATGCTAACATCAACCCTAACCATACACCCTAAACCCTAGATATAACCCTAACAATTAATAATAACTCTAACAATAGCCTTCTAACATTTTAAACCTATACCTAAACTTAATCATAAATGCTAAACCCTACCTTAATCCTCACAATTCACCTTAATCATAGAACAGAGCTAACATTAAATATAAATCTAAGGCTAAACCTAACTGTAACCCCTAACACAAACCTTAATCCAAACATACAACCCTAAATGTAAACCTAACCCTAAACCCTGACCCTAAGCCTAAACATAAACCCTAACCCCTAATTCTAACAGAATTTAACCCTAACCATAAGCATAAACCCTAACCCTAAGCATAAATGAAAATGCTAAACCCAAACTTAACCCTAATCCTATACTGCAACCCTAAACCTAACCCAAACCTACCACTAAGCCTCACCGTAACCCCTTATCCTAACCCTAAAGCAACCTTAACCCTAACCCTAAATGCTATACAATAACCCTAAATCTATCCCTAAACCCTAAACACTAACCCTAAACTCTAAACATTAACCCTAACGTTAACACTAACCTGAAACCCTAACCTCAGCCCAAACCCTAAAACCTAAACTGAATTCTTATCCTTATTCTAACCCTAACTCTAAGCCCTAACCCTAACAGTAACACACTAACCCTATTACCCTCACCCTCACCCTCACCTTAACTCTAACTCATAACACTGACCACAACCCTGGCCATGACCCTAACCTAGAACCTAACCCTACCTACCCTGGCTCGTAACCTCTAAGTATAAGCCTGTTTTTTAACCTAAACCTAAGCATAACCTGATCCCAAACCTAACCTAACCTAACATCTAAACCTGATTCTAACTCTAGCCCTAAACTTAAAACTAAACTTGACCCCTGACCCTAATCCTAATTCTAACCCTAACCCTAATCCTACCACACTAGACCCTAACCCAACCCCAGCCCTAACCCTCAATCTAACACTAACATTTCTTCTGCAATTGTAAACCCCTATCCCTAACACCCAACTTCTATCCCGTGTTTAATGTTACCCCATCTTCCTTCAAAAAATTTTAAATATATCCTCTATGACTCTAACCTCTAAGCCCTAATGCCCATAAGAGTACACCAAGCAATACTTCTTTGTAATTCCAATTGAGTAGCCAATTAAACATATGATATCACTGGGACAAAAAGCTAAATATTAACAAATCTGATAATTATAGACATCATAATGTTTAAACAAATACTAGTACATGGAATTAGGTACATAGTGAAGACATTACACACCTGAATGACTAAGTTCTTTTTTCAGAAAATCACGGGTTTTTCAACATTCTAAAGCCATCCCTTTTCAATATATTATGTAAATTAAATGATGAAAAAACACTACATGTTTATCTCAACTGTTACAGAAACTACTTAAATATAGTCAACAAATTTAATAATACAAACATCCAAAAAATGGGTTTGAATTTCTTTGATATGATAAAACATCTTTATGTGAAGCACATAACAATCATCATCTGAGCTGCTGTGTACCAAATCTTTAAGATTAGGAATGTAGCACTGATGCCCACTTTCATCACTGTATTCAACATTGTTTTAGAACTTCCATCCAGAACAATTAGAAAAGACAAATATATACCAACATATTCATATGTGAAAGACAAAAGTAAAACTTTCTACTCATAGATCTCATAATCTTATATACATAAAATCATAAGGAACCAACAATAAATTATGAAATCTTGTAAACAAATTAAAACTTACAGGACTAGATTACTCCAACTGCTCTAAAACCCACAGGGGCAGGTAGATGGGCATGGAAGGTGGCCTTGGAGCAGAGGCTGTGTTGCTACATTCGGTCCTGGGCTGCAGTGGCTGTGGGGCTAACAAAAACTATTCAAGTTCCTGAGGATTCAAGTAGAATTACTTAAAAACATAATGGATGAAGAAGAGAAAACCTACAATGCTTGTGAAAGCCCTAATGCCATGATATCAAACAGATATATCCTGAGTCATAAATTTGTTGTAAAAGGAGAACATGCACAAACCTCAGCAACAATGAAACCCGTTTGAGTGATCCAGGTCATTTTTCTGAGGAGGAAAGCATTGAGGTCAATTTGAGAGACATCCCTTCACAAGTGCAGCCAAAAGTATGCACATATTTTACCTAAATATTTCACTGAATGTACAGTTCCACAGAGATTCCTAAATTCCCATTTTACCTGAAGCTGCACTAGAACTGCTGATGGCTGTGAACTTTCTAGATTGCATGTAAATACAATTGATTGTATATAAATAAAATGAATTGATATAATAAAATAAATTATAATAAGCTGTCAATTTATTTTTGAGGTGGAGTCTCACTTTGTCACCCTGGCTGGAGTGCAGTGGAACAATCTCCGCTCACTACAAGCTCTGCCTCCTGGGTCCACGCCATTCTCCTGCCTCAGCCTCCCGAATAGCTGGGACTACAGGCAACTGCCACCACACCCGGCTAATTTTTTGCATTTTTAGTAGAGACGGGATTTCCCCATGTTAGCCGGGATGGCCTTGATCTCTTGACCTCATGATCCACCCCGCCTTGGCCTCCCAAAGTGCTGGGATTACAGGTGTGAGCCACTGAGCCCGGCCAGCTGTTAGCTCTTTTCAGTGTTTAAGACCTGTAGTTGAGATGCTATTTTTCATCTAGACAGTGCATTCCCTGTATGCAATGTAACTATAAAATTAATTGTAAATAAGGTTGCCTTTTGTTATTTGCATAGCAGAGTTGAAATGTGTTTGCAATATGAGCAAACTAAGGACATTTTCACAAACTGTGAAACAAATATGCAACTCATAAATGGGTTTGCCTTATGCTTTGTATATGACTCTTAAAATGAGAATTGATAACATAAAAATGCTGAAAATTAGGCATAAATGAATAACTGCATTTTAAAAATGTTCATACCTTAGCCAAAATGTTGATTTTTATCTAACCCTAACATATTAAATGTTTTATCAATGCCAATAATCCCAGCACTTTGGGAGGCCAAGTGGGAACTCTACAAAAAATACACACAAAAAAATCAACCAGGTATAGTGACTGAGGCTAAAGAGGAAGGATTAACTGAGCCTGGGAGTGAGAGGTTGCAGTGAGCCATGATGGCACCTCTGCACTTTAGCCTGGGCAACAGAGAGACCCTGTCTCAAAAAAAGGAATAAGATTTGAAATTTTTATTTTCTTTTAAATAAACTTCAGTATTCCTTAAAAGTGTCAGCCTGGAGCAGCGGCTCAGGCATGTAATCCCAGCATTTTGGGAGGCCGAGGTGGATGGATCACCTGAGGTCAGGAATTCGATACCAGCCTGGCCAACATGGTGAAACCTCATCTCTACTAAAAATACAAAAATTAGCCAGGCAGGATGGCAGGCCCCTGTAATCCCAGCTACTCGGGAGGCTGAGGCAGGCAAATTGCTTGAACCTTGGAGACAGAGGTTGTGGTGAGCCGAGGTCATGCCACTGCACTCCAGCCTGAGTGACAGAGCAAGATACCATCTCAATAATAATAATAATACTATACAATAAAAATGTCTAGTCTTGACATTTTGTTTATTGCTACAAGTTAAGAACTTAAAAAAAATAATTTTGGAATGTTACTAGGTACAATTTTTGAAGAAGTAACTGAACTGTATCCAGATGGTCAACAAGTCAACTATATGACTTAAGAGTTCTTGTACATTATACCTTTTGGGCAATTCAAAGTACTATATTTTTATTGACTGTAAAGCAACACATCCTTGGCAACATTCAAAACAGAAAAAAAAAAAAAAAGGCCAGGTGTGGTGTGGTGGCTTATGCCTGTAATTCCAGTTCTTTGGGAGGGAAAGGTGTAAGGATTGCTCGAGCCAAAGAGTTTGAAGCTGCGGTGAGCACACCGCCCACCACACTCCCACCTGGGCCAGAGACTGAGACGCTTCCGCAAACAACAACAAAATCAGTGGTAATAATATTTTAAGCTTAAATTT
Organism: Homo sapiens; assembly: GCF_000001405.40. Classification (NCBI taxonomy): domain Eukaryota; kingdom Metazoa; phylum Chordata; class Mammalia; order Primates; family Hominidae; genus Homo; species Homo sapiens. Next base: position 21,629,949 of record NC_000024.10, on the reverse strand, counting down.
AACCACGGTGCAAGACTTAGACATGAAAAATTATAACATATTGCTGAAATAAATTTCAGAAACCCTAAATAGATGTAAAGACACTCCATGTTTCTGGATTAAAGGTGATATTTTGTATGATGGCAATAATACACAAAGCAATCTACAAATTCACTGTGATTCCTATGAAACACCAAAATTCTTTTGGCAGAAATGGGCAAGCCAGTCATAACATTCATATAAATTTCAAGGCATTCTGAGTAGATAAAATATTCTTGAAAACAAAAACCAACTTGGATCTCAATTTCAAATATTACTACAAAGGAACAGTAATAAAAAGACCATAATACTAGCATAAGGACAAACATATAGATCGATAGAACTGAATGTTGAGTCCAAGAATACCTCTATAGTCAATTGATTTTTGACATGTAGCCAAGACCATTAAATTCAACAAATGGTGTTAGACCACTGACTACTAAAATTCAGACAAATAAATTGTACTCTATCCTCATAACATGTAGAAAAGTTAATTCAAAATGCTTCAGAAGCCTCAAAAATTAACTCAAAATGGTTCAAAAAGTTTAATATGTAAACAGAGGTAAAAATGTAAACTCTAGAAGAAAACATAGGGATAAATGTTCATAACCTTGAATTTAGCAGTAATTTCTTAGATGTGATACTAAAATCACAGGCAAATAAAGAAATAAATTCCTCAAATTAAAAACTTTTGTGGAACAAAAGACACTGACAAGAAAGTGAAAAGACACACCACAGAAAGAAAGATTCACACATGATATATGTGACAACAGTGTGTTATCCACAATGTATAAAGAAATTGTATAACTCAACAACATAAAAGACAAACAATCCAATTACAAAATGAAGAAATAGTGGAACACACACTTCGCTAAAAAACACGCATATGGAAAACAAGCACAAAAAAATATGAACAGTAAAATATGTAAGTTCTACTCTATCATGTGTTTCATATAATAGCTTTTCTCATAATCATGTGATTCTGTGTGGTATAATTACTACTTTTTATCTCTACCTGAGGAACAGACAAGGTAACAATACTGCTTGGGGGTAAGTTTCGTTGGATGAAAAAAAAATGCCTAGCAAAAATGACGTTCTGAAATGAAGACTTTCCTCATGGACTAGAGTTTCCAATAAATGTTACCGTTTGTACCTCAGCCTCCAGAGGTCGAGAATTTGGGAGACAGGATAACAGCAATGTTCAGGGAACAAGAGAGATAACCTTAAAATCTGACCACCGGTGAGCCAGCAGAACAGAAACACATTTCTCTTCTTTCAAAAGCAAATGGGAAAAATATCGCTGAATTCTTTTTCTCAGCAAGGAACATCCCTGAGAAAGAGAATGCATCCCTGAGGGTAGGCCTCTAAAATGGCCACTTTGGGGGGTGGCCATCTTTTATGGTCAAAGCTGTAGGGAAGAAATGAGCCCCAGTCTCCCATAGTGCTTCCAGGCTTAATAGGATGAGGAAATTCCTGCCTAATAAATTTTGGTCAGACCGGTTGTCTGCTCTCAAACCATGCCTCCTGGTAAGATGTTATCAATGACAATGCATGCCTGAAACTTCATGAGCAATTTTAATTTTGCCCCAGTCCTGTGGTCCTGTGATCTCACCCTGCCTCCATTTGCCTTCTGATATCTTATTACCTTGTGAAGCATGTGATCTCTGTGACCCACACCCTATTTGTACACTCCCTCCCCTTTTGAAAATCCTTAATAATAACTTGCTGGTTTTATGGCTCAGGGGGCATCACGGAACCTGCAAGCATGTGATGTCCTGCCCGGACACCCAGCTTTAAAATTTCTCTCTTTTGTACTTTGTCCCTTTATTTCTCAGACTGGCTGACACTTAGGGAAAACAGAAAAGAACCTACGTGAAATATTGGGGGTGAATTTTGCCTGATATCTGGCTGAATTTCCCCTGATAAATGGGGAAATTAAATTATTATATCTACTTCTGTTCCCTGGAAAGCAGAGCCAGGAGAGTGTATAACACAGCTCCTGATTGTGCCATATGTGAGAATGGGAAAATTTGAAATTAAATGAACAGAAGGATTTGGAAGCACAAATAAACAAGGCAAAGCAGCTTATTGGGTAAATCAAATTGCTGATAAACATCCTGCCTGTGAAATAACTATTGAGGGAAAGAAATTTAAAGGTTTGGTAGATACAGTAGTGGACATTTCAGTCATTTCTCTACAGCACTGGCTGTCTGGACTGCCAATTCAACCAGCTCAATTTAACATAATTGGAGTTGGTAAAGCCCCTGAAGTATATCAAAGTAGCTCTATTTTACATTGTGAAGGGCCCAGTGGACAACCTGGGACTGTTCAACCAATTATAACTTCTGTACCTATAAATTTATGGGGAAGAGATTTATTACAACAATGGGGACCACAAGTTCTAATTTCAGAACAATTATATAGCCCTGAAAGTCAACATGCAATGCATGAAATGGGATATGCCCCTGGTAAGAGAGTAGAAAAAAAAAAAAACGGAAGTTTTGAAAAAACTGCTTCAAGCGGAAAGGCAAAGTTCTCGCTAAAGTTTAGGATACCATTTTTGATGGTGGCCATTGTTAAGCCTCCAGAAGCTATACCTTTAAAGTGGTTAAGAGACAAGCAAATTTGGATAGAACAATGGCTGCTAAATAAAGAGAAACTGGAGGCTTTAGAGAAATTAGTTACTGAACAATTAGAAAATGGGCACATAGCTTGAACTTTTTCCCCTTGGAATTCTCTAGTTTTCATAATTAGGAAAAAATCAGGTAAATGGAGAATGTTAACTGACATAAGACCCATCAACTCAGTTATACAACCTATGGGAGCATTACAGCAAGGATTGCCTTCTCCTGCTATAATTCCAAAAGATTGGCCTTCAATAGTCCAGATTGAAAAGACTGTTTCTTTTCTATCCCTTTAGCTGAGCAAGACTGTGAACGGTTTGCATTTACAATTCCTGTGGTAAACAACCTGTATACTGCAAAGTGTTTTCATTGTTTTACAGATGGGTCTAGTATGGTAAAGCTTCTTATTCTAGCTCAAAAAGCAAAATTTGCAGATGTCCTATACTTCAGCTCAAAAAGCAGAGCTTATAGCTGTAATTGAGATATTTACTGCTTTTGAAATGCCTATTAATGTGATTTCTCATTCTTCATACATGGTTCATTCCACACAGTTAATTGAAAATGCTTAGTTATGATTTCATACAGATAAAGAACCGATGACTTTATTTACCCAATTGCAAACAACAGTTAGAAGTAGAATACACCCTTTTTACATCACTCACATTAGGGCTCATATACCTCTTAAAGGACCTTTAACTGAAGGGAATCAAAAGGCTGACCACCTAGTTGCTAATGCAATATCTAATGCTAGACACTTTCACAATTTAACCCATGTTAATGCCTCCAGTCTCAAATGCTAGACACTTTCACAGTTTAACCCATGTTAATGCCTCTGGTCTCAAACACAGATACAGCATTACCTGGAAATAAGCTAAAACTATTATCCAGCAATGCCCAACTTGCCAATTGGTACATTCCTTATCTTTTACAGGAGTTAATCCTTGAGGATTGGAACCTAACTGTCTTTGGCAAATGGATGTCACACATACACCCTCGTTTGGGAGACTAGCTTATGTACATGTATGTGTGTACACATTTTCTCACTTTTTCTCGGCTATGTGCAAATCAGGTGAATCTTCTGCCTGTGTTAAACATCACCTTTTGCAGTGTTTTGTGGTGATGGGCATTCCAGCTTCTACTAAAACAGATAATGCCCCAGGCTATGCTATCCAAACCCTAGCTACATTTTTCTCTATGTGGAATATTAAGCACATTACTGGTATCCCATACAATTATCAAGGACTAGCCATAGTGGAAAGAATAAATCTTTCCCTAAAACAGCAGTTGCAAAGGCAGAAAGGGGGAAATAGAGAATATGGAACCCCACAGATGCAACAAAATCTAGCATTATTAACTTTAAAATTTTTGAGCCTGCCCAAAGGCCAGATGTTATCAGCAGCTGAACATCATCTACAGAAACTGGTTGCAAAGACAGAAGTGGAACAACTGATTGGGTGGAGAGATCCAAAAATAAGAAGTTGGGAAATAGGTAAAATAATAACTTGGGGTAGAGGTTATGCTTGTGTTTTTCCAGACTAAAATCAACAGCCGATTAGGACACCATCAAGACACCTGAATCCCTATCATGAACCAGACTCTGGGAGGATCCTGAGGACCCCTCAGTTGCAGCCATATTGAGGTTGATGCTGAGGAGGACCCCAACTGTCATGAGCAACACCCATTGAACACAGTCAACCACCTGGGGACAGATCAAGAAGCTGTCACTGATGGCAGAAGAAAACCTGAGGAAAGCGGGACAACCAGTCACAACAAGTAATTTAATGGTAGCTATGATAGCAGTTATCACCACTGCCATGAGTATTCCTTCAACAAGGGTTGAGACAGAGAACAATTATTCTTATTGGGCATATTTATCAATCCTGGCTGGTACTTATGCCTGAATATAATCACTCTATGACACGGTAGCACATGCTTTCTGATCTCAGTATTTACCATAATAAATCTGCTCCTATAATTGAGGCATACCACCTTCAAAAACCTATTTGTAAATAAAACAGAATGTGGCCAAAAATAATGAACCTACTTGTTTACGAAGATTGCTTTGCAGAAGAGGCAGAGGTGCTGCACAATGATTCCTATGGAATCATGATTGATTGGTCCCCTAAGGAGATGTTTAGCTTGAATTGCACCTCTCAGTCTGTGTGCCATGGCTACACTATGTTCAGCTTGTCTGAACAAAATGATCAGATGGTAGAAATGATAAGACGTACTGCAAGAGTTCCTATTATCTGGAACCATGGTAGTATAGTGGTACCTCAACCTCAAATGACATGGCCCATTGTAGAAGCTAAACATAAGGATTTACAGAAACTATTAGTAGCTCTTAATAAGATCAAGATTTGGGAAACCATAAAAATAGTATCTAAAAGGACATTCTACAAACTTGTTTTTGGATATTGCAAAATTAAAAGTACAAATATTTAAAACATCCCAGGCACACCTGACCTTAATGCCAGGATCTGGAGTGCTTAAAGGAGCTGCAGACAGATTCGCAGCTAGTAACCCATTAAAATGGATAAAAACACTGGGAAGCTCTGTGATTTTAATGATGATTGTGCTTTTAATCTATGTTGTTTTTCTGTATATAGTCTGCAGATGTGGATTCTGACTTCTGCAAGAAGTAGCTCACCATGACAAAGCTGACTTTGCTTTTATCAATTTGAAAATCAAAGAAGGGGGCATGTTGGGAACAGGCCCCCCAAATCTGGCCATAAACTGGCCCCAAACTGGTCATAAACAAAATCTCTGCAGCACTGTGACATTTGCATGATGGCCATAAAGCCCATGCTGGAAGGTTATGGGTTTACAGAAATGAGGGCAGGGAATACCTGGCCTGCTGAGGGTGGAAAACCACTTAAAGGCATTCTTAAGCCACAAACAATAACATGACTGATCTGTGCCTTAAGGATATGCTCCTGCTGCCATTAACTAGCCCAACCTATTCCTTTAATTCAGCCCATCCCTTCATTTCCTATAAGGGATACTTTTAGTTAATTTGATATCTATAGAAACAATGCCAATGACTGGCTTACTGTTAATAAATATGTGGGTAAATCTCTGTTCGAGGCTCTCAGCTCTGAATGCTGTGAGACCCTTGATTTCCTGCTTCACACCTCTAGATTTCTGTGTGTGTGTCTTTATTTCCTGTAGTGCCACCGGGTTAGGGTCTCCCCAGCTAAGCTGGTCTTGGCACAGTTTCAAATGAGCAGTATACACAATATACAAATAAGAAAATATGATTAATATTCCCTAGGTTATATTTTGGTAAATATATTTGGGTAAAATGTTATTTGTTTTGGAAGCTGCATGGAATTCCTGGAAATTTGTGAATGACCTATCTATTATATGTCCCAGGATAATATCTTGAGTCATAATTCTAGTCATTATTTTAAATGTTGTTTGCCACAGAAGAAAACAAATTTTCTTGCTAATTGTAACATAATGAATGTCATTAGATTTTTAACCATGGCCATTTTGCACCTTTTCTAATTTACAGGTAGTTATTATTTCAATATCATGCTTTTCCTTTTGCATCTGCACTGGCTAGAGATCAGAATGTTTGTCTCCAACAAGGCACTGCCTCTGATACCGATGGAAACAACTGTAATGCGTCCTCTGGGCACAAGCATCTGATGTCAAAGTTTCAATAATTTTATGTTTATACTATGGGACTGAGTAATGATATCCAGAACTCTAGTGGAGAAACTGATGGTCTCATGGAACTGCTAATACAAAATCAAGCAAGACTGGAATCAATTACATAGTATTTAATGAACTGATGAAGAATGATTATTTTATAGCTTTTGTTTTTGGTTTGGCAAATTGTTGGTTCTGTAATATTCTATTTTTCTGTGTTCAAGAATCCCCATTTTTTCTCTTAGGCTAACTGTTTAATAGCGTACATTTTTGTAGACAGAAATGAAAGACTTACAAATCAAATATAAAATTTTAAGTTTCCCCTCAAACCTGCCCACCACAGGGATCTGAATGGACCCCTCCTTTTGGCCAAGGGCCTTTTAAAATTGGTTCAGGTCCTGAGAGGAAAGAAGGATAGACATGCTTCATTATACACTCCACCTTTTTGAAATTTAGGGAAAGTTGACCATCATTAACATCAACACAGACCTTAAGTTTGACAAGAAATATTTACCACCTATTCTCTTTTAAGTCTGCCACATGGAGTCTTCCTCATCTTGATAAACTTTGTCTCTATGCTCCCTATTATTTATTGCAACCCAGTCATTCCTATCCATTGTTTCTATGTCTACAGAAAATAACTCTTTCAACCAACTGCCAATCAGAACGTATTTAAATATACCTATAACTTGAAAGCCCAGCCCCGCACCACCACTCACTTCAAGTTGTCCCACCTTTCTGGACCAAACAAATGTACATCTTACATGTATTTGATTGATATCTCGTGTCTCCCTAAAATGCAGAAAACTAGGCTGTTCCCAGACCATCTTGGGCACATGTTCTGAGGATCTTCTGAGAAGGGTTGTGTTATGGGTCATTGGTCACCCATATTTGGCTCAGAAAAAATCTCTTTAAATATTTTGCAGAGTTTGACTCCTTTCATGAACACATGTATCTTTTTTCTCCCTGCTTAGTCCTCCAGAATTTTGGATCTCATAAAATGTTCTTATTTTCATGGCAATATATTTTAGGTATTCATGCATATTTGTATGAATATGTCAATGTATATTTAAAGAAAAATCATGAAGGTTTACACTATGACTTCTCAGTTATGTGCCCCCTGGGAGAGCTATTAAAAAGGGTAAGTGAAAACTTTGGGTTTTTTATTATATACTCATGTAGGCATTCTGATTGAAGTGAGATGAAATCTCATTGTGGTTTTGATTTGCATTTTCCTGTTGTATTACTGATGATGGGTGCTTTTTACTGTGTCTTCTGGGCAACTGTATGTCTTAGTTTCACAAATGAGTATTCATACCCTTAGCTCATTTGTTTTCATGCTATTGAGTTGTTGGAGTTCCTTATGTGCTGTAAATATTCACCCATTAACAGATGTATGGTGATTCAATAATTTCACCCATCTTGTAGGATGTCCCTTCCCTCTCTTCAGTTTCCTGTGGTGTACTGAAGCACCTTAGCTTGACATAACCCGATTATCTATTTTTGAAGGTGTTTACTGTGCTCTTGCAGTCACTTTGAGACCACCATTGCCCACACCGATGTCATGGAGCTTCTTCCTTGCGATTTCTTCTGGTATTTTTGTCGTTTCTTGTCTGACATTGGAGTTCTGTGAGACATAATCTACTCTTAAAATCCTTTATGTGGATATTCAGGTTTTCCCCAACCTAGTTTATAGCAGATACCTGATTTTGCATTGTGCATTCTTGCTTTTTTGGGATAAGGTCATGAGCTGCAAATGCGGTGACTTAGTTCTGGGACCAGATTGTTTTTCATTAGCTCATGTCTCTGCTTGTCGGCCAGTGCTGTTCTATTTTGGTGCATAAAACTTTGTAGCATATTGTGAAGTTAGGTAGTATGAAGCCTCCAGCTTTGTGCTTTTTACTGGATTGTTCTGGGTCTCAGGATCTTCTACCATTTCATAGCAAATTTAGGATTCTCAGATGGTTTTTCTATGAAAAGTGGGTCACTGATACATTTACAGGGGTTGTACAGAATCTGTAGATCACTTAGGTAGTATTGATGTCAATGCCATTTAGACAATATGTTTTTGTGTGCACATGCTCAGGTCTGAGAGACATTTGGTGTCCTCACTAATACTTAGGTGGGTCCTAATGTCCAGCCAGATTGCCTTCCTGAACACACACAGAAGGTCCCCTTCCATTTTGCCATCTCTTCACATTTCTTCCCCTGTGAAACCTGTGTCGTCTGGATGGCAGAGGGGAAACAGCATGTCAGGAGTCATTGACACAGAATTTGACAGGTCTGGGAGAGCCATTCTGGGAAGATGTAGACCTAGAAGGGCCTCAGGTTGGCATTTGTGTGGAGGGTGAGAGCACCCTGGGCCTGACTTCTCTCCCATTGACCTTAGTTACTTACACCTCTTAAGTAGCTTAGGGTTCCCCAATACTGAAATGTGGGTGCTACAGTTCCCTGATGGGCCTTTCCCCCTGAGCGATGAATAGCCTGAGTTTACTTACCTCAGTCTCCTCCTTGAGCCTTGGCTTCGCTATGTATCCTGGCTCCAGGACCCACAGGCCTCTCATCCCCCAGCCCTGGGCTGCTTCCCTGGCCTCTTCTCTGTTCCCTCTCTGAGGGCCTAACTCCCTTGGGTAGTGCTGCATGAGATTGAGCCACGGGCCCTGGCTGATGATCTGGGGGACTGGGCAAAGTAGTCGTGACAGGTTAGGTTCTGGTTCAAAGCCAATTCCTCTGATGCCAAGGAATGACCAGCTCCTTACCTATGATGTCCCACAGCTGCCCCACTTCAGCAATCCTGCCATACCCTGGTCAATCACCATCAGTCAACCAGCTGAAGAAGCTCACTTAGGTTGTGTCCTGCCTGAAACTGAGGCCTTCACTTGCATGACCCTAGAACAACCGGACTGTAGTGGAGGTAGTCACCCTGTATCCTGGAGGGGAAGGAGTCAGGAAGGCTCATGCCAGGCCTAGCTTCCCACATACCATCCCCTCTACCATGCCGGGAGGCACTCCTTATTGAGAATTCCAATGCAATACTCCTTAATGATCACTTCATTGTGGAAGTAAATGTTGTGATGAAAGGCAAACTTCTTCTTGCCACTTGTACTCAGGGTGGCTGAGTTCCTCCACCTGCCTATCCAAGAAGGAGAAAGAGGACAGTCAATGGACAATTTCATCTAGGTGGGTTGAGGTGGCCTGCTAGCTGGGGTGAAGCATGCATTTTCCCCTTCCCGGCTTTCCCGCTGAGACATCCCTGAGCCCCAGGAGGACCTCAACCTGACCAGGACTTGGAACCCTCCCCCAGAACCAGGCTCCCCATCCTCACTTGCAAATCCATCATGTAGCTTTGCAGGACTTCCTCATAGTTTCTGAGCTACTTGCTCTCACCAGAAATAATCACAACTTTTAAACTGTTCTTTCTGTCAAATTAATTTTTTTATTTTTACTACCTCATGTTTTGGATGAGGTATGTATTTTTAAATTTATTTTCACCCTTATTGTAACTCTGTGATAAACAGTTTACTAACATTCATACAATAATCATCCTTCACTTTTACTTGTCTGTTCCTAAAGATTCACTGAAACTAAGAATTCCATTTCTGTTTGTATCTTTCAGCAACCATACGTCAGATAACAATGCCCATTACTGCAGAAATCACATATACAGTTCCAATAGGAGATGAAGAAGAAGAAAGCAAGATTTAAAGTCTATAAGTTCCCAACACTGTATCAGAAACTCAGTAATCATAGTGAAATCAAAGAATGATCACAGCCAATTCCATCTCATATCTAGACTGAAATATAAAATTTCAAAAGAAAAGAAAGTTAAGAACTTTGATCTTATAAAAATTTTCCTATATTGATAAAATTATTGGCAACTTTATCTCACTAGAAAACATGAACAAAAATACAACATTTGTATATGTGTAAGTATAAATATTTTTAATTCCATCAGTTACAACATGAAAGCAATTAATAAAGTGAAAGTGCAATACAATAATATATGGAACTTCCTCAGTCTCAAAATACTCCGTTGACTATTAATTTTATGAAAACCATAAAGAATGCTTCATGAAACTACATTGTACAGTAACTTTTAGTATTTTAGTTACATGTTAAATAATCAACATATTAAAGGGAATTCTTCAAAATTATTTATTACCAATACCCTTATTCTATTTAGGTAATACTTTTGAAATTAAGTATTTTAAATAAAGCATTAAATACAAATTTTATTGACTGATTTCAGCCTTTGATGAAATCGTACTTCTGTATTTGTTGTAATGTGAAGTGTAACTTTCTCCTCACAATGGATCTTTTGTAACACCAGTGTTATTTTTTTCTCTGATAGAAACACTATGATATCTCATAGCTTTACTGTATCCATATATTTCATGCCTCCAGGGAGTAGGCTTCAAACATATAGAAAAACTGTACTTGTGACAAAATTCCTGGAAAGGGAATGGTAAAATGGGAGAATAATTTCTAACTTTCTGTTGGTCAATGGATTTGTATATCTTTAGATATAGACACATATTTGCACACTGTGAATTTGCATATGTACATATAAATTTATGTAATTTCATAGGTGTGAAATTTGATAAGTGGTTACCTTATCTGTACTCAATTTGCTGGAAAGCCAACAAAATCTCTGTCAATATTTATTTCAATTAATCCAGTAATGTTGACTGTTGATAGCTTCATTCTCCTTGATCCTTGTTGGCAATCTGAAACTTGATGCTCACTCGAATTCATCTCTCAGGGCGCCATCCACAAGAGACAGTCACCTTGCTGTGGATTGTGACCTCTGACTCCTCCTCTTTCTTACTGTAGCAGTCCTACCTTTGCATATTTAATAAACTTTGTACATGGTTAAAAGGATAAAAGTTCAGTGAAATGTCAAGCCATGCTGTGAAATATTCAATTGTTTCTATATCTCTAATTGACCTTTCATGTTATAGAGGACAAGAAAAACAATTCATTATGTTTCTTAGTATGCAGTCCAATGCCCTCTTTCTTATTAATATGCCAAACCCATCCCTTCAAGGCACTGACATCTAAACATGGCTGGACATCTCAAAATCTCTTCTCATTAATAACCATTATGTTAATCACTGTTACCCAGAACTGGAATCTGACTGTGAAATCCCTGGGTAGAAATTGTTATAATGGCTCAAACTATGGGACTGACTATTTTTCACCTGAAAATATCTGATGAGCACATACATATGCTATGTGCATGAACATATTGTACATTAACAACATGCCATCACTGCCAGTAAATAATAGGTATCCCAAACTTATGGGCCAAACTGAGCTCAGGTGCTCCCATAAACCAAACTTTTACCTCCAGAGATTTTCTATGTCAAAAAATGGCAATTCCAAGCCAGACGTGGTGGCTCATGGCTGTAATTTCCACACTTTGGGAGGCGAAGGTGGGCAGGTCACTTGTGGTCAGGAGTTCAAGACCAGCCTGGGCAACATGGCAAACATATCTCTATGAAAAATGCAAAAATTAGCCAGGTCTAGTGGCACTTTCCTGTAGTCCCAGTTACTTAGGAGGCTGAGGCAGGAGAACTGCCTGAACCTGGGAGACAGAAGTTGCAGTAAGCCCAGATCTCATCACTGCACTCCAAACTGCATGACAGAGTGAGAACCTTTCTCATAAAATAAAATAAATAAAATAAAATAAGGCAACAGCATTTAGGTAAAAATATTGGAGTCAGCTGGGCACAGTGGCTCATGCCTGTATTCCCAGCACTTTAGGAGGCCTAGGTGGGCAGATCATCTGAGGTCAGGATTTTGAGACCAGCCTGGCCAACACGGTGAAAGCCCATCTCTACTAAAAATATATAAAATTAGCTGGGCATGGTGATGCATGCCTGTAATCCCAGCTACTCGGGTGACTGAGGCAGGAGAGTTGCTTCAACCCAGGAGGCTGAGGTTTCAGTAAGACAAGATTGTGCCACTGCACTCCAGCCTGGGCTACAGAGCGAGAGTACCCTATGAGAAACAAAGGTGAAAAGAACAAAAAATAATTAGGAAAATAATACCCACTACTAAAATTTGCCACAGAAATGATAAAAACTTCACCAACTTCCACATTCTATATTGGAAGCTCAGGTTATTTGGACCAATCCTCCTGTATTAGTTCATTTTCATGCTGTTCATAAGGACATATCTGAAATTGGGAAGAAAAGGAGGTTTAGTTGGACTTACAGTTCCACATGGCTAGGGAGACCTCAGAATCATGGCATAGGAATAAAGGCACTTCTTGCATGGTGGTGGCAAGAGGGAATAAGGAAAAAGCAAAAGCATAAACCCCTGATAAACCCATTGGATCCTGTGAGTCTTATTCACTATTACAAGAATAGTTCGAGCAAGACCAGCCCCCATGATTCAATTACCTCTCCCTGGGTCCCGTCCTCAAAACGTGAGAATTCTGGGACATACAATTGAAGTTGTGATTTGAAGGGAGGCACATGAAACTATATCACCTCCCAAACAATTAAAAATTCTGAATGGAAAGAACATTAATCATGTCAAAAACTGGCAGGCCAGGAAGGAACTCTTAGCCTCATATCTCAAGAAAGACTGTAGTCAAGGCCCAGGGCCTACTTATGAAAAGAGTTTAATAGCCAACTCTCTCCAAATGGATCTGGAATCCCATAGGATAGTATCTTCATGGTAAGGGTGAAACAGAAGTAAACCCATTCCTGTTTCCAAGCTCAAGGAACTTTGGCCAAAGTTGTCTTGGAGCTGAGCAGAATAAGGAGGAAAAGAGAAAAAAATATTGTGTCCCTGAGAAGTCATGGCCACAGGCTGGCCATCACACAGATTGTCAAGCCAGTTCCATATTGCTTGGGTATTACAGACAAACTCAAAACATCAATTTGTGTGTGAGCTACCCCAGAATAGCACGATCTGGCAGTAGCAAATTTCATCCTAACCCTCAAGGAATCCACTTTTGGGATTTTACCATTTATTTCATGAATGAGAATGGACTTTTTAAAAAATATCTTTTTGTATACTCAATTTATGTGGCATTGGTATCAAAGTTCTGCTTGCCTCACAGAATAAGTTTAGGATTTTCCCTTTTTTATTTTATACAATTCTTTACATATGTTGAAATGCTCTGTCTGGGGAAATAAATCTGGGCCTAGTGTTTTATCTGTAGGAATAATCCTTTATTTCCTTTAACATTTATGAGACTATTCAGATTACATACTTATTCTTGTATCAATTTTTCTTAGCTATATATTTATAAAAATCTATTGATCTAAGTTTTCAGATTCGTAGCACAAAGTGTTAATCATATTTTCTTTTTTGTTATATTTTATTAAATTTAATTAATTTATTTATTTTTAGTTTTTATTTATTTTTATTTATTTTTTATTATTATACTTTAAGTTTTAGGGTACATGTGCACATTGTGCAGGTTAGTTACATATGTATACATGTGCCATGCTGGTGCGCTGCACCCACTAACTTGTCATCTAGCATTAGGTATATCTCCCAATGCTATCCCTCCCCCCTCCCCCCACCCCACAACAGTCCCCAGAGTGTGATATTCCCCTTCCTGTGTCCATGTGATCTCATTGTTCAATTCCCACCTATGAGTGAGAATATGCAGTGTTTGGTTTTTTGTTCTTGCGATAGTTGACTGAGAATGATGATTTCCAATTTCATCCATGTCCCTGCAAAGGACATGAACTCATCATTTTTTCTGGCTGCATAGTATTCCATGGTGTACATGTGCCACATTTTCTTAATCCAGTCTATCATTGTTGGACATTTGGGTTGGTTCCAAGTCTTTGCTATCGTGAATAATGCCGCAATAAACATATGTGTGCATGTGTCTTTATAGCAGCATGATTTATAGTCCATATTTTCTTATTAGCTTCCTAATCTGTACTGTATCTATTGTTATGTATCTTTTTAATTCTTAGTTTTATTTGTGCTTTCTCCCTTTTTTTTCTTAACTTGCCTGAGGTTTGCATCTTTTATTATGTTTCTCCAACAACCAAATATTATCTTTGTATGTTTTACTAATTTTCTCTACATCATCATCCCTGCACTTTAGTTTTTCAGAATTGATTCTGTTGTTTCTTTTCTAATTCTTTATGTAAACACCTAGTACATTAATTTTTAAGTTGTAGAAACATTTAAGTGTATAAACTCCTATTGCAATATCACTTTTCCTGCTACTCACAAATTTCATTTGTAATATTTTCAATATCATTAAGTTCTAAGTACTTTTAAATTTCTATCATGATAATCAATGATAGGGAGCTGAGAAATATTTATGTTATTAATTTTGTTGTTCAACTTCAACTTAATTTTATTTTAATTTGTGTTAACTCAATGGAAAATTCTTTACAAATTTAAAATCTCATATCGAGACTTTTATTCACTTCAATTGTTCTATAAATGCTCTCACCTTGAAGAATACTTCCTTGTTGGCTGTTTCCCTGCAACAGTCTTGAATGGTTGCCCTCTAGGCCTGACTCAATTTTCTCATCCTAGGATTTTCCTTCACCACACTTTTAAGAATTTATTCTCTTGCGTTATGTCTCCTATTTTTGGCATTCCATGTCTTTCTCTTTCTTAGTTTACTTTTTCCTTTTGGTAGGAAAAAGTCTGTAGTAGCATCTTGAGAATAGGTTCACAGGGAGACACAATGTTAGAGATGTCATATGTCCAAAAAATGTATGTTTTCTACTTGTACGTTTAATTTTTTTCTATGTGGAAGTAGAAACATATGTCAGAAATCATTTTCCTTTAGAATTTTCAAAGCATAACTCCATTGCCTTCTGGTTTATAGTGATGGTGTTGAAAAAAATTTTTTTGAGGTACAGTTTTGTTCCTGTTGCCAGGCTGGAGTTCAATTGCATGATCTCAGCTTACTGCAACCTCCACCTCCTGGGTTCAAGTGATTCTCCTGCCTCAGCCTCCTGAGTAGCTGAGATTACAGGCAGGTGCCATCATGCCCAGCTAATTTTTTATTTTTAGTAGAGATTGGGTTGCTCCTTATTGGTCAAGCTGGTCTCAAACTTCTGACCTCAGGTTATTTGCCCATCTTGGCCTCCCAAAGTGTGCCTTGGCTTCCCAAAGTGCTGGGATTACAGGCGTGAACCACCACTCCTGGCCAGTGCTGAAAATTTTTAAATCATCTGATTCCTCATCCTTTGTACCTGACCTATTTTTGCCCCTCTGGAAACATACAATTTTCTCTGTTTTCAGCGTTCTCAAATTTTACACTGATATATCTTGAGATGAGTCTATTTTCTTCTGTTTTTCTAGGTGCTAGCCTTTTAATCTACAAATTGAGCATCATTAACTTCTGAGACTTTTTATTAAATTATTTTGCCAACAATTTATTCCCCTTAGTTTTATTTATTTCTTTTCTTTCTATAACACATATAATTTAAGTATTGGAAGAAATTATCTTGGAGAAGAAGATAGCACCACACTAATTCTGTTTGTGTCAAACTATCACAGCTCAAGATTTTCATATTTTATTATGGAGAAATGTTGTATTTCTTGGTATTCACATTGTTACCTGAAAAAGGGCAATGACTGGTCAGAAATTGAAATGTATGAGTAACAGTTAGAAGATGAAAGCACTGTATCCTCAGAACTTTAGTATATGAAAACCTTTAAATTCCAGGCAAGTTGACTTAAGCGTCAACATTCTCCCAGCTAAAATGATCTATTTGTGCTAAGTTCTGGGATCAAATGTGAATAAGACCTTGTTTCTGCCTTCAGTCCAAAGGGAGACAAATAAAAATGATGTACAAAGAGAGATATGTACGATGGACATGGTGGTTCACAACTGTAATCCCTGAACTTTGGGAGGACAAGGTGGGGGTATCATGCAATTAGGAGATCAAGGCCATCCTGGCTAACACAGTAAAACCCTGTCTGTTGTAAAAATACAAAAAGTTAGCCAGGTGTGGTGTCACATGCTTGTAGTCCCAGCTACTTGGGAGGCTGAGGCAGGAGAATCACTTGAATCTGGGAGGCAGAGGTTGCAGTGAGCCAAGATCACGCCACTGTACTACAGCCTGGGTGACACAGTGAGATTCCATCTCAAAAAAAAAAAAAAGAAAAAAGAAAAAAAGGAGGGATATGTAAAGTGCCATAAAAACTGAGAAAGGGGACAGAATATCTGTGACAGATAACTTGTTTTGGGCAGTTGAAAACAACGAGGTCTCAGAGTATCCTTTCATTGTGTCACATTTGACTAAAGGCAGAAACAAATGAATCTTAATATTTATGGGGTCACAGACCCTTTTTAAGGATGTAACGAAATTTATGATGATTCTTTCAATAAAAATTTACATAACAAAAATACACATATATTTTACTTACTAATACAGAATGTGCATCATCAAGAGCTCTTGATATAGGAGAGTCAGTAGGAATGTTTTAGGCAGACAAGAAGGGAAGGGGAGTCCAAACAGAGGAAACAGCATGTGCAAGCACCTGGAGACACAAAAGCTTGTGCATTATTGGAATCAACGTGACTAAAACATAATTCAAGGTGCATAAGCTGGAAGATTAACCAGTCATAGTATAAGATGAAAATAGAAGGCTGGGCCCTGTGGCTCACACCTGTAATACTACACTTTGGGAGGCCCAGGCAGGTGGATCACCTGAGGTCAGAAGTTCCAGATATACCTGGCCCAAATGGCAAAACCCCCTCACTACTAAAAACAGAAAAAGTAGCCAGGCATGGTGGCAGGTGCCTGAAACCCCAGCTACTCAGGAGGCTGAGACAGGAGAATTGTTTGAACCTGGGAGGCGGAAGTTGCAGTGAGATGACAACACGCCATTGCACTACAGCCTGGGCAACAAGAGTGAAACTCCACCTCAAAAAGAAAAAGAAAAAATAGAAGATAAGAAGATAGCCTGGGATACAGCATGAAGTATCACAAATATCAGTCATGCACTTTGTTTACTCAGAGACAAGACCATGATTGATTAAAATTATGGACATCATGTCCACCATCTTCTAACTGTTAACAAATACAACTGGAACAGCTAGTACCTAGTGGAATACTATTGAACGTTCTGACTGTAAGGTTTCACTAGCATTCACTGTAGATGTTGAATGTGGAGTGCTCAAACCTCAAGCTTACAGCTTCATAAAAGAAAAATCAATGTTAGAATGAAACAAAAAGCCCCTCAACTACATCAATTATTTGATTCCTTAGTAACTTACAGCAGAATGGCAGCCTTCAATGAGTATAAATGCTTCTCAATCATAGAAAAAGCTTAGATTTACTGGGGGAGTTTACAAAAGGCATACCACATCTGGGATCTATCCCAGACCAATTAAATCAGAATGTATGGCGATCAATGGATCCTGGACATCTGAACTTTTGAAAGCTTGACAGGTAACATTAATATGCATTCAAAATTGAAAACTACTAGGTTAAGAACAATAATCCATGAAAGTAAGTTCCTATCTATTCATCTGCCCTTAATTATGTTGCACTGTTCTCATGCAGCATGATACAAGTAAAAATTAATTTTTTTTTGAAATGGAGTCTAGCTCTGTCACCAAGGCTGGCATGCATTGGCACAGTCTCGGCTCACTGCAACCTCTGTCTCCCAGGTTCAAGCAATTATCCTGCCTCAGCCTCCCTAGTAGCTCAGATTACAGACACCCACCATCCTGCCTAGCTAATTTCTGTATTTTTCAGTAGAGACAGGGTTTCACTGCACTGACCAGGCTGGTCTGGAAATCCAGACTTCATGATCCACCCACCTTGGCTGGAATGACAAATGTGAGACACCACACTCAGCCAAAATTAATATTTTAAAATATTTAGAAATATGTGTGGTAGGGTGCAGTGGCTCACACCTGTAATCCCATCATTTTTCAAGGCTGAGGTGGGTGGATCACTTGAAGTGAGGTGTTCCAGACCAGCTTGAAACTATGGTGAAACCCTGTCTCTACAAAAAAATACAAAATATTATCCAGGCCTGGTGGTGTGTGCCTGTGGTCTCAGTTACTCAGGAAGATAAGGCTAGAGAATTTCTCAGGAGGATCAGTTGAGCTCAGGAGGTTGAGGCTCCAGTGCACAGAGATTGAGCTGCTGAAATCCAGTCCAGTCTGGGAAACAAAGGGAGGCTCTGTCTCATATGTATATATATGTGTGTGTGTGTGTGTGTGTGTGTGTGTGTGTGTGTGTGTGTGTGTGTATAAAAATACACGCATACATACACATACATACATGTTTGGCCACTTATTTCATCTGCAATGGAAGTCTAAGCAGCATGCTTCAGGGTCAATATCAGGACCTGCAGGGAGCCAGCCTATGCTAGAAATGTTCAGAGTGGGTTTTTTCACATTTTACAGTCTGATCTGCTGAGTGTACTGCCTGAGGCTATTGTTCTCTTCATATCTTGCAGATCTTTCTGTGGAAAAGGCCACATACGTCAACAGGTTTTTTGCTGAGGGTCTTCTAATTGATTGGATGGCCTCTCAGTTGAAGAATTTCTAAGGAGAAGATTTTTCCTCTTTTGGCTCAGGAAACTTCAGGCATCAGATGCACAACAATCTTTAATATTAGCACAGAGAATAAGTTATATCCATTGCCTTAAACAAAATGTACAGAAATCAATGTTTTAGTTAAACCCAAACACTATATAGAGTTTGCAATTAATCGTTTTTATATTCTATATTCTCTTTGTTACTGAACATAGAACTTCAAGAAGAGGGTCACACAATGATTTATTCAGTAAATATGTATAGAGCTTGTGTGTATCAAAAACTGTGTTAAGTGCTGAGATTAGAAAAACATACCATGTTATATGTCCTCAACATGTTCTCATTCTATTAAATGGTGTAATAACACAAGATTGAGTCACAAAATTTCAAAAGAGAAGTACACACAAAAAAAATAGCTAGGCAAATTCATGGGATATTATGATTACTTACAGCTGGTATCAGCTAAAGCCAGGTCTTGAAGGACCATAAATGCCAGGATAGAAAGTTTAGAAGAAACTGTCTGCACAAAAGGGAGTTTTTTTTTTATTTTGTTTCCTTTTCCATAGGAAAATAAGATCAAAGTTTCAGGAAGGTTATAAGACAAAATGAAGATCAGCAAAAGAAGACAGGAGGTGAGTTATGAGTTTTATTAAATGGTTAAACTAATGATGATGGTGGCCTGGGCAAGGAAAGTGGAAGCAAGGACTAGAAGAAAGAGAAAGATGTGAGAATCATTGCAAAGGTAAAGTATAAAAGTCTTAGCATGAGTTTTTAAGTTGAGGCTAGTAAAAAATAAATATTGTGGGATTCTTGGCATTCATCTATCCATCAAATTATTCAACAAATCTTTATTTAAAAACTACTATGAAACAACCACTGTGCTGGGTTCTGGAGGTATAACAATGAATATGGGATTAATGGTCCCTGACTTCATAAACCTTGATGTACAGGGAGAGACAGTTAAAAAATAAAAGACACAAGCACTTGTAAATGATGTGAAGGAAATTTGGGGATGCTGAAAGAGAGTAACAGAGAGTAGTGATGGTTGGTGTAATACACAGAACTACTGTGTTTTGGGTACTAAGTGAAGATTTCTCCAAGGAAGTCTTATTTGATATATCAGAAAGATCAACCATTTGAAAAGCAGAAAAAAAAAACAGCTGCCAAGGCTCTAAAATAGGACAATTTTGGCATAGTTCTGTGTTTGAAGAACAGAGAGTTGCTAATGTGCAGAATAATGTCGAGAATTGGAGTAAGAGGAACATCGTAAAGTAACCAGCAGTTTTAATAGTACAAATGGTGATGCTGTTCTTGATAAAAGCAGTTCCAGTGAAATGAGAACAAAACCAAATTGAACTGAACTGAATAGTGAGAGGGAAGAAATGAGGAAAGTGGGTACTGTGTGTTTAGTGGAGAAAAGAAATGAGGGGTAGGTGGCAGGGGGATAAACAATGGGAAAAATTCTAATTTATGAAAGCAATATAAGAATTTAGATCACAGTTGTATATGTATACTGAGCTGGTAGAGAGGGAGAGATTAACGTACATGAGAAAATAAAATTGAGAGCAGTGGATTGTGGTTTCTAGCACCTACAGTTCACTCTCAGTTTGCCTTTGAGTTGGATAAATGGCTAAAAGCTGATACTTTTTCAAAGCTGGTTTCTATTTAGGAGAGAACGGAGTAGGGAACAAAATGACATTGTAAACTGCATAGAAAAATGAGGATATTGAGTACCATAGAAAAAGAAAAGAGCTCAGGCACAACAATATCTTGGTCTTCAAACCAAATGCTGCCTGCTTCCTAGTCTAGCTTCATATCAGCCCTACTCCAATTTCCAAAAGAACAATGATTGTTTCATTTAATCTAACCAAGAGCACTTTATACATCTCACCATATACATCTGTCATCTCAAAGAAGAAAGAGTATTTTAGGACTAAAAATAAAAAGAATTTAATATTAAGATTAAAATCAAATAAACCTAGCTTCATTGAATACCTGTCTATATTGTTATCTTATTTTTTTAATTTTGCTATGAATTAGTGAAAATATTATCCCAGTCTTATGTCTGTCTGGAAATCAGTATTGGGAAATCACTAGACTGATTGCCTTATGAAATCTCATTCAATTCAAATTCTATGATTCAGTTAATAATTACAAAACATATCATATTTAAAGTAAGATACTGTCCTTTTTAACTTCCATTCAATGATATTATAAATAACTCTTCCCCAAGTCATCTTTGCAGTTCTCTCAATTATACAGGAATCTAAAACCAAACTTTGACACCCTCATTAGTTTCAAAGTCCTATTCTCCCAACTTTTCAGAGAGCCCAGAGCATTTACAATAAATCTATCTCTCTGCACAAAACATAATAGCTTGTTCAACTGTTCTGTCAGCCTGAATGTTGATTAAGACTTCAGCAATCACATTCCACTCTGCAAAATTCCAAAATCACAAATGCAGATTAACTTATGAGAACAGAAGGAAAGTACTTAAAGAAAAAAAAATCCTGCTGAAAGAAATGAAAACACAAAAGAAGTCCCACTGGCTAGCTTATTCAGATATGTTTATTTCTAAAGTGTTCTGGCATCCTAGTTTATTTCTAAAGTGCTCAGCACTCTTAAAGAGAAAATTAAATATTATAACAAATAAGATATTTAAAAAGATGACTTAAGTTATAATAGGTGGACTGTAAATACCAGAATTATCACTGGCTGAGACCTCTGATCTGCAGACATGTGCCTGATGATGCCTTTCTAATCCCAACAGCATGGGCCTGGAGCAAAGTTTATTTTACTGCAAGATCTACTTTATTGAATTCACTGCCTGTTCTAATTCTATGTATTTCTGATTAGCTGATCTTCAAAGCTGATGTTAGTAGAAGGAAATTGTTTCCTGACATGCTAACATTTTAAAGCTAATAGTTTTTTGATAAGCAATTGAGTTTGCAGCATTCTGCTCCTGTTATGTTTTATTGGTGTTTGTGCTTTAATTTGGTATGTGTGTTTTGGCATCACTCCAATGGCAGGTGCAATTTTAAAAATAAGAATCAACTGGATTCACTGTGATGTCCGATATAAGACTTCCAAGGTTAGTTTTTAAAACAAAATGCTAGGCTTGCCTCTATCCAGAGTCCTGTGCAGAAAATATATTGATTCTGTAGGGCTTTCTCTACTGTAGCTTTTTGAAATTGTGTTCTCACTCTTCAAATGTCCAAATCTAGAATTCCCTAAACAGCTTTTACTGAGAACCACAACCTCATCTCCTCCTTTTTCAAAGTGATTAAGTCCATCAAGCAGGAGAGCCCAAGTAAAGTTTATTTTCCCATTAAAATCTTTCTCTAGTGCTTTCTACACTACTGCCAGTTAATAGGAGCTTAATAAATGTTTGTTAAATGACAGTTTGAACGAAATTGTCTTGTCATCTCTTTTCTCTTAATTGCAGTAAGAGAAATTTCTTTTTTCTGAGACTAAACCTTGTCAATGATGTAGAATTTACCTGATTCTTTCCACTCCTGCCTTCTTCGAGACCTAGATTCATTATGTATTTCTTCTTAGTCTAACTGTCTTTGGTTTTCATTTCTTCATTGGCCACTGAGTGGCTTCCTAATAACACAGACAAATGTCTCAGTATTGTGAAAAGTCCTAAAGGGAATGGTGATTTGGACAAGACATCTGCATTGGAACACTAGTTTGGTTGGCAATATTCTGTTGCTTTATATCTGTGGGGCAGAAATAAAACCATACACTTGTGTTGTGTGTTTTCCATATCAGAGTTTTATATTAAAATAAAAAGGTAAAAATCAAAACAAACAAAATAAACACATCGAGGACAACAGGTCAACTGATGCTGAAACAAATTAAAATAGAGACTGGGCCTGAAGAATCTCTTAGATGAAAAACAAAGTTAGGCCTCATAAGTAACTTCAATCTTGCTTGATTTGCAAACATAAGCAAAACTAACTTGAGCTACTTCTTCTAATGTTTATATCACAGAAAAACAGAATGTATATCAACCAATCAGAAGCAGTTAAGGAACTTACATAATTAAGATTTTCCAATGGGATAGATCAAATGAGACAACTGTATAATTGTAACCAGTCAAATACAATTTGCTTTATTTCTATGTGTGTTTTATAAAATTCTCCCCATTGTTTTCCCTAGGAAAATTAGAAATGTGGAAGTCACTGAAGACCTTGACAAAAGCAAGATCAATGGAGCAGACAGATTGAAATCTGGAGTAGTTTAGGGCTTCCTGAAGAACCACACAGCCTCATGAGCTGCCGGGCAGTGTGTTTCCATGGGAGTGTTGTGAGTGTTGGATGTCTGCAGAGTCCCTTGAATTTACCTCGAATTCAGTTCCCAGATGATCAGGTGCTTCACATCTTGAGGGGGCAGTCCTCCATCATCTTGGGATTTCATCCTGGGACATAGAGTGTGAGCAGCAATACATTAACATACAGGTGAGGATACAACCTGGTGAGGGGTGGATACAGTCCTGCAACTTCACCTGCAAAGAAATGAAGACAGATGACACAGAAGGTGCTTCCAACTCCATCCCTGCATTCCCTTAATTGCACAAGCAGTCAGCATCAGGGTTCGGTATTCAGGTGGGAGTGCTCCAATGTGCAAGCAACATTTGGAGTGCAAATTGAGGCCATCCTGGCAAATACCCTATTTGAGGGCTTTCATGTCCAGAGCCAAATGGGAGTGGAATGCATTGATGCTGGGTGGGATGTGGCCTCCAGACTTGCCTCTTCTTTTCCTTACTTCCGTGCTCCTCACTAGCCTAGGGTTTCCTGGTTCTGGCTCAAAAACTTCCACACTAAACATTTCCCACTTCACAGACAATGAGCCTCATGGAAATCCATTGTGTGAGTGTTTTCTTCTTAACACTGTCACATTTTAATGACTGGGCTGCTTTGACACTTTTAAAACCATAAATTCTCACTACAGCCGCAAACAAGGAAACTCCTGTTTTCTCACTTCTATCAAATGGCTGCATGATTCCTGTAGGATGAGAGGCAGGCACCCGCGTCTTGCTTTTGCCTGGTAATCTAGCCAGCCCCTGTTTTATTTCATCTGCATGGCCTTCTCATTGTGGAAGTGTTCTTTCTTTGGGCTGTTGCTCGGTGGGACTGCCTCTTATCATAGATTATTTAGCTGACAGGGATTGCAGAGAGCAAAAGGGAATTTGGGTAGGCTGGCTGCACTTCAGGTTGTGGGTCATTCTCTCACTGTGGGTGCTGAGGTTATTTGCACTTTGCAGGAGGCTATTGGGTCCTCTGACAGGAATCATTGAACATTGCTTGGACTCCAGCCCAAGGCAGATCATTCTCTTGGGCAAGCCTTAATTTCTCTTTGCTTTCATAGAAAATCCTCAGTGACCCTCAACAGCACCACTGGACACCCTTTTCAGGCTTGCCGTCACCACAGACGGCCTCTGAGACACCTTCTCAACCTCATCTGCACCCATGAGATGCCAGTCTGAGGTTTGAGAATACTGCTTCACCTTGGCCTTGCCTTTGTCGTGGTTCCTGCCTTTCCCGGAGAGCCCCTGTGCGACCCAGGATGAACGGAGGCAGTGAGGTCAAGAGCCTGGCCATATTTTGATGACGCCCGCCTCTGGGGTCTCAGGTATGATTCTATCACCCAAAGAACCCTCAACAATACACCAGACTATATTCCAATCCCCATGGACCCAATTCTTGCACACAACCTCTTTCAATAATGGAGTCAGAAGAGCATTTCTCAGCCATGACCTCAGAGTGGCGAAACGGCTCGACCTCCAGCGCGACCGGACCATGGAGATGACACGAAGGGGCCCTAAATTTGAGACTTTCAGGGTCTCTCAGTGGGTTTTCGCAGACAGCCTTTTCCCCAATATCAGTCAGGCTCTGCCTGTCATTTTCCTCTGCATAGACAGGCTGACAGTTCTGAAAGCCTTGCGCGGGAGCCTCCATCGCGAATGCACATGCGCTAGTCTTAGGGCACAGGGCCTGAGCTGTGAGCTCTGGTTAACGTCACAATAAATGCCTCCTTTCCCTAGCCGCAAGTCCCTGTGGCTTGGCCGAGAAGGAGACCTCCGTGGGGGTGCGATAGCGGTGGTCTCTCGCCTGTCTTCTCTGTAGGACCCACGGGATAGTCCCATGATCCTAAGAGAAGGCAGACATGAGCCAGCCTGAAGAAACCTCAAGGAGAGCCCCAAGAGTAAATCACGAAATCCCTAAGAATCCAAAAGGATCTGCAGGACGCCTCAGGCCTGCCTACACGTTGTAGGGGTGAGTCTTTTTGAAACTTGCCCAACTGTTATTTCTAAGTACAGCCCACCTGTATTCCTCGAAGTTGCTGTCTCCGAGGTGGGGCTGTCTGCAGAACCAGGCAGCCTCAGAACCTACCGGGCTGTGCGTTTCTGTGGTAGTGTTGTAATTGTTGGATATCTGCCTGTGCGAGTGGCTGTGTGTGTGTGTGTTTTGTGTGTGTGTGTTTGTGTGTGTCTGTATGTGTATGCCTGTAAGTGGAGTCTGCTTTAAAAAAATGTGCCTAAAGCACTTCAGCCCTTCATTTTTTTGATTCTCCCAAACTTTTGGTGGGTTGTCTCTGTGGCTCTCCTTGGGCTGTAGAGCCTTGTGTTTTTTGTTCTTCTGTGGATCATGAATTTATAGTGAATTGGGAGATTGACTGAGACCTGCCAGGGTCCAAATCACCTTCCCCTGCAACAGAAGCCACTTTTCCAGAAAGAAGAGGAGCACACCACACCCATGAACAGACATCTAGTGTTTCATTGTCCTGTGGCAAACCCAGGGATGGATACTAACATTCCTATCCTCAGGGCCCATTGAGTTTACATCAAATTCAGTTCTCAGCTGAGTAGGAGCTTCACGTCATCAGGGGGCACTCCTCTATCATCTTGAGATTTCATTCTGGGACACAGTGTGAGCAACAGTAAGGTCGGTTAGGGGTGTGCATGCAATCTGAGAAAAAGTAAAGGCAGATTACACAGAAGTACTTCCAACTGCATCCCCACATTCTCTTAACTGCACAGGCAGTCCACACCATGGCCTGGTGTTCAGGTGGGAGTACTCCAACATGCAGGGAATATTTGGAGTGCAAACTGGGGCCATCCTGGCAAACTCCCAATTTGAGGGCTTTCATACTGGGAGCCTAGGCCTGGCTCAATGTCTTCCACACTAAACGTATCCCAGTTCACCAAGGATGACCCTAATGAGAATCCATTGTGTGAATGTTTCCTTCTAAACATTGTCACGCTTTAATGACTGGACAGCTGTGATATTTTAAAACTGTAAATTCCCATTACAGCCACCAACAGGAAAACTCTTGTTCTCCCACTTCTATCAGAGGGCTGCATGATTCCTGTAGGATGAAAAGGAGGCAGCCATGTCTGGCATTTGCCTGGTAATCTAGGCTCTGTTTTATTGTACCTGCATGCCACTGCTCATTGTGGAGTGGGAGTTTCATTGGGCTGTTGCTGTATGGGACTGCCTCTCGCCACAGATCTTTTAGCTGCCAGGGACTTCAGGGAGCAAAGGAGACTTCAGGTAAGCTGGCTGCACTCCAGGTTGTGGATTGTGGTCTCATTTTGGATACTGAGGTTGTTTGCACTTTGCAGGTGGCTTTTGGGTCCTCTGAAAGAAATCTTTCAGTATTGCTTGGACTTCAGCACAAGTCAGTTGTTTCTCTCACCCAAGCCTTGATTTTCCTTCGCTTTCATGGAAGATACACATTGCCCCTAAACAGCATTACTGCACACCCTTTTCAGGCTTACAATTGCCACAAATGGCCTCTGAGACACTGTCTCAACCTCATCTGCACCCATGAGAGGCCAGTTGGAGGTGTGAGAACACTGCTCCACCGTGGACTTGCCTTTGTCATGGTTCCTGCCTTTCCCAGAGAGCACCTGGAGGCCCAGGATGAAGTCAGGCAGTGACGTCCAGGGCACAGCCATCTTTTGTTGACACCTGCCTCTGGGGTCTCAGGTATGATTCCATGAACCAGAGACCCCTCAACAACTCACCAGACTATATTCCAATCACCATGGGACCGGATTTCTGCACTCTTTCAGGGATGAAGTCAGAAGTGCAGTTTCCAGTGACCAGTTCACAGTCTTGAAATGCCTCCTCCTTCAAGTGAAACCTGACCAACAAGATGGCCTGAAGAAAACCTATGGTTGAGACTTTCAGGGTCTCTCAGTGGATTATCTCAGACAGCCATTTTCCCAACACCAGGTCAGCTCTGCCTGTACCATTTTTCTCTGCTTAGGCATGCTGACAGCTGGGCTGCTGAGCCTGTGACAAGAATGCAAATGCACTAGTCTCCTGGCACCAGGCCAGAGCTGTGAGCTCTGGCAAGCATCACAATGAATGACAGCATTGCCTAGCAACAAGTCCCTGAGGCTTGGTGGAGAAGGCGATCTCTGTGTATGTGAGTCGGCAGTGAACTTTCACCTGTCTTCTCTGTGGGATCCACAGGATAGTCCCATTATCCTTGGAGAGAGCATATGTGAGACATCATGAAGAAAGGTCAAACAGAGCCCCAGGAATAATCTGCAAAATCCCTAAGGATCCAAAATAATCTGCAGGATGCCTCAGACCTGCCTAGATGTTGTACGGGTGAATCTTTTTGAAATTTGCCCTGTATGATTTCTTGGTACAGCCCTCCTGTGTTACTTGGTGTTGTTCTCTCCCAGGTTGGGATTCCTGCAGAACCACCCAGCCTCAGAACCTGTAGGCCTGTAGTTTCTGTGAGAGTGTTGTAAGTTTGGATGTCTGCACGTGTGTGTGGCTTTGTGTGATGTGTGTGTGTGTGTTTTAAATGGAGTCTAATTAAATAAATTAGGCTAACACACTGCAGTGCTTTTTTTTGTCTCTCAACCTTTTGGTAGCTTGTTTCTGTGGTTCTGCCTGGGCTGTGGGGCTCTGTATTCTTTATTTTTCTGTGGATCAAGAATCTGCAGTGATTTGGGAGGCTGGCTGTGACCTGCTATGGTCCAAATCTCCCCCACCTGCAAAAAAAAAGTCACTCTTCTCAAAAGAAGAGGAGCACACCTCACCCAAGAAGCAACATTGCCCAGTCTTTCATTGTCCCATGGCCAACCCAGGAAGAGACACTAGCAGTCCTGATGGCAGGGCCCCTTGAATTTACCAGGAATTTGGTTCGCAGTAGAGCAGGTGCTTCATGTTGTGAGGGTGCACTCCACTATCATCTTGGGATTTTATTCTGGGACAAACAGTGTGAGCAGCAATAAGGTCAGATGGGGTGAGGATATAATCTGGTGAGGTTTGGATGCAGACCTGCACCTTCACCTGCAAAAACAGTGAAGATCTGATGGCACAGAGCATGCTTCCAACAGCATCCCCACATTTGCTTAATTGCACAAGCCATCCACGTCATGGCCTGGGAGTACTTCTGCATGCAGGGAACATTTGGAGTGCATACTTGGCCATCCTGGCAAACTCCTGATTTCAGGGCTGTCATAGCCAGAACTAAAAGGGTATGGGATGGATTGATGCTGGGTGGGATGTGGCCTTCACACTTGCCTCCTCTTCTCCTGACTTCCGTTTCCCCCACTGGCCTAGGTTTTCCTGGGTCTGTCTAAATGTCTACCACAATAGAGGCTTCCCAATTCATGGAGGATGACCCTCATTTGAATCCATTGTGTGAGTGTTTCCTTCTAAACACTGTCACGTTTTAATGACTGGCCAGCTTTGATACTTTTAAAATTGTAAATGTCAGTTAGAGCCACAAACAAGGAAACTCCTATTCTCCCACTTTTTTCAGAGGGCTGCAAGATTCCTGTATGATGAGAAGCAGGCCACTGTGTCTGGTGTTGCCTGGTAATCTAGCCTCTGTTTCAATTCATCTTCAAGTCCTTTCTCATTGTGGAGGGGCTCTTTCATTGGGTTGTTGCTGCATTGCATTGCCTCTCACCCCAGATCTTTTGGCTGCCAGGGATTTCAGGGAGCAAAAGGGACTTGGGGTAGGCTGGCTGCACTCCAGGTTGTGGACCATTGTCTCATAGTGGGGGCTGAGGTTGTTTGCCCTTTGCAGGAGGCTTCTGACAGGCGTCATTGAACAATGTGTGGACTCCAGCACAAGGCATCTCGTTCTCTCAGGTGAGCCTCTATTTTTCTTTGCTTTCTTGGGGAATCCACAGTGACACACAGTGACACTACTGGACACCATTTCCAGGCTTGCCATCACCACAGACAGCCTCTGATAGACTGTCTCCACCTCATCTGCACCTATGAGAGGCCAGTCTGAGGAATGAGAACACTGCTTCACCTTGGACTTCCCTTTGTCGTGATTCCTGCCTTTCCCAGAGAGCCCCTGCAAGGCTTAGGATGAAGGGAGGCAGTGAGGGCAAGAGCCCAGCCATCTGTCACTGACACCTGCCTCTGGGGTCTCAGGTATGATTCTGTTACTCAGAGAACCCACAACAACACAACAGAATATATTCCAATCCCCATGGACCTGATTCTTGCACACAGCCTCTTTCAAGAATGGAGTCAGAAGTGCAGTTTCCAGTGACCACATCACACTGTAGAAATGCCTTCTCTCCAGTAGGACCCAACCATGGAGATGGCATGAAGGGTCCCTGAGTTCAAGACTTTTAGCATCTTGCAGTGGGTTTTGACAGGGAGCCATTTTTACAATACCAGGCTCATTCTGCCTGTACCATTTTCCACTGCTGAGGCAGGCTTATAGCTCTGAGAGCCTGGCACCAGAGCCTGACTCACGAATATGCATGTGCCAGTCTTAGGGCACCAGGCCTGATTGTGAGCTCTGGCTAGCATCAAAACAAATGTCACTGCTGCCTAGGGACAAGCCTCTGAAGCTTGACAGAGAAGGAGACCTCCGTGGCGGTGAGTCGGCGGTGGACTCTCACCTGTCTTCTCTGTGGGATACGTGGGATATTCCCATAATCCTAGGAGAGGGCAGGCATGAAGCAGCCTGAAAAAACATCAAGCACAGTCTTAGGAATAAACCATGAAATCCATAAGGATCCAAAATTATCTGCGGGATTCCTCAGGCCTGCCTAGTCTTTGTAGGGGTGAGTGTTTTTGAAACTTGCTCCACTATGATTTCTAGGTACAGCACACCTGTGTTCCCTGGGGTTGTTCTCTCCCTGGTATGGCTTCCTGCAGACCTCACAGCCTCAGCAGCTGCCAGGTTGTGAATTTCTCTGGAATTATTTTGAGTGTTGGATGTCTGCGTGTGTGTGTGTGTGTGTGTGTGTGGCATTATGTGTTTGTGAGTGCTTATGTGTGTGGGTGTGTTTGCCTGTAAGTGGAGCCTGCTTAAAGGAATATGGCTAATGCACTTCAGCACTGCTTCTGCTTCTTCTTCTTCTTCTTCTTCTTCTTCTTCTTCTTCTTCTTCTTCTTCTTCTTCTTCTTCTTCTTCTTTTCTTCTTCTTCTTTTTGTGAGTCTCCAAACCTTTTGGTTGCCAGTCTGTGTGGCTCTGCTTGGACTGCAGGGCTCCATGTTCTTTATTTTTCTGTGGATCTGAATCTGCAGTGAATTGGGAGCCAGGCTGAATCCCACCAGCTTTCAAATTGCATCCCCCTGCATAATAAAACCACTCTTCTAGAAAGAAGAGGAGCCCACCACATGAAAAAACAGACATCTCCCAGTGTTTCATTGTCCTGTGGCCCACCCAGGGAGAAACACTAACAGTCCTGTCTGCAGTGCCCCTTGAATTTAACTCGAATTCGGTTCCCAGGAGATCAGGTGTTTCACATCATGAGGGGACACTTCTCCATCATCTTCGGATTTCATTCTGGGACATAGAGTGTGAGACACAATAAGTTCAGAAAGGGGTGAAGATACAGATTGGTGAAGGGTGGATGGGGTCCTGCAACTTCACCTGCAAAATGATTGAAGACTGATGTCACAGAAGTTGCTTCCAGCTCCATCCCTGTATTCCATTAATTGCACAAGCAGTCCACACCATGGCCCGGTGTTCAGGTGAGAGTATTCCAACATGCAAGGAATATTTGGAGTGCAAATTGAGGCCATCCTGGTACACTCCCGATTTGAGAGCTTTCATACCCAGAGCCAAATGGGAATGGAATGGATTGATGCTGGGTGAGATGTGGCCTCCATAGTTGCCTCTTCTTTTCCTGACTTCTATGTTTCTTGTAGGCCTAGTGTTTCCTGGTTATGGCTTAAAGACTTCCACAGTAAACCTTTCCCATTTCATGGAGAATGATCCTCATGGGAATCCACTGTGTGAGAGTTTCCTTCTAAACACTGTCAGTTTTAATGACTGGGCAGATTTGATAATTTTAAAACCATAAATTTCCATTACATCCACCAGCAAGGACACTTTTGTTCTCCCACTTCTAACAGAGGGCTGCATGATTTCTGCAGGATGAAAAGCAGGCAGCTTTGTCGGCTTTTGCCTCGTAATCTGGCACCTTTTTCACTTCATTTGCATGGCCTTTTCATTGTGGAGGGGCTCCTTCACTGGGCTGTTGCTGCTTGGAACTGCCTCTCCCAGAGATCATTAAGCTGCCAGAAATTTCAGAGAGCAAAAGGGACTTCCGGTAGGTTGGCTGTGCTCCATGTTGTGGGTTGTTGTCCCCTTGTGGGGACTGAGGTTTTTTGCACTTTGCAGGAAGCTTTTGGGTCCTCTGACAAGAGTCTTTGAACATTGCTTGGATTCCACCATAAGGTAGCTCTTTCTCTCAGTTGAGCCTTGATTTTTCTTTGCTTTCAAGGGGAATACACAGTGCCCCTTAGCAACACTACCGGACACACTTTCAGACTTGGCACCACCACACACGTCTCCAAGATACTCTCTCAACCTCATCTGCACCCGCAAGAAGCCAGTCTGAGGTGTGAGAATACGGCCCCACCTTGGACATCCCTTGTCGTAGTATTTGCCTTTCCCAGAGAGCTCCTATGAGGCTCAGGATGAAAGGCAGCAGTGAGGTCAAGAGTCTGACCATCTTTCACTGGCACCAACCTCTGGGGTCTCAGGCATGTTTCCATCACCCAGAGAACCCTCAGAAACACACCAGACTATATTCCAATCCCCATGGGACCCTATTTTTGCACACAACCTCTTTGGAGAATAAAGTCAGAAGAGCAGTTTCCAGCGACCACCTCACAGTCTCAAAACGCCTCCTTCTCCAGTGGGATCCGACCACGGAGATGGCCCAAGGGGTCCTGAGGTCGAGGATTTTGGTGCCCCACAGTGGGTGTTTGCAGGCATCCTTTATTTCAATACCAGGCCGGCTCTGCCTGTACATTTTCCTGTGCTTAGGCAGCCTGACAGTTGTGCTATCCTGGAGGCCTTCCCTGCCTCACGAATGCGCATGCGCTAGACTCAAGGAAGCAGTCCTGATTATGAGCCCTTGCTTGCGTCAAAACGAATGTCACAGTTGCCTAACTACAAGTCCCTGCAGCTTTGCGGCAAAGGAGACCTCCGTGGAGGTGCGTTGGCAGTGGGCTTTTGCGTCTTGTCTGTTGGATTCACCAGATAGTCCCATGATCCTAAGAGAGGGCAGACGTCAGCCAGCCTGAAGAAACCTCAAGCACAACCCCAGGAATAAATTGAGAAATCCTGAGAATCCAAAAGGATCTGCAGAATTCCTCAGGCCTGGGTGGACTTTGTAGGGGTGGGTCTTTTTGAAACTTGCCCCACTGTGATTTCTAGATACAGCCCACCTGTGTTCCGCGAGTTTGCTCTCTCCCAGGTGGGGCTTCCTGCAGAAGCACGCATCCTTGGGAGCTGCTGGACTGTGTGTTTCTCTGGGAGACTTGCAAGTGTTAGATGTTTGACTGTGTGTATGTGTATGTGTGTGCGTGTGTGTATGTGCCGGTAAGTGGAGTCTGTTTAAAGGAATGAGGCTAACACACTTAAGCACCCTTTTTTTTTTTTTTTTTTTTTTTTAGTCTCCCAACCTAGTGTTGTCCTGTCTGTGTGGCTCTGCTTGGGCCGCGGGGCTTTTCTTTATTTTTCTGTGGATCGTGAATCTGCAGCAAATTGGTAGGTGTGCCATGACCCGCTGGCGTCCAAATCACCTCTGCCAGCAGAACAACAACAAACACTTTTCCTTTCTAGAAAGAAGAGGAGCACACCACACCATAAAACAGGTCTCCCAGTGTTCCATTGTCCTGCAGCCAACCCAGAGAGAGACACTAGCAGTCTTTTCCACAGGGAAACACACAAAGCCACACACAGATGCAGACATCCAAAACTTACAACACTCTGACAGAAAAACACAGCCCGGCATCTCCTGAGGCTGCGTGGTTCTGCAGGAAGCTTCACCTGGGAGAGAGTAACCTTGGGGAACTCATGCAGGCTGTATCTAGAAAACACAGTGGGACGATTTTCAAAAAGACTCACCCCTGCAACGTCTAGGTAGGCCTGAGGCATCCTGCAGATCCTTTTGGACACTTAGAGATTTCGCAGTGAATTCCTGAGGCTGTGCTTGAAGTTTCCTTAAGCTGGCTGAGGTCAGCATTCTCCTAGCATCATGAGATTATGCTGAGGGTCCCACAAACAGTACAAGCGAAAGTCTGTGGCCGACCCACCTCCGCAGATGTTTCCTTCTCCGCTAAGCCACAGGGACTTGTCTCTAGGCAATGGTGGCATTCATTGAGACATCAGCCAGAGCTCACAGTTCAGGTCTGGTGCCCTGAGACTAGCGCATGCGCATTCACGAGGCAAGGTTGGGCGCCCGGCTGTCAGAGCTGTCAGCCTGCCTAACCAGAGGAAAATGGTACAGCCAGAGCCGGCCTGTTATGGGAAAAAAGGCTGACTGCAGTAACCCACTGTGGGACACTAAAAGCGTCGACCTCAGAGCTCCGTCGGGTCGTCTCCGTGGTCTGGTCTCGCTGAAGGAGGACACATTTTGAGACTGTGAGGAGGACGCGGGAAACTGCTTTTCTCACTCCATGGCTGAAAGAGGCTGTGTGTAAGAATCAAGTCCCATGGGAATTGGAATATAGTCTGGTGAGTTTCTGGGGGTCTTCGGGTGATGGAATCACACCTGAGACCCCAGAGGCGGGTGTCTGTGGAAGATGGCCGGGCCCTTGATCTCACTGCCTCCGTTCATCCTGCCCTCACAGGGGCTCTTGGGGAAAGGCTGGAACCATGACAAAAGGAGGTTCAAGTTGAAGAAGTGTTCTCACACCTCGAACTGACCTCTCACGGGTGCAAATGAGGTTGAGACAGTGTCTCAGAGGCCGTTTGTGGAGATTGCAAGCCTGGAATGTTGTCCAGTAGCGCTGTTGAGGGGCGATGTGGACTCCCCAGAGAAAGCAAAGAAAAATCAAAGCTCGCCTGAGAGAATGAGCTGACTAGTGCTGGAGACACAGCAATGTTAAAAGATTTCTGTCAGAAGACCCTAAAGCCCCTGGCAAAGTGCAAACAAACTTGGCCCCCAAAATGAGACCACCACCCACAACCTGGAGTGTAGCCAGCCTACCTAAAGTCTGTTTTGCTCCCTGAAATTACTGGCAGCCAAAAGATGTGTGGCGATAGGCAGTCCCACTCAGCAAGACCACAATGAAAGATCCACTCAGCAATGAGAAGAGCCTGCAGATGAAAAGAAACAGAAGCTAGATGACCAGGCAAAAGCCAAACACGGCTGCCTACTTCTCATCCTACAGGAATCATGCAGCCTTCCGAAAGAAGTGAAAGAACA
The DNA here is from genome assembly GCF_000001405.40 of Homo sapiens. NCBI lineage: Eukaryota > Metazoa > Chordata > Mammalia > Primates > Hominidae > Homo > Homo sapiens. The sequence continues at coordinate 21,595,468 of NC_000024.10, read as the reverse complement.
AGAGTTTCCTTGTTGGCAGCTGTAAAGGCAATTTGCAGGTTTAAATTATCAATGAGGCCCAGTCATTAAAACCTCACAGGGTTTAGAAGAAAACACTCATGCAATGGATTCCCGTGAGGGTGGTTCTCGAGAATTGGGAAAATTTAGTGTGGAAGTCATTGGGTGGAGATCCAGGAAACCCTAGGCCAATGAGGAACATGGAAGTCAAGAAAAGAAGAGGCCAGTTTGGAGGCCACACCCCTCCCAGTATTAACCCATTCCAGTTCCATTTGGCTATGGGTATGAAAAACATACATCCAGACTTTGCCAGGATGGGCCCAATTTGCACTCAAAATGTTCCCTGCCTGTTGGATTACTTCCACCTGAACACCAGGTCATGGTTGGACTGCTTGTGCAATTAACAGAATAGGGGGATGGGGTTGGAAGCACCTTCTGTGTCATCTGTCTTCATATTTTTTTTGCAGTTGAAATTGCAGGACCCATCCACTCCTCACCAGATTGTATTCTCATCCCTATCTGACCTTATTTCTGCTCACACTCTATGTCCCAGGATGAAATCCCAAGACAATTGAGGAGTGCCCCTTTAACCTGAAGTACCTGCTCAGCTAGAAACCGAATTCAAGGTAAATTCAATTGGTCCTGAGGACAGGACTGCTAGTGTCCCTTGCTGGGTTGACCGTAGGACAATGAGACACTGGGAGATGTCTGTTTTTTGGTGTGTTGGTGTGGTGTGTTCCTCTTCTTTCTAGAAGAGTGTTTTGTTTTGTTTTTTTGCAGGGGAAGGTGATTTAGACACTGCGTATTCATGATCCACAGAAAAATAAAAAAACATGGAGCCCCAGAGCCCAAGCAGAGCCAAACAGACAAGCAACCAAAATAAAAGGTGAGGGACTCAAATAAAGAGGATTGAAGTGTGTTAGCCACACTCTTTTAAGCAGACTCCATTTGCAGGCACACAGACACAAACACACAATGCCACACACACACACACACACACAGAAATCCTACACTCACAACACTCCCAAAGGAACACAGAACCTGACAGCTTCTGAGGCTGCATGTTTCTGCAGGAAGCCCTACCTGGGAGAGAGCAATCCCAGGGAACACAGGTGGGTTTTACCTAAAAATATCAGAGGGGCAAGTTTCAAAAAGACTCACCCCTAAAACATCTAGACAGGCCTGAGGAATCCTGCAGATGCTTTTGGATCCTTAGGGATTTTGCAGTTTATTCCTAGGGCTCTGCTTGACATTTCTTCAGGCTCGCTCACATCTGCCATCTCATAGGATCATGAGATTATTCTGTGGATCCCACAGAGAAGACAGGCAAAGAGTGCACCACCAACGCACCTCCACAGAGGTCTCCTCTGGAGTCCAAAATCAGGAATGGTTCCCTGAGCTTAGCTCATGAACATTCGTGAGGCAGGCTCTGGTGCCCAGATGTCAGAGCTCTCAGCCTGACTAAGCAGAGGAAAATGATACAGGCAGAGACGCCTTGGTATCAGGAAAAATGATGCCTATGAAAACCCACTGTGAGACTCTAAAAGTCTCAACCTCAGGGCCCCTTTGGGTCATCTCCATAGTTGGGTCCCACTGGAGGAGGAGGCACTTCAGGACTGTGAGGTGGTCGCTGGAAACTACTCTTCTGGCTCTATTCCTGAAAGAGGCTGTGCATAAGAATTAGGTCCCATGGAGATTGGAATAGAATCTGTTGTGTTGTTGGGGTTCTTTGGGTGATAGAATTATACCTGAAAGCCCAGAGGTGAGCATCAGTGAGAGATGCCCGAGCTTGACCTCATGGCCTCCCTTCACCCTAGGCCTCACAGGGGCCCTCTGGAAAAGTCAGGAACCATGACCGAGGAAAGCCCAAGGTGGAGCAGTTGTCTCACACCTCAGACTGGTCTCTTCTTGGTGCAGATGATGTTGACACAGTGTCTCAGAGGCCATCTGTGGTGATAGTAAGCCTGAAAATTGTGTCCAGCAGTGCTGTTAAGGGGCATTGTGGGTTTTCCATGAAAGCAAGAAAAAAACAAGGCTTGCCTGAGGAAACGAGCTGCCTTGTGCTGGAGTCCAAGCAATGTTCAGTGATTTCTGTCAGGGGACCCAAAATCCTACTGTAAAGTTCAAGCAACTTCAGCCCCCAAAATGTGACCATAGACCAAAATGTGGAGCACAGTAAGCCTATTCGAAGTCCCTTTTGCTCTCTGAAACCCTGATAAGCTATACAATCTGTAGTGAGAGGCAGTCCCATCCAGCAACAGCTCAATGAATGAGCCCCTCCACAGTGAGAGAGCCATGCAGATTTAATGAAACAGAGCCTCGATTGCCCGGTAAAATGTACACACAGCTGCCTTCTTCTCCTCCTACAGGAATCATGCAGGCCTCTGATAGAAGTGGTAGAATAAGAGTTTCCTTGTTGGTGGCTGAAATGGGAATTTATTGTTTTAAAGTATCAAAACTGTCCAGTCATTAAAACGTGACAGTGTTTGGAAGAAAACGCTCATGCAGTGGATTCCACTGAGGGTCATTCACCAGCAACAGGCAAACGTTTAGTGTGGAAGTCATTTAGCCAGACCCAGGAAACCCTAGGCTGACCAGGAACATGGAAGTCAGGAAAAGAAGGGGGAAGTATGGAGGCCACATCCCACCCAGCATCAATCCATTCCACTGCCATTTGGCTCTAGGTATGAAAGCCCTTAAATCAGGAGTTTGCCAGGATGGTGTCAATTTGCACTCCACATGTTCCTTGCACGTAGGAGTTCTGCCACCTGAACTCCTGGCTATGTTGTGGACTGCTTGTGCAATTAAGGGAATGCGGGCATAGAATTGGAAACACCTTCTGTGTCATCTGTCTTTATCTTTTTGCAGGTGAAGTTGCGGGACCCCTTCCCCTTGTCACCAGATTATATCCTCACCTTTATCTGACCTTATTTCTGCTCATATTCTATGTCCCAGGATGAAATCCCAAAACGAGGGAGGAGTGTCCCCTCACAATGTATAGCGCCTGATCAGCTGGGAACTGAATTTGACGTAAATATAGGGGCCCTGAGGACTAGACTGCTAGTTTCTCTACCTGGGTTGGCTGCAGGAAAATGAAACATCGGGAAATGTCTGTTTTTTTGGTATGGTGTGCTCCTCTTCTTTCTAGAAGAGTGGCTTTTATTGTACGGGGAGATACCTTGGTTGCCGGCAGGCTTGGCCCGCCTCCAAAATCACTGAGGATTCATGATTCACAGAAAAATAAATAACACAAGCCTGACAGCCCAAAAGAGCCACAGAGACAGGCCACCAAAAGGTTAATATACTAAAAAAATAAAAAAACACTGAAGTGCTTTAGCCACATTCCTTTAAGCAGACTCCACTTAACGGCACACACACACACAGATACACAAACACACAATAACACACACACAGGCAGACATCCAACATTTGCAACACTCCCACAAAAACACATAGCCTGTCAGCTCCTCAGGCTGCAGGATTATGCAGGAAGCCCCATCTGAGACAAAGTAACTCCAAGGAAAAGAGATGGGCTGTACCTAAAAATCACAGTTAAGACAAGTTCCAAAAAGACACCCTTCCAACATCTAGACAGCATGCAGATGTTTTTTGATCCTTAGGGATTTGGCAGCTTATTCCTGGGGCTCTTCTTGATGTTTCTTCAGGCTGGCTCACATCCTCCCTATCCTAGGATTATGGGACTATCCTGTGGATCTCACAGAGTAGACAGGTGAGAGACCTCAGCCGACGAACCTCCATGGAGGTCTCCTCCTTGGGAGTCTTCTCCACAAAGCCGCGGGGACTTGTCGCTAGGCAACAGTGACATTCACTGTGACTCTAGACAGAGTTCACACTCAGGACTGGTGCCCTGAGACTAGCTTATGTGGATTCCTGAGACAGGCTTATGTGTCCTGCTGTAACAGCATTCAGCCTGCCTAAGCAGAGGAAAATGGTACAGTCGGAGCTGGCCTGGTATCAAGAAAAAGGCTGCCTGTGAAGACCCATGGCAGGACAATAAAAGCCTCGACCTCAGGGCTCATTTGGACCATCTCTGTGGTTGTGTCCTGATGGAGGATGAGGTGTTTCAAGACTCTGAGGTGGTCACTGAAAACTGCCCTTTGAAATCCATTCCCAAAAGAGAATGTGTGTCTGCAAGAATCGGGTCCCATGGTGATTGGCATATAGTCTGTCTGGTGTGTTGTTGATGGTTCTTTGGGTCATAGCATCATACCTGAGACCCCAGAGGCATTTTTTAGCAAAGATGTCTGGGCTCTTGACCTCACTACCTCCATCATCCTATGCCTAGCAGGGGCTCTCTGAGAAAGGCAGGAACCATGAAAAAGGCAAGTCAAAGTTTGAACCATATTCTCACACCTTGGACTGACCTCTTATGGGTGAAGATGAGGTAGAGACCATGTCTCAGAGGTCATCTTTGATGATGGCAAGCCTGAAAATGATGTCCAGTAGAGCTGTTGAAGGACACTGTGGATTTCCCATAAAAGCAAAGAAAAATCAATGCTCACCTGACAGAATGAGCTGCACTGAGCTGGAGTTTAAGCAATGTTCAATGCTTCTTGTCAGAGAACCCAAAAGCCTCCTGCAAATTGCAAACAACTTCAGCCCCCACCTGAGACAACAGATCGAAACTTGGAGTGCAGCCAGACTCCTCAAAGTCCCTTTTGCTCTTTGAAATCCTGGGAAGCAAAATAATCTTTGGTGAGAGGCAGTCCCATCCAGCCACAGCCCAATGAAAGAATACCTGCTCAATAAGATGACCATGCAGATGAAAAAAATCAGAGGCTAGACTACCAGGCAAAAGCCAGACAGGGCTGACTGCTTCTCACCCTACAGGAATCATGCAGAATGCCAATAGAAGTGAAAAAAAACAAGAGTTTCCTTGTTGGTGGCTATTTATGGTTTTAAAAGTATCAAAGCTGCCCAGTCATTAAATTGTGAAAGTGTTTAGAAGGAAACACTCATGCAATGGGTTCCCATTAGGGTCATTCTCTGTGAACTGAGAAACATGTATTGTGGAAGTCATTGAGCCAGACATAGGAAACCCTACACTGACAAGAAACATGGACATCAGAGAAAGAAGGGGCAAGTGTGGAGGCCACTTCCCATCTACCATCAAACCATTTCATTCCCATTTTGCTCCCAGTATGAAAGCCTGCAAATTGAGAGTTTGCCAGGATGACCCCAGTTTGCTCCCCAAATATTTCTTGCACATTGGAATACTTTCACCTGAACACTGGGCCATGGTGTGGACTGCTTGTGCAATTAAGGGAATGTTGGGATGGAGTTGGAAGTACCTTCTGTGTCATCTGTCTTTATTTTTTTGCAGTTGAAGTTGTGGGATCTCATCCAATTCCCACCAGATTGTATCCTCACCCCTGTCTGACCTTATTGTTGCTCACACTCTATGTCCCAAAATGAAAACCCAAGACGATGGAGTATTGCCCCCTTATGATGTGAACCAACTGCTTGGCTGGGACCTGAATTTGAGGTAAATTCAAGGGCCCTATGGACAGGACTGCTAGTGTATCTCCCTGCATTGTTTGCAGGACAATGAAACACTCAGAGATGACTGTTTTTTCATGTGGTGTGCTCCCCTTTTTTCTAAGAGTGGCTTTCTTTTGGAGTGGGAGATGAGTTTGACACTGGTGGGTCTCAGCCTGCCTCCCAATTCACTGGGGATTTATGATCCACAGAAAACTAAAGAACATGGAGCCCCACAGCCCAAGCAGTGCTGTACAGACAGGCCACCAAAAAGTTGGGAGACTCAAAAAAAAGAAGTGCTAAAATGTGTTAGCCACATTCCTTTAAGAATACTCCACTTATATTCTAACATGCACACACACAGACACACACACACGCAGACATCCAACACTCTCAATACTTTCACAGAAACACACAGGCTGGCAGCTCCTGAGGCTGTGTGGTTCTGCAGGAAGCCGCATTTGGGAAAGAGCAACCTCAGGGAACACAGCCAGTATACCTGGATATCACAGTAGAGCAATTTCAAAAAGACTCAACCCTACAAAGTCTAAACAGGTTTGAGGAATTCTGCAGATTGTTTTGTATTCTCATGGATTTCACAGTTTATTCCTAGGGCTCTGTTTGATGTTACTTCTGGCTGGCTCATGTCTGCCCTCTCCTGGGATCACGGGACTATCCCATGGATCCAACAGAGAAGACAGGTGAGAGTCCACTGCTGACACACCTCCACGGAGGTCTCTTTATCTGCCAAGCTGCAGGGACTTGTCGCTAGGCAAAGGTGGCATTCATTGTGAAGCTAGCCAGAGCTCACAATAAGGCCTGGTGCCCTGAGACTAGTGCATGCACATTAATGAGGCAGGCTTGGGCGTTGGCTCTCAGACCCGTCAGCCTGCCTAAGCAGAGGAAAATGGCAGAGGCAGAGTCAGTCTGGTATCAGGAAATAAGCTGCCTGTGAAACCCATTGCAGGACCCTAAAAGTCTCAACTTTGGGGGTTATTCAAGCCATCTCCATGGTTGTGTTCCACTGGAGGAGGAGGCATTTCAAGACCATGAAGTGGTCATGGAAACTGCTCTTCTGAGTCCGTTCCCAAAGGAGGCTGTGTGAAAGAATTGGGTCCCATAGGGATTGATATAAGTCTGGTGTGTTCTGGAGGGGTTTTTTGGGTGATAGCAGCAGATCTGAGATCCCAGAGGTGGGTGTCAGCAAAAGATGACCAGGCTCTTGACCTCTCTGCCTCCCTTCATCTGGGGCCTTGCATAGGCTCTCTGGGAAAGGCAGGAAGCAAGACAAGGCAAGTATAAGATCAACACTGTTCTCATACCTCGAACTTGCCCCTCATGGGTGCATATGAGGATGTGACACCATCTCAGAGGCTGTCTGTGGTGACGGCAAGCCTAAAAATGGTGTCCAGTAGTGCTGTTGAGGAGCACTGTGAATTCTCCATGAAAGCAAAGAAAAATCAAAGCTCACCTGAAACAACGAGATGCCTTTTGCCAGAGTCCAAGCAATGTTCAATGATTCCTGTCTGAGGACCCCAAAGACTCCTGCAAAGTGCAAACAACTTCAGCTCCCACAACATACAACAATCCACAATCTGGAGTGCAGCCATGTGACCCAAAGTCCCTTCTGCTCTCTGATATCTCTGGCAGCTAAATAATTGGTGGGAAGAGGCATTCCTATCCAGCAACAGAGCAATGCAAGAGCCCCTCCACTATGAGAAGGCTATGCAGATGAAATGAAACAGAGGCTAGTTTACCAGGCAAAAGCCAGACACAGCTGCAAGCTTCTCATCCTACAGGAATCTTGCAGCATTCCGACAGAAGTGGGAGAATAGGTGTTTCCTTGTTTGCTGCTGTAACAGGAATTAATGGTTGTTAAAGTACCAGAGCTGCCCAGTCAATAAAAATTGAGAATTTTTAGAAGAAAACGTTCATGCTATGGATTCCCATGAGGGTCATTCTCATGAACTGAGAAACATTTAGTGCGGAAGTCATTGAGCCAGACACAGGAAACCCTAGGCTGGAGAGAAACATGGAAGTCAGAAAAAGAAGAGGCAAGTGTAGAGGCCACATCCTACCCAGCACCAATCCATTCCACTCCCATTTGGCTCTGGGTATGAAAGTTCTCACATTGGGAGTTTGCCAGAATGGCCCCAATTTGCACTCCAAATATTCTTTGCACGTTGAAATACTCCCACCTGAATTCTGGGCCATAGTGTGGACTGCTTTTGAAATTAAGGGAATGTTGGGATGGAGTTAGAAGCACCTTTTGTGTCATCTGTCTTTATTTATTTATTTATTTATTTGCAGGTGAAGTTGCTGGAACCCATTCTCCATTCAGCAGATTGTATCCTCACCCCATGTGACCTTATTGCTGCTCAGACTCTATGTTCCAGGATAAAATCCCAAGAAGATGGAGAAGTGCATCCCTCATGATGTGAAGCATGTGCGCAGCTGGGAACCAAATTCGAGGTTAATCCAAGTGGCCTTGCAGACAGATCTGCTAGTGTCTCTCCCTGCGTTGTCCTCAAGATGAAGGAAACACTGAGAGATACCTGGTTTTTGGTGTGGTGTGCTCGTCTTCTAGAAGAGTGGTTTTTTTCTGCAGGGGGAGTTGATTTTGGATGCTAGCAGGTCTTGGCCCACCTCCAAATTCACTGGGGATTCAGGATCTACAGAAAAATAACACGGAACCATGCAGCCCAAGCATAGCCACACACACAGGCCACCAAAAGTTAGTGAGGCTAAAAACAAGAAGCACTGAAGTGTGTTAGCCCTATTCCTTTAAGCAGACCCCACTTACAGGCACACACACACACACAAAATGCCACACACACTCGACGTCAAACACTCGCAACACACCCACGGAAACACACAGCATGGCAGATCCCGAGGTTGCATGGTTCTGCAGGAGGCCCCACCTGAGAGACAGCAACCCCAGGGAACACAGGCAGGCTGTACCTAGAAATCACATTGGCGTAAGTTTCAAAACCCATACAACCTCTAGGGTGGCCTGAGGAATTCTGCAGATCCTTTTGGATCCTTAGAGATTTTGCAGTTTATTTGTGGGGCTGTGGTTGATGTTTCTTCAGGCTGACTCCCATAAGCCCTCTGATCATGGTTGATATTTCTTCAAGGCTGGCTCACATCTGCCTTCTCATAGGATCATGGGACTATCCTGTGGATCCCACAGAAAAGACAGGGGAGAGTCCACCGCCAATGCACCTCCGAGCAGGTCTCTTTCTCTGCCAAGCCGCAGGAACTTGTTGCTAGGCAACAGTGACATTATAAGGCTAGCCAGAACTCACCATCAGGCCTGGTGCCCTGAAACTAGCACATGCACATTCTTGGGGCAGGTTCAAGCACCCAGCTGTCAGAGATGTCAGCCTGCCTAGGCAGAAGAAAATGCACAGGCAAAGCTGGCCTCATATCGGGAAAATGGCTACCTGTGAAAACCCACTGTGAGACCCTAAACATCTCGACCTTAGGGACCCATGGGCAGCCTCCATGGTCTCGTCCCGCTGGAGGAGTACACATTTCAATACTGTTAGGTAGTGGCTGGAAACAGCTCTTCTGACTCTATTCCTGAAAGAGAATGTGTGTGCAAGGATCAGATCCCACGGGGATCAGGATATAGTCTGTTGTGTTGTTCAGTGTTCTTTGGATGATAGAATCATATCTAAGACCCCAGAGGCAGCTGTCAGCAAAAGATGGCCAGGCCGTTAATCTCACTGCCTCCCTTCATCCTGGGCCTCACAGGGGCTCTCTCAGATAAGCAAGAACCACAAGAAAGGCAAGTCCACGTTGGAGACATGTTCTCACACTTTGAACTGGCCTCTCATGGGTGCCGATGAGGTTGAGACAGTGTCTCAGAGGCTGTCTGTGGCAATTCCTTATACCCAGAGAGAAAAAAATCACTTGACAGAATTGTTGGGAAACCAGCCCCACACTGCCCAGCAGGTGCCCCGAGTCCAGCGAAGACAAAGGAATTAGAAAAAGACAGAATGAGAGTTTAAAAGGCAGGTCCAGGGGACCAGAGAATTGGAGTCTTGTTCATGGCCTGGAGCTCTCAGCCACCACCCAATTTATTGGTTTTCAAGCTTTTTGTTCATAGGGCAGATAGGAGGAGTAGAAAGGGATGAGGGGAAGGATTAATCAGTGAAGGAGAACTCGTGAGTCATTCAATAGGATGTATAGCAGTGGCGGTTTCTGTGAATTTCCTTGGGCAAAGGTGTGTGTCTAAACTACTTAATGTATTTAACTTATCGGGACTGAAATGGGTGGGACTAGGTTTCAGGAGAAGCCAAGACATTTGATTAGACTCCACTGCTTCAAGGGAGTGTTATTTCCCTGAGCAAGCTGCGGCATGCCGCTGAGCTGTTATGCTCTCCAGGCATAAGGGCATGAAGGCAGTAAGGAGACTTTTCTCCTCAGACGCCATCCATGGCTCCCCATGGGAGTCTCACACAGGGCAGACCAACTCATCTGGCATCCCAGAAACTCTCTTTTCCATATGTCCCACTTTTTTGTCCCCATTTTTTTTAAATTAATAACCACCATTGCTATCATAGCTCATTCACGGTGTCTGTCTTCTCTCCCAAGGTGCTGTCCGCAACTGTAGACTAAAAAAAAAAAAAAAAAAAAAAAAAAAAAGCAGAAACAGACACAAACCAAAATAATATTTGCAGTTGATGATCCACCTATGGTTTTAATTCACTTTAAAGGATTATTGTTAAAAAGGCCATCAGTGGCTCCAGCAAGAATATCAGCTCCAGGCAACAAGCTGGGATGAGCCTGAGATGCTGCAAAAAGTTGTTTTTTCCGTTTAGCAGGATCTAATGTTAAATTATCTTCTCCTGGTAGGCGATGTCTAATCAACTCCCAGTGGTGTTCAGTGGTATTATAAGAGCTAGGAGGAAACAAAAATCAGAAGTATTCCAATCACTTTGCATTTAAATTCTCTGCTCCAAGCTCATAATCTGACCACCCATTCAAATTACTGTTTGATGAAGATCATTAATTTGATTTGCCAATTTTTGATCTATTTGGCTTTGGGAATTCCAAAGCTTGGAAAAATTTTTCTGTCAACTATCCACAGAGCTCACAGTTTGAATAGAAGAATCCAAAGCTACAACAGCAGCAGCAGCTATAGCTGTGACCGCTATGAGGCCCGTGATGACAGCTATTAAGGTAAATATGAATCTCTTTGATCTATTAAGTATTTCTTTTAGTACTGCAGTGATAATATATATGGAGGAAGAGGCGTCCCAAGGTCTATTGAGGGAAACAGGTATCCAAACTCCTTCTCAGGCCCTAACCAGTAAAGTGCTGTTATCTTTATTAAAGGTAGAATTAATGCAGGTAAAAATATGACAGCTGAGGCATGATATGGTTTGAGAGTCAAGTAGGATATTAACTTTTCCTGCTGCTAACATAAAAGGAGGTTTAACACAACTCTGCAATGGGACTGTCTGATTAGAGATCATGGCTACAACAAATCAAAGATTTTCACTATGAGTCTCTGTTTTATATTCTCCTTTCCAAATCCCAACTGGGGTTTGAGCCATCATTAATTTCCACAATTCTGGATGTTCTGGTCTTGTAATTGGATCAATCATTTTTGGCCTTGGAGGAGCCATACCATTCTCCTCCCACTTAATAGGGCAGTTTGTTTCAATTCTTCTATATAATTTTAGTGCGTTATCTGGGAAGTCTTTTGCAAAGGAGTCTCTCCAAAATCTTTGCTGTGTCCGGTACAATTTATGGCAAAGTGACCTCTAGAGACCCAATCAGTGATGATTCCAATGGAATTATTTTGCAATACTGCAGCGCTGTTTGCAATACAATCTTCCCAGGTTAGCACCTCTAGATTTTCATTTAGTGGCCTGCCTGGGGCAGGACTTCAATAAGAAGGTTTAAGTTTATTAATCTGATGATGTGTCATAACATAGCCATGCTCAAGGTATTTAATAGTGTCCAAAGATTGAAATGTTCTTCCACTGATTACATGAATAGAGGCCTTTCATCCATTATGTTCAGGGACATAAACCATCCAACGTTGTTTATCATAATTTAAACATCCTGCTGCTGGCCCCAGGCAGATGGGAGGAAAGTGATAACCAATGGAAACTTTCATTAACATTCCTTCCTCCTCTGGATGAGTAGGACCTTGGTTATCTATTGGTCCAGGCATCCAGACACTATCATTAACATAACCTCCACTGGGGCATCTAAACTTATAACAGGCCTAATCAGTGGTGGGAATGCAATGTAGGTCCAGTAAGTGTAATTTTGATCTGCCCCTCTGCAGGGAGACTCACCACCAAGGGGATTACCACCATCGTAGCTACCATTAGATTACTGGTGGTCAGCAGCTTGTGCTGAGACCGCAGGTTCTCTTCTTCAGTGCGAGCTAGTCTCTTCATCCGCCCCCAGGTCGGTGGAGTTGCTTGGTAAGTTTTACTGGTTTCCATCTGCTCAACAGAGATGTTCATCTGAGCCATCTGATGAACTGGGGGTGTAGGGACTTTCTGAGGTCTTTTCCTCTTCCTTGAATTCTGGCTCCTGGCACAGCTTAAGATGTCTTGTGGGTACCCAGACAAGAAGTTGATTCTCTCCTGGTGAGATACAAGCAAATCCTCAATCCCAACAAGACCCACTGGGGCCTTTTGTTTGGGCCAGTTTTTGGGCCATTGATAAACGCTGTGATTGACACATCTGCTCCTGTGTCGACAAGAGCCTCAAATTGTTTTCCTTTAATAGTGACCTACAAATAGGACTATTGTCAGAGACTTGATTTACCCAATAGGCAGGCTTGCCTGCTGAATTTGTGCTTCTATATCCTCCTTTTATTCTGAGCTTTCTCCTATCTTAACATATGGTAAAAACAACAGTTGAGCTATTCTGTCACCTGGATTAGCACTCCAGGGAACAGTGGAGGAGATAACAATTTGAATTTCTCCCTGGCAATCAGAGCCCACTACCCCAGTATGTACTTGAATTCCCTTTAATTTTAAGCTGGACCTTCCAAGTATAAGTCCCACCATGTCCTTTGGCAATGGGCCGTAAACTCCCGTTGGGATCTTCCTGGGAGTCTCCCCAGGAAGGAGGGATACAGGTTCAGTACAGCATGTATTTACTGCCCCACTTTTATCTGTGGAGGGGGACAATTGCTCTGCATTTGTGCAGGGATAGACTGGGCTGGGAATACTCTGTTTGGGGTCAGGGATGACCCACCCTGAATTGGGAATGCCCTGTTTTGAATCAGGGCCTGGTCCTGAGTTTTGCCTTTTTTGGCTCTTTGTACACTCTCTTTTTGCATGTCCTATCTGTCCCCAATTATATCAAGATCCAGGGAACACTCATGTGTTTTTTGTTACCCTTAGTCCAGCCATTGCCTGAGAAAGGAGGTTGGCCTTATATAAGGGCTCCTCAATGCCATCACAGGCTGTAATATATTCACTTACAGTTTTTTCCTCATTTAGATCTGCCTTTACCTTAATAGATCTAATTTCTCCCTGACATTCTGTATTCATAGTTTCATAAGCAAGCAGCTGAATGATCACTTTCCTGGCACAAGAATTTGAAATAGTCTTTTGAGCAGCTTCTTGCAAATGGGGTGATAAAATCTGGATAAATCTTCCTTGGACCCTGTCAAACTGAGTTAAAAGAAGGATAAATAGTAACAGGGTCATGAATTTTTTTTCTGGTATCTTCAGTGTATAGTTCTGAGCTGATCAACAGACTCATCACCCATTACCATCTGTTGATTTACAGTACCCCATGCCTGCCCAATTCCAAGCAATTGATCAGATGTGATATTAATAGGAGGTTGGGCCTGAGCATTTCTCCCTGCCTGACTTGTTGCTTCATCTGTCCACCAGGTTTTAAATTGGAGAAATTGAGAGGGAGACAGGGTGGATCGAGCTAATGACTCCCAATCCATAGGTATTAAGGGCCTGTTATAAGCCACAAATTATAATGAAGAATGAACCTAAGAAAAATTTGGCCCATATTGTCCAATTGCTTGCTTAAAGTCTTTTTAATATTTTAAAAGGAAATGGCTCCCAGCAGGCCCGAGCATGTTCTCTGGGCTCCTCAGCTGGAGAAATAATTACCAGAAACTGCCAAGCATCCAAATCCCCCATTTCTTGTGCCTGTCAAATGGATGCCTGAATTGCCCCTGCACCATAATTTGTATTTGGACTGGCTCACAGCATTTCTCTCCCATAATTAACAGGTGGACAAGCCTGGATCATTCCCTCACCGTAATTGGCTGTTGGGCTGTTGAAGCTTCCCTTTACCATAGTCAATGGTAGGCCGTGAAACAATGGGAGTGGCAAGCCATGTCTCAGTCTCCCTTTCCAAAAATTCATAAGGCTGAGGTGGAGGTGGCTGTTCTGCACCTTCCTCTAAAGGCGCAGTAGGGGGAACTGTTTCTTTCATAAGTTTTTGGAGGTTAGTATGTACACCTTCCCATTTCTCCCCCTTTTTTAAACTAGACTGTGATGGTTGACTGTGCTGATTATCAGACTCCTGATTATTAAACTTTTTTATGTCACCCTGAAACTTCTCCTCCTCCTTCTCAGTGTGGAAGGGCTCCAGTGCTGTTTTAATTGCTGACCACACAGACCAAGTGGAGAAGGGACTATCGTGGCCCTCTTGTTGTGCTCCTTTTAAGTCTGGTCCGATCTTGTCCCAGTCTTTTACATTCATGGTTCTGTATTCCAGGAACCAAGGAGAATACTTTTCTATGAGATGGAAAAAAGATATGAGATTTTTGGTACTCATAATTACTCCTCTATGGCTCAATAACTGCTGCACCAGGCTTAAGTAATTAACAAACTTGTTTCCAGCCTGACCCATATTTTCCTGAGGTTGCCCTGGAATTCTCTGAGTGCCCCACTTACCTGTAGAGCGTGAAGGGAAAAGGTACTCGGACATCCTTTGTCAGTCATCCTGCACTTTCTACGCTCTGGTGTTCCCTCACTGGATGATTTGTAGAGATATAGGGAGCACTGTGTTGGGCACCAGATGTTGAGGAAACAAGCCCCACACCACTGGGCAGGTACCCTGTGTCCAGCAGAGACAATGGAATTAGAAAGAGGAAGATTGAGAGTTTAAAAAGCAGGTCCAGGGGACCAGAGAATTGGAGGCTTGCTCACGGACCCGAGCTCTCAACCTCCACCCAATTTATTGGTTTACAAGCTCTTTGTTCTTAGGTCAGATGGGAGAGGTAGGAAGGGATGAGGAAAATGATTAATCAGTGAAGCAGAACTCGTGAGTCATTCAATAAGATGTATAGCAGTGGTGGTTTCTGTGAATTTCCTCTTGCAAAGGCATGTGTCTAAACTATGTAAGATTTTTAACAGCCAGGAACAGTGGCTCACGCCTGTAATCCCAGCACTTTGGGAAGCAGAGGTGGGCAGATCATGAGATCAGGAGATCAAGACCACGGTGAAAACCTGTCTCTGATAAAAATACAAAAAATTAGCCAGGTGCAGTGGTGGGTGCCTGTAGTCCCAGCTACTCGGGATGCTGAGGCAGGAGAATGGTGTGAACATGGGAAGTGGAGCTTGTGGTGAGCCAAGATCACACCACTGCACTCCAGCCTGGGTGACAGAGAGAGACTCCATCACAAAAAAATAATAACAGAAATAATACAAATGACTTATCAGGACTGAAATGGGTGGGAGTGAGTTTCAGTAGAAGACAAGATGTTTGATTATACACCACTGCTTCAAGGGAGTGTTATTTCCCTGAGCAACCTGTAGCATGCCGCTGAGCTGTTATGCTCTTGAGCATAAAGACATGAAGGCAATAAGGAGACTTTTCTCCTCAGAGGCCACCCATGGCTCCCATGGGTGTCTCACACAGGGGAGAAGAACTCATCTGGCATCCCAGCAACTCTCTTTCCCACAGAGAAAGGAGTGAAACAAGCTGCCTTGTTCTGGAGTCCTAGCAATGTTCAATGATTTCTGTCAGAGAACCCAAAAGCCTCCTGCAAAGTGCAAACAACCTCAGCCCCCATAAGGAGACCAATACCCACAACCTGGGTTGCAGCCAGCCTACCCAAAGTCCCTTGTCCTTCCTGAAATCCCTGGAGGCCAATAAATCTGTGGTGAGAGGCAGCCCAACTCAGCAAAAGCCCAGTGAAAGACGCTTTCCACAATGAGGAAGGACATGGAGATGGAATGAAACAGAGTCTAGATTACCAGGCAAAAGCCAGAAATGGCTGCCTACTTCTCCACCTACAGGAATCATGCAGCCCTCTTGTAAAAGCTGGAGAGCAAGAGTCTCCTTGTTGGTGGCTGTAACAGGAACTTATGGTTTTAAAATTATCACAGATGCCCAGTCATTAAAACATGACACTGTTTAGAAGGAAACACTCATGCAATGGATTCTTTGAGAGTCACCTTCCATGAAGAGGGAAATGTTTAGTGAGGAAGACACTGAGCCAGACCCAGGAAACCCTAGGCTGATGAGGAACAGGTAAGTCAGAATATGAAGAGGCAAGTGTGGAGGTTACATCCTATATTGTATCAATCTCTCTCATTCCCATTTGGCTTCTGGTATGAAAGCTCTCATATGGGGGTTTGCCAGGATGGCCCCAATTGGCAATCCAAATCTCCAAATGTTCCTTGTACATTGGAATACTCCCATTGTAGCAGCATAAGCCATGGACAAAACCCTTCAGACACTGGCTTAAAGAAAGAAGTGACTTTATTCGGCTGGGAGCATCAGCCAGCTGTCTCAAAAACCAAGTTCCCCACAGAGAGATTTCTACCCTTTTTAAAGGCTTACAACTCTAAGAGGGTCCCTGTGAAGGGGTCATCATTGATTGAGCAAGCATGGGGTATGTTGCTGAGGCTGCATCTATTGGTAATCAGGATAGAAGAGAACAAAACAGTTTCACGATGCTTCCTCATACAGTGTCTGGAATCTATAGATAATACAAGCGGTTAGGTGAGGGGTTGATTTTTAACTGCCAGTCCTGGAGTGCCGTGCATGTTCTGCCTGGCAATTGAATTCATCTCTGCCTTTCTTTAGTTTTTGATTCCTTTTTCTTTTTTTAAGGTATGAGACAATAAGAGAGGTGGTCTCCCTCCTTATTCCCCGCTCTGAGAATCTCACTTATTAGTGGGAGTTCTCACTCTCATCCTCCCTTCCTAGGTCTTCCTGCAAGACAGATCTATAGTAGTTCACGTAATATACAGGTGCTGAAGCATTTTGGGGGACCATGGCAGTAACAAAGCTCGCATTATTTGAAGGAGTATGAGTAGCAAGCAGGGGAGAAATAAGCATGTTCCTATTACTATTTTTCTTCCTACTATAAAAATTTTAAATTTTCCTATCACTGGAAACCATTTTCCAAATATTGATCCAGGATCAAACCAATGTCAATTGATATTTTTCATTCTTTTTCCAGGTAGCCAAAATGATGGCACATGTGCAAGGTGTGTCCTATCTCTGACTATATTTTTGACCACTTGCTCTTGATGATCTATATGCAGACAGCAATTGGTTAGGTTCAATTTTCCACAGACCCCTTCTTCAGCTGCTAGCAAGTAGTCGAGGGCTAATCTATTTTGATAGACAGCATTTCTCATCTGGGTTTCCTGCCAGGCTAAAAGACTCAAAGCTTTGCCAGTTTTATTAGTGATTATTTCTAAGACAGTTTGTAACCATATGATTTGGTTAAGCATGTAAATGGGGTTTCAGTATCCCCATGAGCCATCTTGTGCCCAAGTGGCAGGCCCATAGTATTGTATGATCCTTTTAGGGAGCCACTCAATATATTTCAATTTGCCTATAGCTATGCTCCTCTTTTCTCAGGAAGCATAGACTTGGAAGTCCAGGATTTCATGTGTTTTCATGGGCAGTTAGAAAAAGGATGGTTTAATGGTGCCAATAACACAACTACCTGCCCATTGTTCAGGTAACATCGTGTAGGGTCTATGCCCAGATATCCAGCATAGTCCAGCATGGGCTGTCCAGTCCCACTGAGACTCTGTGTGGGTCCAGATGGTTTGCAACTTTGGAAATTTATGAAACAGATTTTTATCACTGTGGTTTGAACCCCACCATGTGGCTGTTTTTACTGTGCTGTTATACAGTTTTGCCCAAGGCAGGTGAAGCTTTCCACAGGGAGGATGATGTTGTTTCCTTCTATAGCTATGCAATACTGCCCAATAATTGAGGTTCTTAAGACCCAGAAGTTGCCAGTGTGGGTCTTCTGGATGGTAATCATATCGGGAATTGGATCAGTAGGCACTAATTCTTGGGCTTCTTAAGGCCATTTGTCTCCCATAGTGGTTCCCTCACATACATAAAAGGAAGAAACATTGAGGGAATGGACTACATTTTCTGCTAACTGCAGGAAAAAATTCTTTGTCTTCCCTGGGAACTCTGGTATGGGCACATTTAATTCATCACAGAAGGTCTGAAACCCTGGTTTGTGAGAATACATTTTGACCTCTTGTCTGACTGAAATATTTACTGAAGGATCCTGTCCAGCTACATGGATCCCAAGAGTTACATGTTTTCCCTATTTCCAATGGGGGGTCTAGGGGACTGGTGATTATTGGTTCTAAGGTGTTACTGTGGCTGCTTGTGCAAGAGGAATCACCCTTTCCTTTCTGAAGCCATACTGGATATTTTTCATTATTTTTCCAGGTAGCCAAAATGACACAGGACCAGTAATTACATGCTTTATCACATTGGCCTAACTCATGGCAAATATACTCAAATATACTTATTCTCTGCTGGATAACTTTTTTCTCAGTCAAGACAGCCACATCCTTATCATTAATGGTTAATATTAATGGTGACACAAGCATCAGAATTTAAGATTTTGTGTTTGGGGATTCATTTTTCTTCTGTTTTAGCTATTATTTTACTTGTAACACTTAGAAAAGGGAGAGTTCTTAATCTTATTTCAAAGACTGTGTTCATAAGAGATTCAGATGTGTTATAGCACATCTGAGTGAAGTTATACAGGCAATTTTCTTTTAAAGTTCCTAGGCATTCAAAATATCTATAAACCGAAAGATTGTTTTAACTTGTTTCCATACCTCAGTAACATGATGAATACACAGGGAACAGTCCTCCATTTTGGGAACATGACAGTGTTTAGAAGGAAACACTCATGCAATGGATTCTTTGAGGATCCTCTTCCATGAACTGGGAAACGTGTAGTGTGGAAGACATCCACAGTAAGCATTGTATAATCAGTCTTTATTATACAAGTCCAAATTTTAAGGAGAGTAAGTCCCACGATGAGTTTTCTCATGATTCAATCATGTGTAGACCAATCAGCTTAAAAGTGTGACTGGAGCAGGGCTTGTCGTCTTTCTGAGCGTCACTTTGCAGTGGTTGTCTGGCCTTTGTCTTACCTCCCAGGTCTCAGGCACTGCAGGTGTTACACGACGGTGATGGATCCAGGATGGGATTCCTTCTACCTTCACCAGGTGGGAGTGGTCAAAATGACAGTCTGGGGTCCCTTACACCATGGATGTAGGGGGCTGCATTCCAGTCCTTGATCCACATGTGATCACCTGGGGGAGAAGTTGTGAACTGGGGAGAATAAACTAATAGGACCCCTTTCATTTTCCCAGCCTGAAATTGTTTGTGTAATTTTTCCTAGAGCTTGTAGCTGTTGCTGTAACTTAACTTCACCTAACTATCGAAGAGTGCCTGGGAGTCCCTATAATATGGGAGTGGGTCTATGATATAATATTTCATAAGGGGAATATCCTGTTCTTTTAGAAGGAGTACATCTTATCTTAAAGAATACCATACGGAGAGTCTGTAACCATTTCAATCCTGTTTCTGGAAACACTTTCCCTCAGCTATTTATAACAGTTTGATTAATTCGCTCCACCTTTCTGGAACTCTGAGGTCAGTAGGTTGCATGTGGTTTCCACGTGATCCCCAATACCTTTGCTGTCTTCTGCACCAAGTCAGTCATAAACACTGTCCACTTATCTGAACCAATTCGTAGGGGCAGTCCAAATCTAGGAATAAGATCTCAAAGAAGAACACATGTTACTTCACAAGGTTTTTCAGTTTGTGTTGGATAAGCCTCTACCAGCTCAGAGTATGTACACACAAGAACTAGTAAATATGTGTTACCTCCACAATTTGGCATCTCTGTGAAGTTCACCTGGAAATCGTCAAAGGGGGCTCCTCCATAAACTTCTATGCTGGGCAGAATTGCTCCACCCTCCCTCACATTTTGTTGTCAGCATATAATACATCACCATGCCACCGTTTTGGAAAGGGCTGACAAATATGATATGTAGAAGTACCAGCCTAACAACTTTTTAAGTGATTCCTGAACTAGAGGGGTAGGTTCATGCACAGCCAGTACAATTGTGCCTCCTAGCAGCTGTGGCATGGCTATTCTTCTGTCTGGTAACTGGATCCATCCCTCTTTTGCTGTTTGCTCTCCTGCCTGAAAGAAGTCTTTCTCTTCTTTACAACAAGTAGGTACAAGGTCAGGTGCCTGAGGAAGCAGGGGGGTTGAGACCAATGCCTGGTAGGGGTGGAGGCTGCTTTTTGAGCCTCTGAGTCAGCTCTGGAGTTCCCTAAAGCAACCATGGTAGAAGCTTGCTGGTGTCCCCTGAAATGCATGACTGACACATTTTGGGGTTTCCATACTGCTTCTAATAATTACAAGATTTATTGCTGATGATTTCTGTCCTTTCCTCCAGAGATTAACAGCCCCTTTTCTTTATATAATGCTCCATGTACTTGGAGGGTTGAGAAAACATACCAAGAGTCAGTGTAAATGTTTTTAGTCTTACCTTCACTGAGTTTTCACACCCAAATTAAAGCAGTGATCTTGGCTTTCTGGGCTGAAGTACTCTGTGGCAATAGTTTGGCCTCAATGACAGTGTCCAGGGTTACCACTCCATATCCTGCATACCTCACTCCTTGTGGGTTGACAAAGCTGCTCCCACCCACATATACCTCCCAGTCCACTGATGCCCACGTCAGGCTTGCTAAAGTAAGCTGAGTTCAACACCTCTACACAGTTATGCTCAACAGGGCTTTCTTATACAGGGAGCAAGGTGGCAAAATTCAGGTTGTTACAAACTTCATTGATTGTGTGGGGATTTTCACAGAGAAAGCTTTGTACTTGCTTAGTCTAGCATTCATTAGCCAATGATATCCTTTGGTATTCAGTAAAGTCACCACAGCATGTGGGGCCTTTATGTTCATGTTTTGCCCAAGAGTTAGTTTATCTGCTTCTTGTGCTTTCAGGGCAGTTGCTGCTAATACCCTCAAACAAGAGGACCAACCTTTAGAAACCCTGTCTAGTTTTTTAGAGAGGTAGGCCACTGGCCTCAGCCAGGACCCCACATTCTGGGTCAAAACCCCAACTGCCATTTTTTCTCTCCCTGACACATATGGTGTAAATGGCTTTGTCAGATCAGGCAGAACCAGGGCTGGAGCTGACATGAGTTTCTCTTTTAACTCATAAAAGGCTTGCTCTTGTTGGGACCCCCATTCAAAAGCTTCCTGGTCTTCCCCTTTTTAGACCCATACAGAAGCTTCACTAGTACTGCAAAGTTTGCAATCCACAGTCTGCACAACCCCCACAGCTCCTAAGAATTTTCTCACTTGCCTTCTGGTCTTAGGCTCCAATAGGCTGCAGATGACTTGCTTTCTTTCTGACCCCAAGCTGTGTTCCCCCTGTTGGATATTCAATCCCAGGTAGCTTACCTGCTGTCTTCAGATTTGAGCTTTCTTCTTTGATACCTTATATCCACACTTCTGCAGCTACTGAAGGAGGGCCTCTGTCCCTCTGGCACACCCAACTGCCATGGGGTGAGCATGCAGAAGATCATCCACGTACTGGAGCAAAACGCAGCATAGGTCTTTGGTGGGGAACTTTTGGAGGTCTCAAGCCAGCACCTCTCCTGAAGATGGTGGGTGAGTGCTTAAACCCTTGGAGAAGCAGGATTCAAGTGTACTGAGTGGTGACACCTAACCCCGGATCTTTCTTCCCACTGGAAGGCAAACAGTTTCTGGCTCTCAGGAGATAGTCTGATGCTAAATAAGGTGTCCTTCAGGTCTAGGCAAGTGAACCACCTGTCCTCAGCTGACAATAACCCAACAATGTGTATGGGTTAGGTACTGTTGGATGTAAAGTCACTGTAGTGTGACTGACCAAGCACAAGTCCTGTACTTGCCTGTAGTCCTCAGTCCCTGGCTTAGGAACAGGCAGGAGGGGAGTGTTCCATGGCGACTGACAAGGGACTATAATTCCAAAGGCTCTGAGGCATTTGAGATGAACCTGGCTACCTTCAATAACTTGTCTGGGGACTGGGCACTGTCTTTGCCTGACCAGCTGGACCCCCAAAATTAACTTCTATGAGTATGGTGGCTTGGTTGACTGCCAGTCCTAGAGGTTTATCTTCTGCCCACACCCTGGGCTACCACTTAGCCAGAGCTGGTCCTATCTCTTTGCCTGACTTAGTTAAGAAAAGTCTCCATTCCTCCTCCCAGTGTACCATAAGGGCCATAATGAATAGTGATTCATGCCCCCCTACAGTACAAGTCTGGGGCAAGCAGAAAACTTGTTTTTCTGAGACTCCTGTGGCTCTGAATATATCAATAGTCTTTTTGGATAAAGGGGTGATCGGGGTGGTTACTACTGAATGTTCTGCACCAGTATTGACAAGAAACTCAATGTCTTTTCCCCTGACTCTCATACTGACCATGGGCTCATAGGGAGCACCTGAGCCCAGTTCCCCTCAGTCCAGTAACTCTTCTGCCAAATTAAACAAGGCCACTTCATCCTTGCTTGAGACCTCTGGCTCAGAGTCATTTTGTTTCTCTTTTAACTGGGGGCACTTGTCTTTCCAATGCCCTATTTCTTTACAGTATGCACACTGGTTATGTTGCAGGTGTGGTTGGTCAAACTGGGTGTTTTTTTTTTTTCAGGGCCTCCCCTTCCTTGGCCCTTTGGGTGGACCCCTCTAATAGCTGTGACTAGGAGATCAGCCTTTCACCTGGCTTGGTGCTTGCTTTCTTTGCAGCTTTCTCTATGGCCTGCTGCATCTCTATTCACAAACCCTGATTGGCTATTTCCAATAACAGGGATGTGTTTATGCCCTCAAACCTAGCCTGTTTCTGAAGTTTTCTTATAATGTCTCCTGTGCTTTGATGACCTAAAGCCGTGTTAATCATGCATTGATTTTCAGGGCTTTCAAGATCAAAGGGTGTATACATACAATAGGCCTCAAAGTCTTTCATGAAATTGTGCTGGACTCCCTTCTTTTCCTTGAATGACCTCAGACACTTTTTTAACATTTCTGGCCTTCTGAGCTCCCTTCTTTAACCCTTCCAGGATGCCAGGGGCATAGTTGGTGCCATTTCCTGCCATGAGTCTTCTCATATTGGGTCAGACAGAACTTTAGGAGCCGACTTCCTTTGGCGGGTGGAGTGGGATCCTTCATTGGCTATCTGTCCCATTGCCACTAGCACTGCTGCTGCTGCTGCCTGTCCTCTTAACCACTGTGCAGGGGGTCTAAAACCAGCTATAACCAAGTGTCTATGTATGGGAACTGATCTGGGTGCCCTGGTTTACAGATTATCTTGTGCAATTCCTTTGAAACAAGGGACCTATCTAGGCTTCCTTCTGATGGCCAACCCACTTCTAATGCTTGCCTGTCTATCTCACACAAAGTTCTAAGTTTCCCTGGTGTCATAGTAACTCCATAGTTTCCTTTAAATCTCTTCTTGAAATTTTTCAGCATAGTTCCTAGCAGGGTGGACTTACTTCGTGTCTGATTCTTTTTTCTCCCAAGAAAAGACAATAGTCACACTGCAAGAAGGAAAGGGTAAAGGTCACACACTCTAATTCAAACTAAATCAAGTAACTCAATCCAAGTCAAAAGCAAAACCTAAACCAAAGTTCCAATAAAGGCATGCCGTGGGTATCAGGCCATGCTTCCACTTGGAGTAGCCAAGTTCCCAAGACCAGCCATACCATGTTCTAGATGTCCAGACTCCAAGTACCAGTTCCTTCCTGGTGTACAGCCACTACATCAATCCTTTGTGGGAGCCTGCTGTGTACTGCTCTAGTGAGGCATTCCACTGGGTCTATTGCCTACCCTGGAGCTCTCTCAGGATCCATGTCACTCAAGCTGGATGGAGTCCTCCACAAGGATGCTCCACAGGGCAGACCTAAGCCACCTAATGGGCTGCCTCAACCTTATGCTAATCACCTTGCTTCCAGTCAAGGAACTGAAAAATGTAGCAGGAGCAGCCATGGACAATACCATTCAGACACCGGGTTAAAGAAGGAAGTGGCTTTATTTGGCTAGGAGCATTGGCAGACTTGTGTCTCAAAAACTGAGCTCCCTGAGACAGAGATCCCTGCAGATTTTAAAGCTTACAAATCTAGGGGATCCATGTGAAAGTGTCATGATCAATTGAGCAAGCATCAGTATGTGGCTGGGCTGCATGGATCAGTAATCAGGACAGAACAGAACAGAAACTTTGACAATTCTTCCTCATACAATGTCTGGAATCTATGGATAATACAAGCGGTTAGGTCAGTGTTGATTTTTAAGTACCAGGCCTGGAGTGTGGTGCCAGCTTTCTGACTATTGATCTCATTTCTGCCTTTCTTTAGTTTTTACTTCCTCTTTCCTTTTCTGATTTATGAGACAATAAGAGAGGTGGCATCTTTCCTCACCACCTGAACACTGGGCCATGGTGTGGACTGCTTGTACAATTAAGGAAATGCAGGGATGGAGTCGGAATCACCTTCTGTGTCATCTGTCTTCATTTCTCTTCCAGGTAAAGTTGAGGAACCCAATCCATCCCTCACCAGGTTGTATCCTCACCATTATCTGACCTTATTGCTGCTCACACTCTATGTCCCAGGATGAAATACCAGGATGATGGAGTGCCCCCTCATGACTTGAAGCACCTGCTTGGCTGGGAACTGAATTTGAGGTAAGTTCAAGGGGCCCTGTGGACAGTACTGCTAGTGTCTGTCCTTGGGTTGGCTGCAAGACAATGAAACACTGGGAGATGTTTGTTTTTTGTTATGGCTTTTTCTTTTTTTGCAGTGTTAGCTGATTAGGATGCCAGAGGTTCTTGGACCCCCTCCCAATTCACTGAGGATTTATGATCCACAGAAAAAAAAAGAGAAAAGAAAAAAACATAGAACCCTGCAGCCCAAGCAGAGTCACACATATAGGCCAGCAGAATGTTAGGACACTCAAAACAATAAAGCCATGTAGTGTGTTAGCCACATTTCTTTAAGTAGACTCTACTTACAGGTGCACACATACATACACACCCCCCCACACACAAATGCCACAAAAACGCATGCAGACATCCAAGAGTCACAACACTGTAACAGAAACATGCAACGCGGCAGATCCTGAAGCTGTGTGGTTCTGCAGGAAGTCCTACCCGAGAGAGAGCAACTCCAGTGAACACAGGTGGGCTGTACCTAGAAATAACAGTGGGGCAAGTTACAAAAAGACTTACCCCTACAACGTCTAGGCAGGACTGACAAATCCTGCAGATACTTTTGGATCCTTAGGGATTTTGCAGTTTTTTCTTGGGGCTGTGCTTGAACTTTTTTTTTTTTTTTTTGGTTGGCTCACCTCTGCCATCTCCTAGATTCATCAGACTATCCCGTGGATCCCACAGAAAAGACAAGTGACAGTCCACCACCGACGAACCTCCATGGAGTTCTCCTTCTCCACCCAGCCACAGGGACTTTTGTCTAAGCAATGGTGACATTCATTGTGACACCAGCCAGAGCTCACAATCAGGCATGATGCCCTGAGACATGCTCATTCCCATTCATGAGGCAGGCTCAACTGCCTGACTATCAGAGCTGTCAGCCTACCTATACAGAGAAAAATGGTACAGGCAGAGACAGCCTGGTATTGGGAAAAAGGCTGTCTGCAAAAACCCACTGTGGGACCCTAAGAGTCTCAACCTCAAAGCACGTTCAGGCTTTCTCCGTGGTCAGGTCCCCCTGGAGATGGATGTGCTTCAAAACCATGAGGTGGTCCCTGGAAACTGCATTTCTCACTCTTTCTCCGAAAGAGGCTGTATTCCAGAATCAGGTCCCGTGAAGTTTGGAATATATTCTGGTGTATTTTTGAGGGTTCTTTGGGTGATAGAATCATACCTGAAACCCCAGAGGCAGGTGTCTATAAAAGACGGACAGGCTCTTGACTTCACTGCCTCCCTTCATCCTCGGCCTTGCAGGAGCTCTCTGGGGAAGGCAGGAACCACAACAAAGGCAAGTCCAAGATGGAGCAGTGTTCTCACATCTTGCACTGACCTCTCATGGGTGTAGATGAGGTTGAGACAGTATCTCAGAGTCCATCTGTGGTGATGGCAAGCCTGAAAACTATGTCCAGTAGTTCTGTTGAGAGGCACGTGGATTCCTGAAGAAAGCACGGAAAAATCCAAGACTCAGCTGAGAGAACAAGCTGCCTTGTGCTGGAGTTGAAGCAGTGTTCAATGATTCCTGTCAGAGGACCCAATAGCCTCCTGCAAAGTGCAGACAACCTCAGCCCACACAATGAGAAAAGGACCACCTGAAACATGGAGTGCAGCCAGCCTACCCAAAGTCCCTTTTGCTCTTTGAAATCCCTGACAGCAAAATAATCTGTGGCAAGAGGCAGTCCCATCCAGCAACAGCCCAATGAAAGAGCCCCTTCACAATGAGAAGGGCTTGCAGAAGCCCCATCCCATCCAGCATTAATCCATACCATTTCCATTTGTCTCTGGGTATGAAATCCCTGAAATCCAGAGTTTGCCAGGATAGCCCAAACCGACACTCCAAATGTTCCTTGAATGTTGGAGTACTCCCACCTGAACACCGAGCCATGGTGTGGTCTGCTTGCGCAATTAAGTGAATGTGGGTATGGAGTTGGAAGCACTTTCTGTGTCATCTGCATTCATTTTTTTTTGTGTGTGTGGGTGAAGTTCCATGACCCCATCCACCCCTAGCCAGATTTTATCCTCACCCCTGTCTGATCTTATTGCTGCTCACACTCTATGTCCCAGGATGACATCCCAAGATGATGGAGGAGTGCCCCCTCACAACTTGAAGCACCTGCTCAGCTGGGAAGAGAATTCTAGGTAAATTCAAGGGGCCCTGCAGACAGGACTGGATAGTGTCTCTCTTGGGCTTGGCCACAGGAAAATGAAACATGGCGGGAGATATCTATTCTTGTGTGAAGAGGAGTGGCTTTTATTGCAGGGGTAGGTGATTTGGACCCTGTCAGGTCACAGCCAGCCTCCCAATTCACTGAGGATTCTTTATCCACAAAAAAATAAAGAACACAGAGCCACACAGCCCAGGCAGAGCCACATAGATAGGCCACCAAAAGATTGGGAGACTCAAACAAAGGATGCACTACAGTGTGTTAGCCACATTCATTTAAGCAGACTTCACTAATACACACACACACACACACACACACACACAAAGGCAAAGCCACACACATAAGCAGACATCCGACACTCACAACAATCCCACAGAATCACACAGCCAGACAGCTTCTGAGGCTGCATGGTTCTGCAGAAAGCCCCACCATGGAGAGAGCAACCATGGGGTACACAGGTGGTCTGTTCCTAGAAATCACATTGGAGCAAGTTTCTAAAGGACTCACTCCTACAACGTCTAGGCAGGCCTGATGCATCCTGCAGATATACTTGGATCCTTACGAATTTCACTGTTTATTCCTGGGGCTTTGCTTGACTTTTTGTCAGGCTGGCTCACGTCTGCCCTCTCCTAGGATCATGGGACTATCCCGTGATCCCACAGAGAAAACAGCCAGAGTCCACCGCCTACGCACCTCCACGGAGGTCTCCTTCTCCACCAAGCCACAGGGACTTGCTGCTATGCAACAATGGCATTCACTGTGAACACTAGACAAAGCTCACAGCTCAGGCCTGGTAGCTTGAGAAGAGCGCATGTGCATTCGGAAGGCAGGCACAGGCGCCCAAATATCAGATCTGTGAGCCTTCCTAAGCAGAGGAAAATGCTACAGGCAGAGCCAGCCTGGTATCTGGAGAAAGGCTTTCTGCGATAACGCACTATGGGACCCTGTAAGTCTCAACCTTAGGGCTCCGTCGGGCCATTTTTGTGGCCTGGTCCAGCTGGAGGAGTTTCAAGACTGTGAGGTGATTGCTGGATGCTGCTCTTCTGACTCCATTCCCAAAAGAGGCTGTGTGCAAGAATTGGTTCCTATGGGGTTTGGAATATAGTCTGGTGGGTTGTTCAGGGGTCTTTGGTTGACAGAATCATACCTGAGACCACAGAGGTATTGTCAGCGAAAGTTGGCCGGGCCATTTACCTCACTTCCTTCCTTCACTCTGAACCTTGCAAGAGCTCTCTGGGAAAGGCAGGGACCATGGCAAAGGAAAGTCCAAGGTGGAGCAGTGTTCTCACACCTCAAAGTGGGCACTCACAGGTGCAGATGAGGTTGAGACAGTGTCTCAGAGACCATTTGTTGCCATTGCAAGCCTGAAAAGCGTGTCCAGTAGTGTTGTTGAAAGTCACTGTGGACCCACAGTGAATGTGGACTGCAGAGAATGAGCTGCCTTGTGCCATGCAGCTCTGCCATGCAGAGCAAAGAAAAATCAAAACTCACCTGAGAGAATGAGCTGACTTGTGCTGGAGTCCAAGCAATGATCAAAGATTCCTGTCAGAGGACCCAAATCCTCTTGCAAAGTGCAAACAAATCCAGTCCCCACAAAGAGACCAGGACCCACACCCTGGAGTGCAGCCAGCCTACCCAACTTCCCTTTTGCTCCCTGAAATCCCTGGCAGCCAAGAGATCTGTGGAGAGAGGCAGTTGCATCCAGCCACAGTCCAATGAAATACTTCCTCCACAATGAGAAAGGACATGCAGACACAATGAAACACAGCTTAGATTACCAAACAAAAGCCAGGCATGCCTGCCTGCTTCTCATCCTACAGGAATCATGCAGCCCTCCAACAGAAGTGGGAGAAAAAGAGTTTCCTTTATGGCATCTGTAATGCTGATTTATGGTTTTAAATGTATCAAAGGAGCCCAGTCATTAAAATGTGACAGTGTTTAGAAGGAAACATGCAATGAATTCCAGTGAGGGTCATCCTCCATGAATGGGGAAATGTTTAGTGTGTAAGACCTTAGCCAGACCCAGGAAACCCTAGGCCAACAGGGATCATGGAAGACAGGAAAGGAAGAGGCAAGTGTGGAGGCTACATCCCACCCAGCGTCAATGCATCTCACTCCCATTTGGCTATGGGAATGAAAGCCCTCAAATCAGGAGTTTGCCAGGATGGCCCCAGTTTGCACACCAAATGTTCCCTGCACGTTGGAGTACTCCCAGGTGAACACAGGGTCATGGTGCACACTGCTGGTGCAATTAAGGGAATGCAGAGATGCATTTGGAAGCACTGTCCATGTCCTCTGTCTTCACCTTTTTTGCAGGTGAAGTTGCAGGACCCCGTCCACCCCTCACCAGATTGTATGCTCACCCCTATGTGAACTTATGGCTGCTCACACTCTCTGTTTCAGAATGAAATCCCAAGACAATGGAGGAGTGTCCCCTAATGACATTAAGCACGTGCTTGGCTGGGAACCGAATTGGAGGTAAATTCAAGGGGTCCTGTGGACAAGACTGCTGGTGTCCCTCCCTGGGTTGGCCACAGGACAATGAAACACTGGGAGGCGTCAATTCCTGGGTATGACGTGCCCCTCTTCTTTCCAGAAGAGTACCTTTTTCTTTTTTGGCAGGGGAGGTAGTTTGGCCTCCGGCGGGTCTCAACCAGACTCTCAATTCACTGCAGATTCACGATCCACAGAAGAATAAAGAACACAGAGACCCACAGTCCAAGCAGAGCCACAGACACACAGGCGACCAGAATGTTGAGTTACCGAAAAAAAAGAAGAGCTGCAATGTGTTAGCCACTCTACTATAAGCAGACTCCGCTTACAGACATGCATACCCACACATACACCTGCAAATACACAAAGCCACACAGTCAGGCAGACATCCAACACTTGCAACACTCCAACAGAAACACAGCCCAGCAGCTCCTGAGGCTGAATGGCTCTTCAGGAAGCCCCACATGGGAGAGAGCAACCCCAGGGAACACAGGCGGGCTGTATCTAGTAATCACCGTGGGATAAGTTTCAAAAATACTCACCCTTACAATGTCTAATTAGGCCTGAGGCATCCTGTAGATCCTTATGGATCCTTAGGGATTTTGAAGTTCATTCCTGCGGCTCTGCTTGATGTTTCTTCAGGCTGACTCACATCTACCCACTCCTAGATTCATGGGACTGTCCTGTGGATCTCTGAGACAAGACAGGCAATATTCCATCGCCAACACACCTCCAGGGAGTTCTCCTTCTCTGTCAAGCCACAGGGACTTGTCACTAGGCAATGGTGGCATTCACTGTGAAGCTAGCAATAGCTCCCTGCTCAGGACTGGTGCTTTGAGGCTATCACAGGCGCATTCATGAGGCAGGCTTGGGTGCCTGGCTGTCAAAACTGTCAGCCTGCCTAAGCAGACAAAAGTGGTACAGGCAGAGCTAGACTGGTATTGAGAAAAAGGCTGTCTGCAATAACCTACTGTGGGACCCTAAAAGTCTTGACCTTATTGACCCTCTGGGTCATCTCGCTGGTCAGGTCCCGGTGGAGGAGGAGGTATTTCGAGACTGTGAGGTGGTCGCTGGAGATGGCTCTTCTGTCTCCACTCCTGAAAGAGTCTGTGTGCAAGAATCAGGTCCGACGGGGATTGGAATAGAGTCTGGTGAGTAGTTGAGGGTTCTTTATGTGATGGAATCATACCTAAGACCTCAGAGAATAAAAATGGCTCATCACTTTACCTCACTGCCTCCCTTCATCCTTGGCCTCACAGGGCCTATCTGGGAAAGGCAGGAACCACGACATAGGCAAATGCAAGGTTGAGCAGTGTTCTCTCACCTTGATCTGGCCTCGCTTGTGGGCAGATGAGCTTGTGACAGTGTCTAAGAGGCCGTCTGTGGCGATGGCAAGCCTGAAAAAGGTGTCCAGTAAAGCTATTGATGGGCAATGTGGACACCCCAGGAAAGCAAAGAAAAATCAATGCTCACCTATGAGAATGGGCTGCTTTGTGCTGGAGTCCAAGCAATGTTCAATGATTCTTGTCAGAGCACCAAAAATCCTTCTGCAAAGTGCAAACATCCTCAGCCCCCAACACACAACCAGGACCCACAACCTGGAGTTCAGCCAGTCTATCTGAAGTCCCGTTTCCTCTCTGAAATCCCTGGAAGCCAAAAGATCTGTGGCAAGAGGCAGTCCTATCCAGCAACAGCCCAACGAAGGAGCCCTGCGACAATGAGAAAGGATGTGCACATGAAATGAAACAGAGCCTAGATAACCAGGCAACAGTTAGACACTGTTGCCTACTTCTCATCCTAAAGGAATCATGCCACCCTACAATACAAGTGGGAGATCAGTAGTTTCCCTGTTGGTGCTGTGTGGGAATTTACATTTTAAAACTATCAAGGCTGTCCAGCCATCTAAAACATGAGTGTTAAGAAGGAAACACTCATGCAATGAATTCCCACGAGGGTCATCCTTCTTGAACTGGGAAATGTTTTGTGTGGAAGATGGTGAACCAGACCAAGGAAAACCTAATTCAATGAGGAACACAAAGTCAGAAAATGAAGAGGCAAGCGTGGAGGCCACATCCCACCCACATCAATCCATCCCACTCCCATTTGGCCCTGGGTATGAAAACCCTCAAAGTGCAAAGCCCCAGTTTGCACTCCATATGTTAATGGCAGGTTGGAGAATACCCACTTGAACACAGGGCCATGGTGTGGGCTGCTTGTGCAATCAACGGAATGTGGGGATGCAGGTGGATGCAACTTCTGTGTCATCTGTCTTCACCTTTTTTTCAGGTGCAGGTGTGGGACACAATCCACACCTCACCAGATTGTATCCTTTTCCTTATCGGACCTTATTGCTGCTCACACTCTCTGTCCCAGAATGAAATCCCAAGATGATGAAGCAGTGCCCCCTCATGACGTTAAGCACCTGCCTGGCTGGTCTGACATATTGATTAATCATACTTATAATTGTTTACATTCATTGTTAAACACAATGTTTCATTTTTCTTCCTTATTCTCCACCATTTATTTTCTTCTCATATTAGTTACAGTTTGTAACTTATTTAGTTAAATATATACAATGAAGTAACACTGCAGTATTGCAGAAAACATACTGCACTGGAAACAGATTCATATTGAAACAGGAAAATGTTCCTTATCCCCCATTACTGGGCAAGAAATGAGAACAGGTTTTGGGGCTCCGACCCCAGGCAGCATCCAGGGGTGAATTTTTACAGCTCCTGAATCCCCATTGGGCATATGTTACATGGTGTTAATTTAGTTTATCCTAGGTCAGTGAGCATCGTCCTGTTGGTGGAGCCCTAGCCAAGAACCACACCCTCCTCTACCAGACACGTCCCTGCCCCCCTTCCATATCAATATTTTTTAAATTTAAAACTCCAAAAATAGTACCCAAATCCTTTAGAGAAGACAATTGGAGAAGACAGCATTAGAAGAACCAGTCTAGGATTAGGGTCACTACATAGAAAATGGAAACACAGAGAGCATGTCCTGAAGGCCGTGGAATCACTGTGGAAACATATCTCTTACTGAGAAGGAAAGGGAAACAAACTGGCTTCTCTCATCTTGTTCTCTAATCTCTGCAGTGTCACCCATTAACTGAACTAAAATAGAAAGTCAATTTTATGTGAGCCTAGGAACCGTGCCTCTCAGGGGCCAGGCCTCTCTATAACAGAATAGTGCCAGGGAGAGGTGAGTGATGTTATCTGTGGGCATACAAACCCAGGACCTCAAACAAAGGAGTATCAGAGAGAAATATAGTATGAAGAGATTAAGAGTGAAGTAGTATCAGGAACAATTCATGCATGATATTTGTGAAAAGACCAAAAAATAAAACAGAGCTTATGAAGTAGTAGACATAATAAGAACATAAAGAAAAGCAGGCAAAATTGTAAAGTCCAGGGTATTTAACTTTCCTTTATAGGATTTTGAAAATCCCTTCCAGAATCGTTTTCCCAATAGCTTCCTTTCATGGATTCATTCAAGAAATATTTAGTGAGCTAGTATGGTCTAAGAATTGGTCAGATGGCCTCATATGCATTGTTAGTACTTCTTTCATTGACAAAAAGAATGTTTCTTTTTTTCTACAATGTTTTTCTTCCAAACATTCTTCATGCAAATTCGAATCCTTACTGATCCAATCAATTGTTCCTGCCCTCAGAATGTTCCCCAAACCGCTGCAAACCCCGTTAAGAACTTCATTCCTCTCCAAGTTACTAAATTGTGTCTATTTTAACACTTGTCAGAGTACATTACAATTATTGCTGCTCTCTTTATTCTCCAATTAAACTATGACTATTTTGAAGGAAATATCTATAAACACAATAGCTTGTCATTTGTCAATACTTATTGTACGAAAGGTTATTAGATATTAACATATAATATTCTAATATAATTATCCTAATTTTTGGAAAACAATACAAACAATGTTCACTGCCAATTCCCCATGAACTGCTCAACTTTAAACAATGTCTATGCTTTGGAGCAATTATACAAACTTCCAAAGAACACCTGA
The DNA here is from genome assembly GCF_000001405.40 of Homo sapiens. NCBI lineage: Eukaryota > Metazoa > Chordata > Mammalia > Primates > Hominidae > Homo > Homo sapiens. The sequence continues at coordinate 21,562,288 of NC_000024.10, read as the reverse complement.
AAGTGTTTTTATTTTGACTTTGTTTTGTTATATTGAATTATTATGTAGAAACAAAGTCTTGCCCCATGGCCCAGGCTGAAATGCAGTGTGCAATCACAGCTCACTGGAACCTTGAACTCCTGAGTAAATAGAAAAACAGGTGTGTGCCATTATGCCCAATTTAATTAATTAATTAATTAGTTACCTTTGTAGAGATTGGTCTTGCTATGTTGCCTGTGCTAGTCTCCAACTCTGGGTTTGAAGCAATTCTCCCTTCTCAGCCTCCCAAAGAGCTGTGATTCCAGGCATGAACCACCAGATCTCAAAGAGGAAATTTTAAATTTTAGAATATTGCAATATGTTAGACTCCATTTCTTCTTTCAATTTTGCATTTGCAGTGGCACTTAAGAAGAATTATTTCTTATGGTGAGAGTGTGATTTCTCATATTTGGTCAACAAATTTTGAAATCTTTGTTTACTTAAACCCTAATAACTGGTAGTCAAGTCAGCTGAAAGTCAAGTACATGTCAAATACATGGGTGTTTTTGTGTTGAGGTTTTGAAGGCAAATGTAGAGAGATATTAAGAACCAAAGACTATATATATATATATATATATATATATATATATATATATATATATATATATATATGCTAAAGTTGCATCCTTGCAGGTGAGGCATCATACACGGCAAGGATAGTTTTATACAATACCATGAAATACATAATTTAGTAACCAATTCAGCACTTGAAATTTCCCAACTTTGTTTTCACCAGGAGTTAATGATGTATGGCACTTCTAGTAAGTAAATTAATGTTTGAACTGCTGTTATTTAAGTCATTGCTCAGCTAATCATTTATCAAAGATTTTTACTTGTGCAATATCATAAATGCTGGACATTAAAAATTAATCACTAGGGTTTATGTATCTAAGAGCTACCATCTAATGTGATATTCTTCACTAAGTTGACAACAATAATTATGCAGAAAAATAGTCATTCCCATAGTGTGAGCCATTACAGCAATTTCCACCGGAGGATTTCACAGTCAGAGTCCAGATCTGGGCAACAGTGATTAATATAAAGGTTTTTTATGAGAAGAGATTTTGATATATCTAGCTGTCTTTAGATGTCAGTGCCTTGAATAGACGGGTTTGCTATTAATAAGAAAGGGTGCATTGGACTGGATACTAAGAAACATACTGAATTGTTTTTCTTGTTCTCTATAACATGAAAGCTCAACCAGAGATATAGAAACAATGGAAAATTTCACAGCATGGCCTGACATTTCACAGCACTTTTATTTTTTTTTAGCCATGTACAAATTCTTTAAATATACAAAGGTAGGACTGTTACAGGAAAAAAGTGTTGGCGTGAGAAGTCACAATCCACAGCAAAGTTAGTGTCTTGTGGATGGCACCTTGAGTGATGAATTAGAGTGAGAATCAACTTTCAGGCTGCCAACAGGGGACAAAGAGAATGAAGTTATCATCAGTTAACATTATTGGATCAATTAAAGTGAATGTTGACAGAGATTTTGTTGGTTTTACATCAAATTGAGTATAGTACTTCAAATTGATTATTTGATAAAGATAAACTCTTACCAAATTTCCCACATGTAAAATTGAGGATTAAAATATTACACAACCCACACATTATGGGTATCTCATATAAATTTATATACACATGTGCAAACTTGCAGTGTGCTAATATTTGTCTATATCTAAATATATCCAAATCCACTGATGAACAGTTAGAAATTTAGAAATTATTCTCCCATTTTACCATTCCCTTTCTTAGAATTTTGTCACAAATATAATTTTTCCATCTATTTGAAGGCTACTCTCTGGAGTCATGTAATGTATGGTTACAGTAAAGCCATGCATGAGCTATCACAGGGTTTCTATCAGAGAAATCAATAAAACTGGTGTTATAAAAGATCCACTGTGAGGAGAAATTTATACTTCACATGACTACAAATACAGAAGTGTTATTTCATTGAAAGCTGGTATCAGTCAATACAATTTGTTTTTAAAGTTTTATTTAAAATACTTAATCTCAAAAGGATTATTCGAGTAGAATAATGTTATTGGTAATAAATAATGATTAAGAATTTCCTTTCCTTTGTTGATTATTTAAAATGCAAGTAAAATACTAAAAAGTACTGTATAGTGTAGTTTCACCATGCATTCTCCGTGGTTTTTGTAAAATTAATGGCCTCAATGGAATTTTTTGACACAGAGAAATTTCCTTATATCATTTTATTAGTGTACTTTCACTTTATTACTTGCTTGCACATCATAACTGATGGAAATAAAAATATTTTTATTTACACATATACAAAGCATGGAATTGTATGTTTTCTAGTGAGAAAAAGTCACCAATAATTTTATCTGTATAGGAACATTTTGATATGCCCAAAGTTCTTAACTTTCTTTTCTTTAGAAGTTTCATATTTCAGTCTAGGTATGAGATGGAATTGACTGACTGTGATCATTGTTTTTATTTCACTATGACTACTGAGTTTCTGACACAGTGATACTAATGTATAGACTTAAAAGCTTGCCGCTTCCTCCTCCTCCTCCTTCTTCTTCTACTTCTTCTTCCTCTTCTTCTTCTTCTTCACCTCCTCCTCCTCCTCTTCCTCCTCATCCTCCTCCTCCCCGCTTTGGACCTGTCCATGTGATTTCTGCAGTAATATGCACCGTTTTCTGAAATAAGGTTGCTGAAAGATACAAGCGTAAGTGGAGTTCTTTATTTTTGTGAACCTTTAGGAACAGAGAAGTAAAACTGAAACATAGTTGTGATATGAATTTAAGTCTGCAGTTTCTCACAGAAGTACCAAAAGGATGAAAATAAATTTAAAAATACATGGCTTATCCAAAACATGACGTAGAATAATGAAAAATTTAAATTGACATAAAGACCAATTTAAAAGTTATAATTATTCCAGGTGAGAGAAAGTAGCACTAAAAATCCTATTTTCCCTGTTTAAATACATAACTATTACTGTATCTTTAGGCTTAAAAAGTGTTAAGTCTAACTTAAGCAACAACTTGGCAATTTCTAACAATGAGTGCATCATCTTAGAATTTCTCCAAGAATCTTTTGGGAGAAATATAATCTAATCTTGCTCTATAAACAATTGAATTAATCAAGGAAATTATTATGACTGTAGTCTTGCAATTTCATTGTCCTTCTCTTTTCAGTTTTTACATATTCTCTTTAAAATTCAAAATCCCCTAGGGAAAATATGATAAATAACAATGACTGAAACAGTTGAAAAACAAAAACTGAACAGCGGACACATTTCAAGGTTTCCTTTATGAGAATGCTTCACTAACCATGTAATACACACATGATATAAATCACTGTGAGAAAAAAAAATTTGTATAGCTACTTGACAGTTTATACAGTAACAGCAAATATTCTCATTTGAACTTCAAAAGGGTTTTTAAACTTGTGTTTCATAAATGAGGAAAATGTGGTTTCTATTTCCTGTATTTGCCTATTACAGCAGTTATCACACTTATTATTCCTCATTTATCTCTGTGCCTGTAACAACTGCACTCTCAGAAGGACCATGTTTTTCTGAGCTTCTTGCAGACTGCCAGGCTTACTGTGGCATTTAGAAACTATCTGCTGAATGTTTGTGATATCTTAATGCAAGTTAGATTCTAGGCCACTGATACTAATTTTCTATTTAGTATTTGGGTTTGTAGAGCTATTTTTCCTTTTCAGTTTTTTTTCTTTTTTTTTTTTTTTATTATACTTTAAGTTCTAGGGTACATGTTCACAACGTACAGGTTTGTTACATAGGGATACATGTGCCATGTTGGTTTGCTGCACACATCAACTTATCATTTACATTAGGCATTTCTCCTAATGCTATCCCTCCCCAGCCCCGCATCCCACCAACCACCCCATGTGTGGTGTTCCCCACCCTGTGTCCCTGTGTTCTTATTGTTCAACTCCTACTTATGAGTGAGAACATGCGGTGCTTGGTTTTCTGTCCTTGTGATAGTGTGCTTAGTATGATGGTTTTCAGCTTCATCCATGACCTTGCAACCACAAAGAGATACCATCTCATGTCAGTTAGAATGGCAATCATTAAAAAGTCAGAAAACAACAGATGTTGGAGAGGATGTGGAGAAATGGGAATGCTTTTAAGGTTTTTTTTTTTTAAGTATACTATAAGGATATACTTATCTGGACGTGGAGTGGACAGTGAGTGGACAGTGCAGGTCATGGTCAGTGGGACCTCCAAAGGAGGCACCCCATTCAAATTGGAGGCTCTGCAGGAGAGGGCAGCCAGGGCGCAGAGTTCGAAGGCACTCTTGGGGGAGGAGAAGGTGCTGGTGGTGGACAACATCATGGCATGGTCCAGGTGGTGGTTGAGGAGAAGCCTGACATGGAGCCTGGTGGAGGACCAGCAGACAGCCTGGCCCTGGATCCAGCACACCCCAGCCAGCCACAGACTCGCTGGAGGCCCTTCACTTGAAGCAGAGTTCCATGAATAACCAGTCCACATGGCCTGCCCACAGCTGAGATGTAAGCTTTGGCAGAGGTGCCTTCCCAGCCTGGATGGCACAGGGGCCATCAGCCAGGGCATCTCCAGCTTCTGGGCCAGAGGCACATCTTTGCAGCTGCCCATTCGGAATGACTGGCAGCAGGGGGTGGGCATCTGGCTTCTTGGGGTGGGGAGCAGGGGAGCCAAGCAAGGGGCACACGGGGACAACCAGGAGGCAGGGGATGGGGGATAGCGAAGGGAGCTGAGGCCAGGGTCCTGCAGATAGGAGGGCAGCTTGCTTGGGGGTGCCCTGAGAGCACATGGTAGGGACTGGGAGCCAAGCTCAGCACTCACAAGGGAGAATAGGAGCCCCATGGACCCTTCACTCACAGCAGAAACTTGAAGGGCATGTTTCCATGAGAAAGTCCTTGGAGGAAGGGGAGTCTGCAAGCCCATGCCAGCCATAGAAACCACCCTGGCTGCCCATGTCTGTGGCCAGCAGCCTTACCCCAGAAACACAAGGTGCTTAAGACTTGGGTTCACGGTGCACTGGGCTGCTGTCCTCTGCAAGGCAGGCACAAACTCCCCAGATACGCTTTCTTCCTTCTGCCTGTACTGCACCCAAAGAGCTGAGCATATACAACCTCCGTTGCACAAACACCTCCATTACACACATGGAAGCCCCATGGGGAGCAACAGGCACAGCCCTGCAGTCCCCTCTATCCACAGCAGCTCCCTCAAGTGAACACGCCCACCCCTCAGGAAGACCAGGAGAAGAGGGGACTGCACACCTGGACACCCTCAGCAGAGCCAGTCCAGCATCCAGCACACAATGACCATGTGCAGCTCAGCAACTCTGAAGATACAGCCGCCTCACACAACAGCACCCCACACCCAATCCCCTGCCTACTTGTGCCGCCCGCTCCTTGTTGGCAGGAGCTTTCCGGGCCTCCCTCCACCCTCCCACAAGACCACCACAACCACTACCATGCCCCCAACACTGGACAGAGACAGGACCACCAATGCAGGGTACCAGGTCAAAGGTTTTGGGATAGCCCTGCCAAACACTCTCCCAGCTCTTGCAAAGTTGTGGGGTGTTTCCTGGCATGCCCACCCAATCATCTGGAGGTTCCTTGACCAGAGGCAGATTGTGCAGCACACCTACATGTCGGCAGAGTTCAGAAACCATGAGGAAGTCCTGCTAAGTAAGCTACAGGATGGATTTGAAGCTCAGCCTGAGGAGCCGGGGTCTGCGGGACGGGTCCAGGGTCTTGCTCAGGTTGAGGTCCTCCTGGGGCACAGGGGTTCTGAGTGGTAGAGCTGGGAAGGGGCAACACATGCTGCACCCCAGTCAGCAGGCCCTCAGCCCAGATAGATGAAATGGATCCTTTGAGTCTGTCCTCTTCTTCTTGGCATGGCAGGTGGAGGAACTCAGCCATCCCAGGTACCGGCAGCAGGATGAAGTGTTCCTTTTGTCACAACCTTTATTTCCACAATAAAGTGATCATTAAGGAATATCGTGTTCACATCCTTGGTAAGGAGTGCCTCCTGGTGTGGTAGAGGGTGGAGTGTGGGACGCTAGGCCTGGCATGAGCCTTTTTGACTCTTGTTCCAGGATGCAGGGCCACTGGCTCTAGTGTAGTCCAGTGGTTCTAGAGTCATCAGAAGAAGCCCCACCTTCAGTAAGGACACAGCCTACCTGAGCTTCCTCAGCTAGTTGGCTGACTGTGACCACTCAGGGTCAGCCAGGACTGCTGAGGCAGGGGCCGCTGTGGGGCGTCATGGGAAAGGACCTTGCTGGTCTTTCCTTGGCATCTTGGGAACTGGCTTTGAACTATGACCTGACCTTTCACAGACCACTTTCCCCACTCCTCCAGATCATCAGTCAGGGCTTCCGTCTCAATCCCCTGCAGCACTACCTAAGGATTAGGTCCTCAGAGAGGGAACAGAGAGGAGGCCAGGTAAGCAGCCCACAGCTGGGGGCTCAAAGGCCTGTGGGTCCTGCAGCTGTGACACACATGGAGAACTCAAGGCTCAGGGAGGAGCCTGCAGTGAGAAATCCCAGGCCATCCCTGGACTGGGGCAGAAAGGCCCATCAGGGAACTGTAACACTCATATTTCAGAATTGGGGAACCTGAAGTGCCTGAGGCAGAAGTGGCAAAGGTCAATGGGTGAGAAGCAAGGCTCAAGGGATAGCTGTCTCATCATCCTTCTCTGGCTCCCTTCTACGCCTTGAGGCCTGCTACTACCTGGGGCTCAGTTTGGGCTCAACTAGAGTGCACGCAGGGCGTGCCTAGGTCTACGTACTTCTAGAATGGCTATCCCAGCCCTGTCACGTTTTGTTTCAATGACCCCAGGCTCCCCTGACATGCTTTATCCCCTCTGCCATCCTCATTCATGCTTCCCCGGCTCTCAAGACATTTCCTATGACATTAAAAAATAGACATAAAGTTTTTTAAATGCCTTAATAATATAGATGCAGATAAAAGATTTCATTATAAAAAGTGCTTTTCCTCTTTACTTGTATCAAAGTCTTTTTCATGATGGGGAAAAGAATGCAACATACTTTGGTAAGTTAAAAAAGTATAAAAGTAAAAATAAATCCTACTGCAGATGATCAATTAAATGGCAGGGGATCTTCTGTGTGTGTCCAGGGAGGGTACGTGGCTGAGCAGTAAGCCTCACCTGAGTATTGGTGTAGACACCCAGTTTCCCTCGTACCAGTGTGGGTATGGGCACATTCCAGTTTGCGTGTCCAGCCTGTGTGTCTAAGCTGATGCACGCATGTGCACACGTGTGCCTGTGTACCTTTGTGTACCTTGGTTTTGGGAGGGCCGACACTCCTGCCCACAGGTGTGCCTCAAACTCAGCTCTTAAGCTGGCAAGCAGGGTGCCGCTGGGTTTGGCAATCCAACTTCAGGACCCGTGAAGTCTGCATGCTAGGGAGAAGCAAAGAGTCCTCATGGTTCTCACAAATGGCAGAGGGAGGAGGAAAAGGGTGGCTGGCACAAGCTACCTAGAGGAGATGTCATAAACCTGAAATGACACCCAGAGGGATATAAAACCTAGTAGCTGCCTGTGTTTACCTGTGTGTTCGGCTGGGGCATTCAGGTAAGAATCAGTGAAACCTGCAGGGCTTTGGGATTCGCTATTCGGGAATCCCTGTGCACCAGAGTCTCCGGCCCATGAGAGAGGACAGCATGTGGGTCCGGCAGGGCCTGAGTCTCCAGGGAGGGTGGCATTCTCCCTAAGAGGGCATGGGTCAGTAGGTGGAAGAGAAACCTGGGCTGTGGGTTCAGGTAGATGGGACACTTGCCACTTAGCCAGGTGGGAGCTCAGGAGAGGGCCAGGAGAGCCTAACTGGCCGGTGACACCCCGTCCCAGTGCTGGGTGTGCGCACACGAGCTTTGCCCCATGCACCCTCTCCAGGATGCCTCACCTGGGCAGACAGGAAGCAAGGCACACAAGATCCTAAGCTTATGGTCATGAGTGGACCCAGACTGGGGGGTCCCTAGGATCACTGTTCCCAGGAGAACCAGGCATGCAGGGTCTCTTCAGGACAGGGGTAAAATGCATAAGCCCAGCTCTCCACCCAGTGAGTGTCATGCCCTGATGATGTCAGCCATGGCAGATACAGGTCTTCCACCTAGATTGCAGATCCACAGGCTTACAACCTCCCCCTGGCCTTCTCTGGGACAGACCCCTGGACTCTGGAACAGCCAGTGCCCCAGGACTGTTCCTTCCCCGCCTCCAAGCTCGTGGGAGGCTCAGTGAGGACTCTCCTCCTAGTACATGGCCACCCACAGGCACTGTCAACAACCCAGGGCCCTTCTACATTCCGGGGTCCTGCCACCTTACCCAGCAGTGGGATAATGGGAAGGCAAAGAGCGGGAACAGACAGAGCGGGGGCCACAAGCCTCACCCTCCCACATGACAAGGGAATGAGGGGATCCTTCTCAGCGCAGGCAGCTGCTTTCAGAACATACCTGGAGGCACAGCACCAGCTGAGGGATTCACTCTGCCACAGCTGGGCATGGGGGATTTCAACATGTGCCAGGGACCTTGATCCTGGTTGCTGTACCAGGTGTATCTCTCTTCCAGATCACAATATGCTCACACCCTCCTTAACCTGAATGGACTCCTTGTCCTCACCACATGGTGTTAGCGGGAACTGCTACTCCTGGTGCCCCAGCTGCAGTTTCAAGGTGAAGAGATAGAGCAGCACACCCCTGAGTCCTTGTCCTCTTATCCAAGTAATATCCATAGAAATAGTAAAATAGTGGCATATTAGACCTATTGACATTTTTAAGGCTGATCTCTTTATAAGCATTTCATCCATATATTTATGACTTTATCTCATGTATTTTATTTATAACTCTCATTTCAAAATCAATTTTTGCTCAAGTTATTTCAACATATAGCCAAATGTTCAGAGCTATGATACATAGGTTTCAAGTTTAAAAGTCTGTATCTGCTATTATTTTGGGAAAAACCCATCGAGCACTTGTAAAAATAAGGAATTATTAGGCATGACCACTGTAGTGGTCTAAAACACACTTTGAAATTCTTCTCACACCCATTTGAAAATATTCCTGATGGGACTGAACACAGTACTTGCTTGTAATGAATAGAAAACAGTGCAAGCATTTTCTGGATACTGGACCACCTCTGGCCTAGTTTAGAAAAGGTGACACAGCTCTGCCTAACTCTCCTGCTCTCATCCCCCTTAGGAGCCCCCGACCAGTACATCACGAAGTCTAACACCCTGATGACACTATGCAGAAGGGACATCCAATGGAGAGACTCAAAGAAACAGAACAAGATGTCTGAGCATCTCAGCAGTCCAGCCCCTGCTATTTGAGTCACGCTAGCCATGGCACCAGGGAGATGAGAAGACACCCGCCAACGTCCCCAACCTTGGCCATCACTAGATTGCGTCCTCCTGAGTGCCCCAGAACCACAATCATTTGGCTGAGTGACTGCGGGGGATTGCAGAGACTGACAGTTAGTAAATTATAATTATTGTTTAAGCCACTAAGCTTTAGATAATTCTGAAAAGCACTTTAGACTCCTAGAAAAACTGAGTTGTCTACTGACTTAATTGCAGAGAGCTGTAAAGGCCAACATCATGAATGCTAATACCCTGGAAAAGTCAAATCATCGAGACTCTTCTAAACACAACAGATCTTTAATGCCCCTTCGCTATGGCTGGAGAATAATCTAACATGTATCTGATAGAGTTGTTTGAAAGCCTCTGTTCACATCTCTCAGCCTGGTATGGGTCAACTCTGGTCTGCTTTAATTCTAGGCAACTGCAGCAGTTCACGTTCCATTTTAGGTCGTGGCCTACACTGATTTTTTGATCACTGACCGTGTCTTTGTCTGTGTGTGTATGTTTTGTGTGTTATCATATTTTATCTGAGGAGGCTAAATAATAGTACTATAGTTTTGTAAACAGAAAACATTCCAGGAAGTCAGTATTGCTTATAAACTGAGCTTTAAAATAGATATGAAATTAGACATGGCAAGATGCCATGTCTACTATCATACCAAAGCTAGCCAAGCTTGGTGGCCCATGGATATTATCCCAGCTACTTGGAAGGCTGATGCAGGAGAATCCATTGAATCCTGGTGATGGAGTTTGCAGTAAAGTGAGATCACACCACTGTGCTCCAGCCTGGGCAGCACAGCGAGACTCTGTCTCAGAAATAAAAAGAGAATAAAATAATAAAATAGGAGAGATTACTGAAGAGACAAATGCATAAAACTGGGTGGGCATTGTGGCTCACGCCTGGATCCCAGCATTCTCAGAGGATGAGGTGAGTGGATCACTAGAGGACAAGAGTTCAAGACCAGCCCGAGCAAATATTGTGAAACCTGGTCTCTACTGAAAATAGAAATACACACACACACACACACACACACACACACACACACACATACAGGATTGGTGTCATATGACTGCAGTTGCAGTTGCTTAGGAGAGTGTGACTGGACAATTGCTTGAACCCGTGATAAGGAGGGAGCAGTGAGCTGAGATCACGCCACTGCACTCCAGCCTAGGTGACAGGGCAGGATTCTTTCTTAAAAAAAAAAAAATCAGTGAGAGAAAAAGATACAGAGACAAAAAGAAAGAAAGACAGGAAGGAAGAAAGGAAGGGAGGGAAGGAGGAAGGGAATGAAAATTTGTACCTAACAGTTGTAGATACTTTTGGCATACATGTGATATTTTGATACAAGTAATGTGAACTGGTAAGCGAGGGATCAAAGAGGGGATGGGGGTGGGTTAAATTATACTTGCTTAGAAGGAATAATATCTAGTGTTCAGTGGCACAGGATGACTACACTTAATAATGATTTATTGTACATCTCAAAATAATTAATAGAGCGAAGGTGGAATGTCGCTGATACCAAGAAAAGATACGCCAGACTCAGTGAGGTGGAATGTCGCTCATAATGAGAAAAGATATGCCAGACTCAGTGGCTCACGGCTATAATCACAACACTTTGGGAAGCCAGGGAAGGAGGATTATTTCGGTCTGGGAGTTTGAGACCAGCCTGAACAATATATCCAAAGCATTGTCCCTACCACACACACACAAACACAAAAGCTGGGCACGGTGGTTGGTGTGTGTCTGTAATTCCAGCTACTTGGGAGGCTGAAATGGAAGGCTTGCACATTTCAAGCCCGTGTTCAAGGCTGCAGTGAGCTATGATGGTGCCACTGCAGTCTAGGCTGGACAACAGTGTGAGACCTTGTCTCTAAAAAAGAAAAAAGAATCGGTAAGTGCTTGAACTGAAGGATACCCTATTTATTATGTATATATTTGTTGATTGATATAATTATTTTTGTGTTGGAGTCGCACTCTGTCACCCAGGCTAGAGTGCATGGTGCAATATCGGCTCACCGCAGCATCAGGCTCCCAGGTTCAAACCACTGTCCTGCCTGAGCCTCCCAATTAACTGCAACGTACTACAGGCAGGCACCACCATGCCCGGCTAATTTTTGTATTTTTGGTAGAGATGGGGTTTCATGGTGTTGGCCAGCCTGGTCTTCAACTCCTGTCCTAAAGTGCTCTGCAAGCCTCGGCCTCCCCAAGTGTTAGAATTAGAGACCTGAGCCATCACACATGGACAGTAAGATACACAAGACTCGGGAGATTTATCTTTTCACTTCATCCTCACAATGCTACAGGTGAATGAAAACACTCCATAACATGAATAACTCACTTGAAAATCAAAGTTGGTAACTTCTCCCTTTAAAATTATTTGTACCCTTACCCTGTAAAAATTGATGATTCTGTCAAAATTTTTCAAGAAAATACTTCCTCCTTGCAGATTAGTCTGTCAATTGTAAGAATTATGGACTGCAAAACTTCTGGAACTTGATGTATTTCATTTCTTTAGTTTGTATAATCAGGAAAATTAATTCATTTAGTTATTTCGGTCTAAATATTTGTATCATTCAGTGATGTCTTAAAACTTTAAGCAATCCCGTCGGAAACTTTATGCTGTTGTTTATGTTTTATACACTTCACTTTCCCCTAAGTATGAGGTTTAAAGCGTTTCCATTCATATTATCAATTAAATACGATAGGCTGACAGTGGTGGCACACGCCTATAATCTTAGCACTTCGGGAGTCTGAGGAGGGTGGATCAGGATTTTAAGAACAGCCTGGCAAACAAGGTGAAACGCTGTCTGCACTAAAAATACAAAAATTGGCCCCGCTGTGCGGCACACATATCTAATACCAGTTACTCAGGATGCTGAGGCAGGAGAATAGCTTGGATCCAGAAGGCAGCGGTTGCCATAAGCCAAGACAGAGCCACTGCACCCCAGCTTCGGCGACAAAGCTATACACTTCACCTCAAAAAAAAACTGATACTATCCCAACCACTCTAGATTATTCCTATCTGTAAGAACATATTACTAAACCATTACTTACAACATCCACTGTCAAAATATTCAAGAAAAAATTAACGTGGGAACCTCACAAGACAAAACACTTACTTTCCACTATTTAAACTACGAACATTTAAATTCATTATGCTACGCACCTGAGAAACTTAGCTGGTTCACTTCTGATTTAGGTGAAAAAAAAAGTTTTCATTACCGTTATCCTCTTCAGTCACAGAATGCTTCACATAGAATGTTCCGGATGTCTTAAACTTTAGTATCAATACATCTAATGATTTCCTTTGACCTGTACTATTCCTCTAAAAAATAAACGTTTTATGGTGAGGCAGACAGTTTTGTAGTCTTTCTGAAGACTTCTCCAACATTTTAACCTTGTTAGTTTTTAAAGAGAAACAGCCTAATTACAAAACTTGAGCAGCTTGCAAGGGCGACATAACACATCCCTAATTTTGTACCTATGTTCAAAGAAACAAAGGAAAATGTACAACAGACTACACAATTTACTCTCCTATTGAATTTGCTTTAAGCATGCGCGGCTAACCAATAACACCAGGCATCTTGCAGTACATGTCAAATTTTATTGTGAAAATTTTAAGGTAGATATTACATCTAAACACTTTTCAAATAGCATCAACAAGTATGAAATTACTTTGAAAACAATTCCTTTTCCTTTGAATACCTCAAAAAATTCATGGAGGAAGTTAGTATCTACCTCTCTCCACAAAACCAACATGTTTCTTTCAGTAATATGCAGGTAACAATGCAGAAATAACATTTCAATTTTTGATTTGCAAACAAGGATTGGTATGCAATAACTATTATTTTCAATGCTTGCTTTAATATCTGCTCGAGTCTCCTTTTTCAGATCGACTCTCCCCACCATCTACTATAGATGCCACATAACTTGAGCTACCACATGCTTCACGAGGATCAGGGAGCACCCTACCCAGAGAAGGCGGATTCCTTTGGTCTTTTCTGCAAACATGCTCACGATCACAATAATGAAAATCACCACAGCTCGAGTAACTCTCCCAACTTCTGCCATATCTATCTCGTGTATTACTATATGCGTGGCAGGTGCTTCCACCATAAGACATCCGAGGCCCTCTTGCAGGTGGTGCACCATGAGAGGTCCCTGCAGGGTTGGTAAAATAATATGTGGGACTACATTTAAACATTTTTACTGCTATCATTAAAGCATGAATTAGTTAAAGTACTATTTGGAAATATCTGCTTTCCTCCGCCTTTGTTGACAGGATATTAATCAAGGCTTTAATAGTCAGAAGGTTTTATTTAAGAGAAGTGTAAGAGTAGTATTTTGCAGCTTAACAAACTTAATTCTAAAGTAAATGCTCAGTCACATTTTCTTAACGTTAACTGAAGTTCTCACCTTCATATCATTCCCTAGGCTTTATACTGTTAAGAATACTCAATATTTAAACATGTTGCATATGGCCTTTACAATTTTCCTTAGAATTTCATTAAAATAACAATCTGGTCTATTAAATAAAATTCTGTAATTTACAAATCCATCCTGGACCCTTACCGTATCTCTGAAGTGCATCTCTATAAGAACTTCCACTTAGATGTTCAGAATGATCTCTACCAAGGGCCTCACCGTAGCCATCATGATAACTAAATTGAAAAAAAAAAAGTCTTTTCAATTTCAGAATGAACAATTTAAGAAATCCATTTGATAAATCCAGATAACATGTTAGTACCTATATCCTCTAGAGGAATGTTCATCCCAACTAGAATGACCATAATCACGGTATGCATAGTCTCTATGTGGTGGAGCATAATCCCTGGTTTCTCGGGAACTTGGATGATTTCTGCGTGCACGAGTTGAAGCAAGGAATTTTAAATTGTCACCTTCTAGTATCCAAAACATAACTACATTACAACTTAAACACAATTAAATTACCAAACATCTAAATAAAATGCCCACAGAGCCCAAATGCCCAAAATGCCCAAATGCCCAAAAAGCACATGAAACAGATACTCATAATCAGTGATTCAGGAAATGCATTTCAAATAAAAAAGGAGCATCCACACTTCACACACACACACTGGAAGGGCAAAAAATTTTCAAAAGCAGGAAATAACAAGTGTTTGAGAGGATGTAGATAAATTGGAGCCCTGATACAATGTTAGTTGGAATGAACAATTTAAGAAATCTATTTGATAAATCCAGAAAAAGTTACAGTATCTATATCCTCTAGAGGAATGTTCATCCTGCCTAGAATGACCATAGTCTCAGTATGCCTAGCCTCTAGATGGTGGAGCATAATCCCTAGTTTCTCGGGAACTTGGATGATTTGTGTGTGCATAAGTTTAAGCAACAAATTTTAAATTTTCATCTTCTAGTATCGAATACATGACTAACTTACAACTTTAAATTAAAAGGCCAAACATCTAAATAGGTATTTCTCCAAATAAAATAGGCAAATGCCCAAAAAGGACAAGTGACAGATACTCATATTCAGTGATTCAGAAAATGCATTTCTTTTTGTTTTATTATACTTTAAGTTCTAGCATACATGTGCATGATGAGTTAATGGGTGCAGAAAATGCATTTCAAATCCAAAATGAGATATCATATTTCACACACACAGATGAATGGCAATAGATTTTCAAAAGCAGGAAATAACAAGTGTTTGAGAGGATGTAGATAAATTGGAGCCCTGATACAATGTTAGTTGGAATGAACAATTTAAGAAATCTATTTGACAAATCCAGAAAAATTACAGTACCTATATCCTCTAGAATAACTTTCATGTCGACGAGAATGACCATAATCACGGTATCCATGGCCTCTAGATGGTGGAGCATACTCCCTAGTTTCTCGGGAACTTCGACGATTTCTGTATGCATAAGTTTAAGCAACAAATTTTAAATTTTCAACTTGTAGTATCCGATATATGACTAACTTACAACTTAAACAAAATTAAAAGGCCAAACATCTAAATAGATATTTCTCCAAATAAAATGGGCAAACGCCCAAAAAGCACATGGGACAGATACTCATATTCAGTGATTCAGAAAATGCATTTCTTTTTTTTATTATACTTTAAGTTCTAGGGTCCATGTGCATGACGAGTTAATGGGTGCAGAAAATGCATTTCAAATCCAAAATGAGATATCATATTTCACACACAGATGAATGGCAATAAATTTTCAAAAGCAGGAAATAACAAGTGTTGGAGAGGATGCAGATAAATTGGAGCCCTGATACAATGTTAGTTGGAATGAACAATTTAAGAAATCTATTTGACAAATCCACAAAAAGTTACAGTACCTGTATCCTCTAGAATAACTTTCATCCCGACGAGAATGACCATAATCACGGTATGCATGGCCTCTAGATGGTGGAGCATAATCCCTAGTTTCTCGGGAACTTCGATGATTTCTGTATGCATAAGTTTAAGCAACAAATTTTAAATTTTCAACTTCTAGTATCCGATACATGACTAACTTACAACTTAAACAAAATTAAAAGGCCAAACATCTCAATGGATATTTCTCCAAATAAAATGGGCAAATGCCCAAGATGCACATGGGACACATACTCATATTCAGTGATTCAGAAGACGCATTTCTTTTTTTTTTAATTATACTTTAAGTTCTAGGGTCCATGTGCATGATGAGTTAATGGGTGCAGAAAATGCATTTCAAATCCAAAATGAGATATCATATTTCATACGCACACACTGGAAGGGCAATAAATTTTCAAAAGCAGGAAATAACAAGTGTTTGAGAGGATGTAGATAAATTGGAGCCCTGATAGAACGTTAGTTGGAATGAGCAATTTAAGAAATCTATTTGACAAATTCAGAAAAAGTTACAGTACCTATATCCTCTAGAGGAATGTTCATCCCGATTAGAATGACCATTATCACGGTATGCATAGCCTCTAGATGGTGGAGCATAATCCCTCGTTTCTTGGCAACTTGGATGATTTCTGTGTGCATAAGTTTAAGCAACAAATTTTAAATTTTCAACTTCTAGTATCCAATACATGACTAACTTACAACTTAAACAAAATTAAAAGGCCAAACATCTAAACAGATATTTCTCCAAATAAAATCGGCAAATGCCCAAAAAGCACACGGGACTGATACTCATATTCAGCGATTCAGAAAATGCATTTCTTTTTGTTTCATTATACTTTAAGTTCTAGGATACATGTGCATGATGAGTTAATGGGTGCAGAAAATGCATTTCAAATCGAAAATGGGATATCATATTTCAAACACACATTTGAATGGCAATAAATTTCAAACAGCAGGAAATAACAAGTGTTTGAGAGGATGTAGATAAATTGGATTGCTGATACAATGCTAGGTTGGAACGGAAAATGATGCAGCTACTATGGAGAAATGTGGTGGTTCCTCAAGAAAACAAACATCATTATCATAGGACCATGCAATTCCACTCATATACACCCAGAACCGAGTAAGCACACTCAAACAAATATTGGTGCGTAGAAATACTCGGGTGGAAACAACGCAGATAAAATAATGGGTTAATAGCTTGTGGAAGGAGTGAAGTGCTATGATGTAAATGAACCTTCAGGACATCATGCAAAAGGAGAGGAGACAAATACAAAAAGTCATGTAGTGTTTGAGCACATTAACATTAAATACCCACAACAGGTAAGTTCAGAGGCAGAACACTGACTGGTGTTATCTAGCAGCTGAGGAAAAGGAGAAAATGGGAGGGACTGCTTAACTGGTAGTAGGAGTTTCAATTTGGAGTGATGAAAATGTTCTGGAACTCGATGGAGGTAGTTGTTGCATGGCACAGAATGTATCAAACACCACCTAACTGTTCACCTTATAATATTTAATTTTGTTATGTGAATTTCATCACCACAGGAAAAAAAAATCAACTGTGCTTTTTAATTTTTCCTTTACCCATCGTTAGTTGCATAACCATCATGTCTTGTTGACATGCGATCATTTCTCCAGGAAGATATTGTCGCTCTGCGTGGAGGAACTCCATAATTCTCTCTTCTTTGTGACATGGGACCTTTAACATTCAAATGATGGAACATTACGTAAAGAACACCAAATCTGAAACGCTATTTTCTCTTCTCTCAAACAACTTTTTAAAATTATTTCTTCTATGACTCCATTCTTTGTTTCCTAAATTACTAGACAGACATGACACTGTGAATATTTCTCATGGCTTTGGATAATCCCATGGCTCCCACAAGGCCAGTTCTTCTAATGAAGCTGAAGGCAAACATTAATGCTTAGGTAAAAGTTCATTTGTAATGGTTAATAACTACTTAGTTATTATTTTCCTTTCCATATAAATTACTGATGACTGTGAGTGACACAGGGAAAACACGTAAAACCATCAAACTCTTCACTGATTTTAAAGTTTACATACATTGTTCTTTCTCAGCCAAAGAAGGTAGATTTTCCAATATCATTCAGTCCATCTCACAGACACATAAATACAGCTACCTTTAAATGACTATATGCTAAATGTTTACATAAAAGTTCTTTAACTGGTTGGCTCTATCTTAAATGTTGACAAATTAAAATGTATTAGTGAAGATTTTCTAATGATGGTCAAGATTTGCTTTTACTGCAAAGAAAGCAATGCTATGCAAGGGGTCATTACAACATTGTTGCTGTTTCAAAATAGAAAGTTTCTCCTCTAATATATTCTTCACTTGCTATTCCTTAGCGGTCAGTGTTTCACATATGATACCTTCACTGGCTAATTTTCCAATGGAAATGTGTTGGCTTGGGTATCCTGAAGCCAATAAATACCTCCCTTCACCGATACTCTACGTATGAAATGTAAAATTGAAAATGGCAGTTTTTAACTTCCTCCGTATGCGGATGGAGGACTAAGAAAGAATTTTAATTTGCTCTGCTTAAACTTCCTTGCTAAGAACTTTTATTTATTGTCTTATTTTCTTCTGTTCAGTCTGCAGTCTTACAATTCTTCTCAAAAGTATTACTTGCATTCAACCCTACCGCTCACCTCATGTTGCTGAGTTCTAAATTCTCTCCTCAAATAATTTCAAATCTTACACTAAGGATCTTGTGTTAATGTTTAAACATCCCGGTACAATCTCAATTACTGATTTACATACACCTATATTTCACAACTCTGCATTTCTGTGATATCCACTTAATTTAAGAATTTTGGACTCCTACGTGTCTACCTCTCGAGCCTTAAATTTATTTTTAAATCATATTTAAGCCCAATGACTCCTTGTCTGCTAAATGCTCTTGTAGTTCTTTTGAATCTTCATGCAAGCAGTGAGTATGCCTTGCACATACGCATTACTGAGGTCTCAGAAGCTGGATGGCCAGGCTTAGCGGCTCACACTGTGAGTGAGTGTGGAAGGCTGAGGCAGCTGGACCGCTTGAGCCCCAGGCTTTAACATCAGTTTTGACAATGTAGTCAGATCCTCTCTCTACAAAAACATAGGGAAAAAAATGTAGCTAGGTGTGCTGCTGCATGCCTGTAGTTGCACAAACTCGGGAGGCTGAAACAGCAGAATTGCTTGAGCCCAGGAATTTGAGGCTATAGTAAGCCGTCATCTCACAAATTTGAGGCTACAGTAAGCCGTCGTCTCACATAGTGCACTCTCACCTAGTAAGAGCAAGACTCCAACCCAGCAAAGTCACCGAACAAGCAATTTTTAGAATGGGACACCAGGGGACTTAGGAAATGGAAGAGTTAATTAGATCAAGAAGCCTACCATCAAAGAATACTGCTAGGAACTTTTAGAAAAATTAAGGGGAATTTTCTAGCCAACACAGGATTAAAAGGAATGTTGGCCTCACTCTAATCACTTCTTTGATCTGCAATGAGAAGCTCAAGTATTTCTTCAACATAAATCTGAAATGTACCTAGTGAGATAGAAACTATAATAAAAGCTATCAATCAGTAATTATGCTCACGTATGTGTCACTTCTCTTTTGTTCAATGAACTTAAAGCTAAGCATTCAGGTAAAACGGCTCATTTTTAGTCATACAAAAACTACGGTCTTTCTGTCAGGCAGCATTTACCTTGGCTTCCCATCCAACTATTGCTTCTTGCCACAGCAGAAGGAGCAGATTTTTTCGGAGGAGGACCTCCACTTCTTGAAGATGGACCTCTTTTAACTGGAATGAGTCCCCTAGAATAACTCATCTTGAGATCAGGAGTGTATCCACCATCATCTGTATTTCAAACAAAATCTTTTTAGTTAACTGACGTCACTGTTTCTTAAATGGCTAAGTTTTAGTTGTTTACAAATATTTTCTACATTTTATAACAAATTCACATTTTGTCTAAACTAATAAAATTAGCATTCCTACAAGGTATTAGTACACTTCAAGCATTAAAAGTTCATTTAGAAAATCTAGAAAGAAACTCAAGTATCATAATATATCGGTATGAAGGAGAGATGTGGGAAAATGGGGAGTGAACGGGGGCAGAAATCTATCACTAAAATATCCAAATATAATATACATAAAAATATTAAAAGAAAAATGATAAATGACTGTTTATATCATTCTGTAATGAGGAAAAATTTTCAAAGCACATCATAAAGATAAACTAATTTCCATTCAAAGAAACTCAAATATTTCCAATACCAAGAAATCACATATCAGGAAAATACATTGTCTCTAAAATTTGTTAACACAATATAGAATTCTTAAAATTCCCTTATGAGACACTAATTTTCAGATGAGACTATGCTGAATTTTAACAGTCTTTAAGAATTGCATATTCGGTAATATAAACATATTTTTATACATCTACAAAAACGTAGATATATGCCAATTGCCAGGTGGTGTTACAGGTTAGAATTTATGTACACATTCTCGTCCGTGGCAGAGTATAATTGAAGCTCACCCTCAAGATCAGTGGAGGCAAAACAGCCGTGAAGCTACGCATCTTAAAATGGAGCAAACACTGCAATTTCAACTTGAAAACAATCTCCAATTAATTACATGTCTGGTTATTAAAACTCCAAGCTATTTGTTAGAGTTCTGAAGGTTGGTTAATAGATAATACAAGTTAACCAACAGGTTTATTTATTTATTTATTCAGATGCACTCTTGCCCTATCACGCAGGCTGGAGTGCCATGGCATAACCTTGGCTCACTGCAGCTTTTGCCTCCCAGGTTCCTGTGATTCTCCTGCCTCAGCCTCCTGAGTAGCTGGGATTACAGGTGCACGCCACCAGGCCCAGGCAAATTTTTTTGTATCTTTAGGAGAGACAGGGTTTCACCATGTTGGCCAGGCTGGTCTGGAACTCCTGACCTCGTGGTCCACCTCCCCTGTACTCCCCAGGTGCTGAGGTGACAGGCGTGAGCCACCTCGCACAGCCCATCCAATAGTTTTTTCTTTTTCCTTTTTTTTAAATATATGGTTTGTTTTTCTTTTATATGTAAAGATGGACCCCTCATTTCTATTAAGTAAATCACTCATAAATATCATTTTCAGTGACTCAGCCTCCAGCAAAGAAAGATTCATACATATCTGTGAAGCAGTGGTTTTTAGATCTTTCCAGAGTCACAGACTCTTTTCAGAAATTAAAGTTCTACATTTCTTAAATTGAAAATGCTTTACGGCAGGCCAATGTACAAACTCTCTGTATCAAAATTACAAAGCAATACATTTGCATAGATGTTTCCACATGTAGACACAAGAAAACAAATACTGCAAAATCAATCTTCAGTATTC
This sequence comes from Homo sapiens, assembly GCF_000001405.40. NCBI lineage: Eukaryota > Metazoa > Chordata > Mammalia > Primates > Hominidae > Homo > Homo sapiens. Next base: position 21,541,177 of record NC_000024.10, on the reverse strand, counting down.
AGTTACTTCTTCCTGTTGGAAAATTTTAAATATTACATCGTACTTTGATAATACAACTGACACGAAGTTCTGGGCCCTAAAGTAGAAAACTCTAAAGTATAATGAATATAAATGAGTTCTGCAGAAAACCGGTTGAGTACAGGCAATCAGCATTCACAAACACAACTCACTTTCAAATGTGTGTTACTTCAGTGCAAACTTATTATAATTGTTAAACAAATTTTAGATATTAGTTCAATCATTCTTATAATACACCTTTATAGTACTTAGAAATAAGTTTGCTTATTATCAATAAGCTAATTTTCTCTTCATACAGGAAAGAAAAAAATTAAGAAATTTCAATATCGTCAAACTTATTTTCTTTCAGTCCTATGGTTCCATCTTTATATTTTAAAACATTACCCAGGTGCCCTTCATGTGAGGGAAGCCACCCTCTTGTTCCTCCACGGCTTCCTCTTGCAGATCTCAGACTTCCTGAAGGGCTTCTGTTTCTCGAAGAAGCTGGTGGTCTCCGCCTACCACCACTTTGAAAAGATGGTTTCTTGGCTTGTTCTACTTTTATTGCTTTTCCATGCAAAGACTAGAAGTATTAAGGGTACTATCAATAACACCGGCACATTTAACGTAAGCACATTTTACAAACATTTTTACATCAACTGTAGTTCAATTTGAGGTATTTTTCTCCCAAAAGGAAACTTTTTTTTCTTCTAAAATGAACACATCTTTCGCAATGCCAAATTTGAGATAGTTACTGAGCACATGCCTTCCATTAAGGGATCAAACACAAATTCTATTATTCAAATTCCTTGAAAACTTTTCCATCATTAAAAAAAAAAAAAACTCAAACATAAAAAAAAAGTTTGACCCATCACACATTCTGTGGAAGAATGTGGCACATCTGTTTTTTACAATATATAATCCACTTCATCTTTGTAGTCACATCACTGATTTGAAAGTTGCAGTGTCCCAATGAAACTCGTGTCATTTAAAAAAAAAATGAGCTTACTTTTTCAGAGTGATTAGGCACATTACTCATTATGAGTTGTTTCTTGTTGGATTTGCTAACACTTCCATAAAATGTCCCCATATGATTTACAATTCTATATTGACTCTAAAAATGTTTCTGTAAATGTGATCCTTGTTTGATCTCATTAAGTTTTCTTGCCTTACTCATTTCTTACATTGCCTTAGACGTGCCCCTAAAAAACGAATCTTAATATAGTACTTCAGGTAATTTCTCAGAAATGCTTAACTATCCTAATTAATTTCATAATAACATTTTTCACTGTAATCTTTTCTACAGGCCACAGCAATTTTTGAAAACAGTTCAGCTAATAATGCGATTTAAAAATTACATGGCTTTTGTTATTTGGAGGAAGGACTTAAATCCCTGAACAAGACCGCTTGCAGCCACATCGCCCGTTGTTCCTACCTTGAAACTTCTTTTGTTATTTCTGGGCTCAAAATATTTTCCCCAGATTTGCCCACGGCTGCTTCCTTCCCAGTGTTCTGAAGTCAGCCAAAATTCCTTAACTGTTAATTCCCCCTGAAAACTCAAAGAACCTCCTTTATTGGCCATCTTAACATTAATGTGCATACAACATTCATAGTTATTTTAACACAATAAAATACGTGAGATGAAGTAATTTAGAAATAACGTTGGCTGGGCGCGGTGGCTCACACCGGTAATCCCAATACTTTGGGAGGCCAAGGCGGGTGGATCATGAGGTGAAGAGATAGAGCTCACCCTGGCTAACAGGGTGAAACCCCATCCCTACTCAAAGTACAAAATTAGCTGGGCGTGGTGGCGCGCCTCTGTAGCCCCTGGTACTGGGAGGCTGAGGCAGGAGAATCGCTTGAACCCGGGAGGCGGAGGTTGCAGTGAGCCAAGATGGCCCCACTGCAATCCAGCCTAGGGCACACAGCGAGTCTCCATCTTAAAAAACAAACAAACGAACAAAAACTTTACACAAATTACCTGCCCTTTTGCTTGAAAACTAGAGGGAAAAAAGAAATTATCATAGCTTCCTATACAGAAGTCAAAATTATCTCCATACCTACCACAAAGCCATGAACCAAAAGCAACTCTCGGTTTCTACCACAGCTTGAAATACTAATTTATAAGGGTGAATAAAAATGTACTTTCTGCTATGTGACAGGAAGTGTGCTAGATGTAACAGAAAGAAAAGCAACTAGCAAGACTTAAATATGCACTATATACAATTTCACGATCAATAGATTAATACATAGTACAGCGAGTAGAAAATACCTACAATACGCAATGAGGAAGAAAATTATGAAATCTAAGTGGTTTTTGAAGCATAAATTTTATTTATGAGCCATACACAGGGAAGGATAATTCTCAAGAAGTCTAAAAAAGCACTTTGGGAATAGCGTGAAGACTAACAGGACCTAAAAACAGATTGGGATAACGTTATTTATTTATTTTATTTATTTTTTGTTTTTTTGAGACGGATTCTTGCTCTGTTGCCAGGCTGGAGTGCATCGGCGTGATCTCGGCTCACTGCAACCTCTGCCTCCTTGGGTTTAACCGATTCCCCTGCCTCAGCCTACTGACTAGCTGGAACTACAGGCACACACAACCAGATGCAGCTAATTTTTTTTTTTGTATTTTAGTAGCGACAGGGTTTCACCATGTTGGCCATTATGGTTTCTTTCTCCTGACCTTGTGATCTGCCCGCCTTGGCCACCCAAAGCGCTGGGATTACACGCATGAGCCACCATGCCCGGCATGATTGGGATAATGTTATAAAGCAAAAAACACTAAAGAGCACAGAATGGAATGCTCTTGACTACAATGTAAAGGAATTCAATAATTAATATCATTACATAGAAGTTTAAAGCTTAAGTAAACACACAATCTCTAGATTTAAGACTCAACAGGACAAGAGACCATTGGTTCAATCAAAACAAGTCCTCAAACACACTGGGGAAATGAGTAATTAGCTATTCATGTTACATAAATCACTCTGGTGACAGGAAAGAAATGTCCTTAGGAGAAAAAGCAAGCATGGAGCCAAGAATGCCAGTTACTTCTTCTGTTATCTGACTTCAATGTTCTCATATTATTTTCTATTTTCAACTACTTAACCTTTCCGTAAATGTAAAGGTCTTATTTAAATACACTTTCGCAAGAATATATTTTCATAAAATATATTCTTCAAGAAGGAAAGAGTCTTTCCTTCTTGTGCGTCTGTCTAGATGTCTATCCAGTTTGTCTACGCTCTAAAAGTATTTCCATGAATTGGATGTACTTCAATTAATAGCATTTAATAAATATTGACTTATTACTTTCATTTACATGAGGGTTCCTTATAAGTTTTAAAGCTCTTCAAAACCTTTTAAAATCTATTTGCACTCATATCGAAATACAAACATAGAAAAAGGTTACCAAATATTAATTTATGTAATGTTAATTCCAATACCCTTCCAACTACACTTGCACGTATATGGCACAAAAAAGAGGATGGCTTCATGTGTCATTCTACTATCCTCAAAAGTTTAGCAATATTAAAAAGACCTAGAAATATTGTTAATTGAAGAACAGAGTTAGAATATTAGTAATAAGGGACTCTTACCTTTCCATTCATATCTTTGGCAGCATTCTTAGCATCTGCAGGGTTCTCAAAAGTAATAAATGCAAAGCCTCTGGATTTGCTGGTTCGATCCTTTATCAAAAGAACTAAAATATATGAAAACATTTTACATTCATATAATGGACTCATCAAGGTACTCACCATCTAAAGGTTACATCAAACTAAAAAATAATTGCATTTCACATCACTATTATGGTTCTCGATACTCAGTCACCCCTACAGTCAGTCTAGTTTATTCCAGTTTGTTTCGGAACTCCACAGCACATTTACTTTCCCTCATTTTCCTTTCTAAGTAGTAGGTTATCCTTTCCATAGAACCTTAACCTACTACTATGAGAATTTTCCAAATATCAAACAGATACTACAAAATAAGAGTTTAAAATGCATAAGGCATTTTAATGTAGGTATACAATGAACTTTGAAAAAATATATTTTTTCAAAACATATATATATAACATACATATTTTAAACATACCTATTGAAATATACATGTGAAAATACACACACACACACACACACACACACACACACACACACACACACACGGTTTTAAGAGTTACCTTCTGATATGGGACCATGTTTCCCAAATACTGCTTTAAGCATCTTCTCATTGGTTTCTCTATTGAGGCCACCAATGAAAAGCTTGCCAGGATGATCTGCTTCTACCATTGTGCTGTAAATGGTAAAAAATTATCTATATTTAGATATAAATAAGCTAAAAAGATAAAATTTTATTACATACTGTGCTGAAAACCCAAGTAAAATTCCCTTCCTGAGGCTGACATCTTTTTAGTATTTCTTACTTTATATATGTAAAATTTGTAACACTCAGAGCAAAGGGGCACTAACTTCATGGACAAATGCTGCATTTTAGTATGTACCTGACAAAAATCTCATTTCTAAAAATTAGATAAGAAAAGCTATTGTAATTTTCCTCAGTTGCAATATGAAGAATGTCCCCATTTAAATAATTTTATTTGAAAAGAATCTATTTATGAGGTACAGTGTGATGTTTTGCATATTTTCTTTCTTGAGATGTCTGTCTCCTGTCGCCAAAGTGAACTGCTCACTGCAGGCTCTTCCACCCAGCCTCAACTGATCTTCCTACATCTCAGCTTCCCAAGTAGCTAGTACTACAGGCGCTTTCTACCACAGCTGGGCAATTTTTTGTATTTTTAAAAATAGACAAGGGTTTCCCCATAGTGCCCAAGCTAGTCTCCAAATCTTCGGCTCAAGTGTTCTGCCGGCTTGGGACTACCAAAGTGATGGGATTTCAAGGGTGACTCACCACACTCAGCATGATATTTGGATAAGAGATTAAATCAAGCTACTTAAAATGTTCTAGGAGGAGAATATTTTAAATATTTTACCATCTTTTAGTGATTTGAAATATACAATAGGTCAAAGATCCCCAAACCCTAGCCTTCAACCCGTACCTATCTGTGGCCTGAATGTGATGCCGGAGGATGACCTGCAATACCTGTCTGTGGAGAATGTAACGCCTGAGGATGACCTGAGGTGGTACAGTTTTATCCGGAAACCATCCTCCCTACTCCCTCGCTGGCCCTCCCTGTCCCCGTGACAGCCTCACTGCCCCACCTGGCCTCTGTCACATTGCTCCTACCGGAAGACCCGGCCCACCACGTGCCCCTCGGAGACCTGCCGCCAGCCCCCACTCCCAAACCTGTCCACCTCGCCGCCTTCTTCCCCTGCGCAACCTTTCTCTGAGGAAAAACTGACTTCCACTAAACCAGTCCCTGATGCGAAAATAGCAATGAAAGAGTCCAGTACGTTACCCAGGCTGGTCTCAAACTCCTGACTTCAAGCCATCCTCCGACCTCCACTTCCCAAAATGCTAGGACTACAGGAGTAAGGCAGTGTGCCAGGTTAACAGAATAACTTAAGCGCATCTATTTTGTTCCAGTTTTCGGCTATCTAACTCCATTTGTCTCGATTACACCCACTTATTCGGTTTAAATTATTTACGGTGCCAAAGACACATGAAACGTTTCAAATACTGCCATACAACGAAGGAGACGATCACAGGCTTTACAGAGGCAAACTGAAACTCAGATTATTTGTGGCCCCATATTTCTACATACACTAAAGTAACACAATTTATGTCAAAATTTGATAATTCTTCCAAGCAAATCAGACACGCGACATGTGCTAACCAAAAGTGTGACTTTTTAATCGCAGTGGTTAAGTGTATTGCCTGTATTCTGAATTATCACCACATTCACAGAGAAAACCCGCTTTAATAAAAAGTGCACATGAAAACCAATGGCGGCTTAGCACCATCTCCCACAACTAGTCGGACACATTAGGCAGTTAAAGGTAGAATCCTCAGGAAAAATCAATGAGTTTAACGAAAGTGAGTCTCTTAATAGCACTGAGGAGTTCTTTCCCCACTGACTCCTCCCGTAATTCAACACCCACACATAGAAAACCCATCCCCTTTTATAGACAAAATCCCAAACCTTCGCTTTCTATTCTTGCCGAGAGACCCAGCTGTCCAGAGAAACAGAAAATACCTGCGCTTTTTAGTAGGACAAAGAGCCTGAGGTTCGCCTGGCCCTCAGGCCGTACGTAACCGGCTTCGGAACACCACAGGGCCAACTGCGGGAGGGACAGCTGGAGCTTCCCTGAGAGGGAAGGACGCCGGAAGCCGTGCCCGGAAATCCCGCCTACCTCCAGCGGCCAATCATTGCGAAGGCGGTGGGCGTCAGCCAGTTACTGCAAAGGCTGTGGGCGTGTCCTGAGGCCGCTCCGCCCCAGCAGGCCTGCGGCTCCATCATCTCGCGGTAACTCTTCCGAGACCACGCTTGTGCCACGTGGCGGGCCGCGGTGGATTAAGGCACACGCGAACTGTGAGCCCTTTGCAATTGTGGGCATGGAAGACCTACACCCTAACTGGCATCCTGAGTGTGGCAAGACATTAACTAACCCACAGGGAACACATGAAACATCTCACTTCATTAGGCAGGCTAGGCTGATGGTACTGAATATTGCGGATCCAGAGGGGAGAGAGAGGGACCAGCGCTGCTGCTGGGGCGAGGGCAGCAGCGGTGGCTTGGGGGGATTGGGGCAGGGCGGGTGCGTGGGACTAAAGTCGACTGGTACGTTGCTGAGGTGGAATTCATCTGCACCAGAAGCTGAAACCCTGCAAGGATTCTGTCAGGTCTAGGCAAATACATACTCCGAGTTCCATGGTTCCTCCCTGAGGATGCTGTACTCACAGGGGCATTCCAAAGGACTTCTCATCCTGTGCCCTGGGCACACGGGAGGCCTACCGCCATGGTCGCCAATGCAGTGATCCGTGTGCACTGCTTTGCTGGTGCAGAGGCTCTCACAAGTGCAGTGGTGGCCGTGTGCCTGCTAGCGGGGCTCTGGAAGCCAGGGCCTTGGCATCCGACTCCAGGGCTGCCGTGCGCAGCTAACCCTGCTGGGTATCTGAGCCCCAGTGTGAGTGTGACAGGCTAAGGGCCCTGTGGGGCCCCCCAGGAACCCTGTTCCACATAGGTGTAGGATGTGGTTCTCAGCAGGGCAAGGCCCGCAGGCCTCTCCTGGAGTTGCCCCCAGAGTTGACGGGTGCCGGGGGGGTGGGGTGGGAGGCACAGGCTTTGCTCTGTTGGAGCCTCAAGGAGGGCACCATGTTAAGGCTGGAGGCTGTGCAGGAGAGGATGGTCTGTGCACAGAGCAGGAAGACAACCCTGCGGGGAGAGGCATGCTAGTGGGGGATGACATCATTGCAGAGATGGAGGTGGTGGCCAAGGAGGAAGGCCAATGTGGAGCCACAGCAGGAGGACCTGCAGGCACAGCCTGGCCCTGGCCCCAGTACGCCCCGGCCAGCAACAGACTCGCTGGACGTCCTTCACTTGGAGCTCGGCTACGTGAATGTCCCAGGCCACAGGGCATCCCCGGCTTCTGGGCCAGAGCCATATCCTTGCAGCTGCCAATTCGGGATGGTTGGCAGCAGGGGATGGGCGCGGAGCTCCCGGGAGCGGAGGTGGGGGGAAACAAGGTGGTAGGCACTGGCGGTCAGCCAGGATTCAGGGCATGGGGGACAACAAGGGGAACTGAGAACAGGCTCATGCGGATAGGAGGGCAGCTTAATTGCATGTGCCCTGAGGGCATGTGGTAGGGACAGGAAGCCAAGCACAGCACTCACCAGGGAGAATAGCAGCGCCAAGGACCCATCATAACAGCAGAAAGTTGAAGGATACGATTCACCGGGAAAGTCCCTGGAGGAAGGGGAGTCTGCATGCCCATGCCAGCCACGGAACTTCCCTGCTCCCCTTGCCTGTGTCCAGCAAGCTTACCCCAGAAACACAAGGTGCTCAAGACTCGGTGTCACTGTGCACGGGGCTGCTGTCCTATGCAAGGCAGGCACTATCTCCCCAGACACAATTTCTTCCCTCTGCCAGCGCTGCACCCAAAGATGTTTAGGCCCTGAGTATATATAAGCTCCCTTGAAACCACTCGAGCTCCACGGGGAGAGCCAGGCACAGCCCCGTAGCTACTTCTACCCACAGCGGTTGCCTGGGGTGGACACGTGCACCCCTCAGGGGAGACCAGGAGAAGGAGAGACGGCACACCCAGACAGCAGCAGAGCCTGTCCAGCACCCAGCACAGGAGGGCCTCCTGCAGCTCAGAAACGCCGAGCAAGTAGTCGCCTCACACAACAACACCCCGCCCCCAACCCCCTGCCCACTTCTTCAGTGCCAGCCCCTGGTCAGAGCAGGTTGTCTGGGCCTGCCTCCACCCACCACCAAGACCACCACAGCTCTGATGGTGCCCTCCACGCCAGACAGAGACAGAGGACCTGGAAGGGAAGGTGCCCTGCCCCACACTCTCCGTGCTCTTGCAAAGTTGCAGGGTGTTTCCTTGCACGCCCACCCAATCATCCGGCGGCTCCTTGACCAGAGGCAGATTGTGCGGCACACCGAGATGTTGGCCGGGATCACAAATGATGATGAAGTCCTGCTAAGCTACGTACGTGATGGATTTGCAGGTCGGGCTAAGGAGCCTGAGTCTTCGGGAGGGGTCTGGTGTCTGGGTCAGGTTGAGGTACCCCTGGGACCCGGGGGTGTCTCAATGAGAGAGTTGGGAAGGAGAAACACATGCTTCACCCCAGCTAACAGGTCACCTCACCCCAGCTACATGAAATGCTCCTTTGAGTACGTCCTCTTTCTCCTTCTTGGCCAGGTAAGGGGAGGAAAGCAACTCTTCCGGGTACCGGCAGCAGGATGAAGTTTTCCTTTTATCACAGTCTCTACTTCCACAATGAAGTGATCATTCAGGAGTACTGCCTTGGCATCCTCGGTAAGGAGCGCCTCCCAGCATGGTAGGGGAGCTGGTGTGTGGGAGGGTAGGTCTGGCATGAACCTTCCTGACTCCTCTCTCTGCAGGATACGGGATGTCTCATTCCACTGCAGTCTAGTGGTTGTGGGATCATGAAGGTCAAGCCTCCAGCTGCAGGCCGTACAGCTCCTACCTGACCTTCTTCAGCTGGTTGGCTGACCATGACTGCCCAGGTTCTGGCAGGATTGCTGAGGTGAGCGCCAGGTAGGGCATCATGGGAAAGGATCTTGCTGGTCATTCCTTGGCCTCTGGGGAACTGGCTTTGAGCCATGACCTGAACTAACCTGTACCCACTTCTGCAGTCCCCTAGATCATCAGCCAGAGCCTGTAGCTCAATCCCCTGCAGTACTTCTCCAGGGAGGGAGGCCATTAGAGAGTGAACAGAGAGGAGGCCAGGTGAGCAGTCTGGGGCTGGGGACTGAGAGGCGGTTGATTCCTGGAGTTGTGCCCCACATGGAGAAACCAAGCCTCAGGGAGGTGACTGCAGTGAGCAATCCCACGCCATCCATGGGCTGGCGGAGAAATGGCCATCAAAGAACTGTAACACCCACATTTTAGGATTGGGGCACCTTCAGCCGCCTAAGAGGAGTAAGTGTCTAAGGTCAGTGGGTGAGAAGCAAGGCTCAAGTGGTAGCTGTCTCATCATCCCTCACCGGCTGAGGCCTGAGGCCGGCTACCACTTGGGGCTCAGTTTGGGCTCAACCAGGGCCCTCTCACCCTCCACGCAGATATCCTCCCAAGGCCCCTCTCTATGTCTTCCCTGATGGGCTGTCCCACGCCCATCATTTTTTGTTACAATGATCCCAGGCTTCCCTGAGATGCTTTCTGCCCTCTGCCATCATCACCCACACTTCCCTGCCCCACCCTGCCCCACCAGACAAGAGAGGCCGCTACACAGGGAATCTGGAGAACCACACTGGGCTCACAGGGGAGGAAATGTGAAGAGATTGCAAAATGGATGAGCCCTTCATTGTGTGTCCAGGGAGGGAACCTGGCTGGGAATTAAGGCCCACCTGAGTAGTGGTGTGGACACCCAGTGTTACTTATCATGATGAAGACCTGCTTTGTCACATCCCCTAATATTAATATGGAAGTTATTTTCTTGGAACAGTGAAACAATGTGTACAAAGAAATAGTGTTTGTTCAGATTTGTGTAGAAATACTGCAGACGCGTCCCTTTTCCATTACAATTCTTATGTGAGACTTGAAGTGTTTATTGAGTTGTAAGATACATTTTGATGGTTCTGCCCCCAGCAAATTTTATGATCATGTTTGCACTGTAGAGACATGGAATCCAGAAAAGTTTTGAGTGACTTTCAGCTTCTTGTAGAGTACTTACTTGTAAATTTTGAATTTTTTTCCGTATAGTTCTCTTCAGTTTATTATTTTAATTTTATGTGCAAGGTGATTCATTTGTTTTATTTGCCTTTTGTGGAAACTTTGTTTTAATGTACTTTCTGTTTTCCGTTAGATATGCGAGTTGAACTGTGAGTACAAAATTTTTATTTTCATTTTTTAGTTGTTTTGGGGTGTCTGTGTGTGTTTTGAGGAGTACTGCTCTGTCACCCAGGCTGGAGTGAAGTGGCAGGATCTCGGCTCAACCTCAACCTCCGCCTCCCAGCTTCAAGCAATTCCCCTGCCTCGGCCTTCTGAGGAGTTGGGATTACTGGTGCATGCCACCATGTGCAGCTAATTTTTGTATTTTTAGTCAAGACTGGGTTTCACCATATTTGCCAGGCTGGTCTCCGACTCCTCACCTCAACTGATCCACCCACTTTTGCCTGCCAAACTGCCAGGCTTACAGCGTGAGCCACCATGCCCAGCCTCATTTATTTGTTTCTGTATTAGAACCCTTCTTGTATACTCTTCATGTACACACATTTTAGAGTGAATGGAAGAGTGTATTTTATTTATTTAGTCAATAGTAGAATTTTAAACGCAATGTTTTTATTCAGTAAATACAGTATTGTGAATAGGTTAAACCTAGTATAGTATTGTCATTCTCTCTTTCATAAATTTTTCAAGAACGCTGATACTGTTTCCGTCCCCCCGCCTCCGAGGAGAACACGCAGATAGGTCCAAAAAATTGTGGAAGTGAGTGGGTATGAAAATATAATTTGAAGGCCGGACGGGGTGTTTCACGCCTGCAATCCCCACACTTTCGGAGGCCAAGGCTGGTGGATTACCAGACGTCAGAAGTTCAAGACCAGCGGGGTCAACATGGTGAAACCCCACCTCTACTAAATATTCGAAAATTAGCTGGGCATGGTGGCAGGTTCCTGTAATCCTAGCTATTTGGGAGGCTGAGGCAGGAGAATCGGTTGAACCCAAGAGGCGGTGGTTGCAGTGAGCCAAGATCACGCCACTGCACTACAGCCTGGGTCACAAGACCAAAGCTTTGTCTCCACCACCCCACACCCCCCAAGAAAGCATTATTTTGGGAAAAACCCATCCAGCACTTGTAAAAATAAGGAATTATTAGGCATGGCCACTGTAGTGGTCTGAAACACACTTTGAAATTCTTCTCAAACCCATTTGAAAATATTCCTGATGGAACTGAACACAGTACTTGCTTCTAATGTATAGAAAACACTGCAAGCAGTTTCTGGATACTGGACCACCTCTGGCCTAGTTTAGAGACGGTGACACGGCTCTGCCTAGGTCTCCTGCTCTCATGGGGACAAACCCCTTAGGAGCCCCCGACCAGTACATCACGCAGTCTAACACCCTGATAACACTATGCAGAAGGGACATCCAATGGAGAGACTCAAAGAAACAGAACAAGATGTCTGAGCATCTCAGCAGTCCAGCCCCTGCTATTTGAGTCACGCTAGCCATGGCACCAGGGAGATGAGAAGACACCCGCCAATGTCCCCATCTTTGGCCATCACTAGATTGCATCCTCCTGAGCGCCCCTGAACCACATTCATTTGGCTGAGAGACTGAGGGCGATTGCAGAGACTGACAGTTAGTAAATTATAATTATGGTTTTAAGCCACTAAGTTTTAGATAATTCTGAAAAGCACTTTAGACTCCTAGAAAAACTGTGTCGTCTACTGACTTCATTGCAGAGAGCTGTAAAGGCCAACATCATGAATGCTAATACCCTGGAAAAGTCAAATCATCGAGACTCTTCTAAGCACAACAGATCTTTAATGTCCCTTCGCTATGGCTGGAGAATAATCTAACATGTATCTGATAGAGTTGTTGGAAAGCCTCTGTTCACATCTCTCAGCCTGGTATGGGTCAACTCTGGTCTGCTTTAATTCTAGGCAACTGCAGCAGCTCACCTTTCATTTAGGTCGTGGCCTACACTGATTTTTTTTGATCACTGACTGTGTCTTTGTCTGTGTGTGTATGTTTTGTGTGTTACCATATTTTATCTGAGGAGGCTAAATAGTAGTACTATAATTGTTTTGTAAACATAAAACATTCCAGGAAGTCAATATTGCTTATCAATCGAGCTTTAAAACAGATACGAAATTAGACATGACAAGATGCCACGTCTAGTATCATACCAAAGCTAGCCAAGCTTGGTGGCCCGTGGATGTTATCCCAGCTACTTGGAAGGCTGATGCAGGAGAATCCGTTGAACCCTGGTGATGGAGTTTGCAGTAAAGTGAGATCACACCACTGTGCTCCAGCCTGGGCACCAGAGCGAGACGCTGTCTCAGAAATAAAAAGAGAATAAAATAATAAAATAGGAGAGATCACGGGAGAGAGAAATGCATACAACTGGGTGGGCAGTGTGGCTCATGCCTGGATCCCAGCATTTTGAGAGGCTGATGTGGGTGGATCACTAAAGGAAAGGAACTCAAGACCAGCCTGAGCAAATATTGTGAAACCTGGTCTCTACTGAAAATACAAAATATTTGCCAGGATTGGTGTCATATGATTGCAGTCGCAGCTGCTTAGGAGGGTGTGACTGGACAATTGCTTGAACCCGTGATAAGGAGGGAGCAGTGAGCTGAGATCACGCCACTGCACTCCAGCCTAGGTGACAGGGCAGGATTCTTTCTTAAAAAAAAAAAAATCAGTGAGAGAAAAAGATACAGAGACAAAAAGAAAGAAAGACAGGAAGGAAGAAAGGAAGGGAGGGAAGGAGGAAGGGAATGAAAATTTGTACCTAACAGTTGTAGATACTTTTGGCATACATGTGATATTTTGATACAAGTAATGTGAACTGGTAAGCGAGGGATCAAAGAGGGGATGGGGGTGGGTTAAATTATACTTGCTTAGAAGGAATAATATCTAGTGTTCAGTGGCACAGGATGACTACACTTAATAATGATTTATTGTACATCTCAAAATAATTAATAGAGCGAAGGTGGAATGTCGCTGATACCAAGAAAAGATACGCCAGACTCAGTGAGGTGGAATGTCGCTCATAATGAGAAAAGATATGCCAGACTCAGTGGCTCACGGCTATAATCACAACACTTTGGGAAGCCAGGGAAGGAGGATTATTTCGGTCTGGGAGTTTGAGACCAGCCTGAACAATATATCCAAAGCATTGTCCCTACCACACACACACAAACACAAAAGCTGGGCACGGTGGTTGGTGTGTGTCTGTAATTCCAGCTACTTGGGAGGCTGAAATGGAAGGCTTGCACATTTCAAGCCCGTGTTCAAGGCTGCAGTGAGCTATGATGGTGCCACTGCAGTCTAGGCTGGACAACAGTGTGAGACCTTGTCTCTAAAAAAGAAAAAAGAATCGGTAAGTGCTTGAACTGAAGGATACCCTATTTATTATGTATATATTTGTTGATTGATATAATTATTTTTGTGTTGGAGTCGCACTCTGTCACCCAGGCTAGAGTGCATGGTGCAATATCGGCTCACCGCAGCATCAGGCTCCCAGGTTCAAACCACTGTCCTGCCTGAGCCTCCCAATTAACTGCAACGTACTACAGGCAGGCACCACCATGCCCGGCTAATTTTTGTATTTTTGGTAGAGATGGGGTTTCATGGTGTTGGCCAGCCTGGTCTTCAACTCCTGTCCTAAAGTGCTCTGCAAGCCTCGGCCTCCCCAAGTGTTAGAATTAGAGACCTGAGCCATCACACATGGACAGTAAGATACACAAGACTCGGGAGATTTATCTTTTCACTTCATCCTCACAATGCTACAGGTGAATGAAAACACTCCATAACATGAATAACTCACTTGAAAATCAAAGTTGGTAACTTCTCCCTTTAAAATTATTTGTACCCTTACCCTGTAAAAATTGATGATTCTGTCAAAATTTTTCAAGAAAATACTTCCTCCTTGCAGATTAGTCTGTCAATTGTAAGAATTATGGACTGCAAAACTTCTGGAACTTGATGTATTTCATTTCTTTAGTTTGTATAATCAGGAAAATTAATTCATTTAGTTATTTCGGTCTAAATATTTGTATCATTCAGTGATGTCTTAAAACTTTAAGCAATCCCGTCGGAAACTTTATGCTGTTGTTTATGTTTTATACACTTCACTTTCCCCTAAGTATGAGGTTTAAAGCGTTTCCATTCATATTATCAATTAAATACGATAGGCTGACAGTGGTGGCACACGCCTATAATCTTAGCACTTCGGGAGTCTGAGGAGGGTGGATCAGGATTTTAAGAACAGCCTGGCAAACAAGGTGAAACGCTGTCTGCACTAAAAATACAAAAATTGGCCCCGCTGTGCGGCACACATATCTAATACCAGTTACTCAGGATGCTGAGGCAGGAGAATAGCTTGGATCCAGAAGGCAGCGGTTGCCATAAGCCAAGACAGAGCCACTGCACCCCAGCTTCGGCGACAAAGCTATACACTTCATCTCAAAAAAAAACTGATACTATCCCAACCACTCTAGATTATTCCTATCTGTAAGAACATATTACTAAACCATTACTTACAACATCCACTGTCAAAATATTCAAGAAAAAATTAACGTGGGAACCTCACAAGACAAAACACTTACTTTCCACTATTTAAACTACGAACATTTAAATTCATTATGCTACGCACCTGAGAAACTTAGCTGGTTCACTTCTGATTTAGGTGAAAAAAAAAGTTTTCATTACCGTTATCCTCTTCAGTCACAGAATGCTTCACATAGAATGTTCCGGATGTCTTAAACTTTAGTATCAATACATCTAATGATTTCCTTTGACCTGTACTATTCCTCTAAAAAATAAACGTTTTATGGTGAGGCAGACAGTTTTGTAGTCTTTCTGAAGACTTCTCCAACATTTTAACCTTGTTAGTTTTTAAAGAGAAACAGCCTAATTACAAAACTTGAGCAGCTTGCAAGGGCGACATAACACATCCCTAATTTTGTACCTATGTTCAAAGAAACAAAGGAAAATGTACAACAGACTACACAATTTACTCTCCTATTGAATTTGCTTTAAGCATGCGCGGCTAACCAATAACACCAGGCATCTTGCAGTACATGTCAAATTTTATTGTGAAAATTTTAAGGTAGATATTACATCTAAACACTTTTCAAATAGCATCAACAAGTATGAAATTACTTTGAAAACAATTCCTTTTCCTTTGAATACCTCAAAAAATTCATGGAGGAAGTTAGTATCTACCTCTCTCCACAAAACCAACATGTTTCTTTCAGTAATATGCAGGTAACAATGCAGAAATAACATTTCAATTTTTGATTTGCAAACAAGGATTGGTATGCAATAACTATTACTTTCAATGCTTGCTTTAATATCTGCTCGAGTCTCCTTTTTCAGATCGACTCTCCCCACCATCTACTATAGATGCCACATAACTTGAGCTACCATATGCTTCACGAGGATCAGGGAGCACCCTACCCAGAGAAGGCGGATTCCTTTGGTCTTTTCTGCAAACATGCTCACGATCACAATAATGAAAATCACCACAGCTCGAGTAACTCTCCCAACTTCTGCCATATCTATCTCGTGTATTACTATATGCGTGGCAGGTGCTTCCACCATAAGACATCCGAGGCCCTCTTGCAGGTGGTGCACCATGAGAGGTCCCTGCAGGGTTGGTAAAATAATATGTGGGACTACATTTAAACATTTTTACTGCTATCATTAAAGCATGAATTAGTTAAAGTACTATTTGGAAATATCTGCTTTCCTCCGCCTTTGTTGACAGGATATTAATCAAGGCTTTAATAGTCAGAAGGTTTTATTTAAGAGAAGTGTAAGAGTAGTATTTTGCAGCTTAACAAACTTAATTCTAAAGTAAATGCTCAGTCACATTTTCTTAACGTTAACTGAAGTTCTCACCTTCATATCATTCCCTAGGCTTTATACTGTTAAGAATACTCAATATTTAAACATGTTGCATATGGCCTTTACAATTTTCCTTAGAATTTCATTAAAATAACAATCTGGTCTATTAAATAAAATTCTGTAATTTACAAATCCATCCTGGACCCTTACCGTATCTCTGAAGTGCATCTCTATAAGAACTTCCACTTAGATGTTCAGAATGATCTCTACCAAGGGCCTCACCGTAGCCATCATGATAACTAAATTGAAAAAAAAAAAAGTCTTTTCAATTTCAGAATGAACAATTTAAGAAATCCATTTGATAAATCCAGATAACATGTTAGTACCTATATCCTCTAGAGGAATGTTCATCCCAACTAGAATGACCATAATCACGGTATGCATAGTCTCTATGTGGTGGAGCATAATCCCTGGTTTCTCGGGAACTTGGATGATTTCTGCGTGCACGAGTTGAAGCAAGGAATTTTAAATTGTCACCTTCTAGTATCCAAAACATAACTACATTACAACTTAAACACAATTAAATTGCCAAACATCTAAATAAAATGCCCACAGAGCCCAAATGCCCAAAATGCCCAAATGCCCAAAAAGCACATGAAACAGATACTCATAATCAGTGATTCAGGAAATGCATTTCAAATAAAAAAGGAGCTTCCACACTTCACACACACACACTGGAAGGGCAAAAAATTTTCAAAAGCAGGAAATAACAAGTGTTTGAGAGGATGTAGATAAATTGGAGCCCTGATACAATGTTAGTTGGAATGAACAATTTAAGAAATCTATTTGATAAATCCAGAAAAAGTTACAGTATCTATATCCTCTAGAGGAATGTTCATCCTGCCTAGAATGACCATAGTCTCAGTATGCCTAGCCTCTAGATGGTGGAGCATAATCCCTAGTTTCTCGGGAACTTGGATGATTTGTGTGTGCATAAGTTTAAGCAACAAGTTTTAAATTTTCATCTTCTAGTATCGAATACATGACTAACTTACAACTTTAAATTAAAAGGCCAAACATCTAAATAGGTATTTCTCCAAATAAAATAGGCAAATGCCCAAAAAGGACAAGTGACAGATACTCATATTCAGTGATTCAGAAAATGCATTTCTTTTTGTTTTATTATACTTTAAGTTCTAGCATACATGTGCATGATGAGTTAATGGGTGCAGAAAATGCATTTCAAATCCAAAATGAGATATCATATTTCACACACACAGATGAATGGCAATAGATTTTCAAAAGCAGGAAATAACAAGTGTTTGAGAGGATGTAGATAAATTGGAGCCCTGATACAATGTTAGTTGGAATGAACAATTTAAGAAATCTATTTGACAAATCCAGAAAAATTACAGTACCTATATCCTCTAGAATAACTTTCATGTCGACGAGAATGACCATAATCACGGTATCCATGGCCTCTAGATGGTGGAGCATACTCCCTAGTTTCTCGGGAACTTCGACGATTTCTGTATGCATAAGTTTAAGCAACAAATTTTAAATTTTCAACTTGTAGTATCCGATATATGACTAACTTACAACTTAAACAAAATTAAAAGGCCAAACATCTAAATAGATATTTCTCCAAATAAAATGGGCAAACGCCCAAAAAGCACATGGGACAGATACTCATATTCAGTGATTCAGAAAATGCATTTCTTTTTTTTATTATACTTTAAGTTCTAGGGTCCATGTGCATGACGAGTTAATGGGTGCAGAAAATGCATTTCAAATCCAAAATGAGATATCATATTTCACACACAGATGAATGGCAATAAATTTTCAAAAGCAGGAAATAACAAGTGTTGGAGAGGATGCAGATAAATTGGAGCCCTGATACAATGTTAGTTGGAATGAACAATTTAAGAAATCTATTTGACAAATCCACAAAAAGTTACAGTACCTGTATCCTCTAGAATAACTTTCATCCCGACGAGAATGACCATAATCACGGTATGCATGGCCTCTAGATGGTGGAGCATAATCCCTAGTTTCTCGGGAACTTCGATGATTTCTGTATGCATAAGTTTAAGCAACAAATTTTAAATTTTCAACTTCTAGTATCCGATACATGACTAACTTACAACTTAAACAAAATTAAAAGGCCAAACATCTCAATGGATATTTCTCCAAATAAAATGGGCAAATGCCCAAGATGCACATGGGACACATACTCATATTCAGTGATTCAGAAGACGCATTTCTTTTTTTTTTAATTATACTTTAAGTTCTAGGGTCCATGTGCATGATGAGTTAATGGGTGCAGAAAATGCATTTCAAATCCAAAATGAGATATCATATTTCATACGCACACACTGGAAGGGCAATAAATTTTCAAAAGCAGGAAATAACAAGTGTTTGAGAGGATGTAGATAAATTGGAGCCCTGATAGAACGTTAGTTGGAATGAGCAATTTAAGAAATCTATTTGACAAATTCAGAAAAAGTTACAGTACCTATATCCTCTAGAGGAATGTTCATCCCGATTAGAATGACCATTATCACGGTATGCATAGCCTCTAGATGGTGGAGCATAATCCCTCGTTTCTTGGCAACTTGGATGATTTCTGTGTGCATAAGTTTAAGCAACAAATTTTAAATTTTCAACTTCTAGTATCCAATACATGACTAACTTACAACTTAAACAAAATTAAAAGGCCAAACATCTAAACAGATATTTCTCCAAATAAAATCGGCAAATGCCCAAAAAGCACACGGGACTGATACTCATATTCAGCGATTCAGAAAATGCATTTCTTTTTGTTTCATTATACTTTAAGTTCTAGGATACATGTGCATGATGAGTTAATGGGTGCAGAAAATGCATTTCAAATCGAAAATGGGATATCATATTTCAAACACACATTTGAATGGCAATAAATTTCAAACAGCAGGAAATAACAAGTGTTTGAGAGGATGTAGATAAATTGGATTGCTGATACAATGCTAGGTTGGAACGGAAAATGATGCAGCTACTATGGAGAAATGTGGTGGTTCCTCAAGAAAACAAACATCATTATCATAGGACCATGCAATTCCACTCATATACACCCAGAACCGAGTAAGCACACTCAAACAAATATTGGTGCGTAGAAATACTCGGGTGGAAACAACGCAGATAAAATAATGGGTTAATAGCTTGTGGAAGGAGTGAAGTGCTATGATGTAAATGAACCTTCAGGACATCATGCAAAAGGAGAGGAGACAAATACAAAAAGTCATGTAGTGTTTGAGCACATTAACATTAAATACCCACAACAGGTAAGTTCAGAGGCAGAACACTGACTGGTGTTATCTAGCAGCTGAGGAAAAGGAGAAAATGGGAGGGACTGCTTAACTGGTAGTAGGAGTTTCAATTTGGAGTGATGAAAATGTTCTGGAACTCGATGGAGGTAGTTGTTGCATGGCACAGAATGTATCAAACACCACCTAACTGTTCACCTTATAATATTTAATTTTGTTATGTGAATTTCATCACCACAGGAAAAAAAAATCAACTGTGCTTTTTAATTTTTCCTTTACCCATCGTTAGTTGCATAACCATCATGTCTTGTTGACATGCGATCATTTCTCCAGGAAGATATTGTCGCTCTGCGTGGAGGAACTCCATAATTCTCTCTTCTTTGTGACATGGGACCTTTAACATTCAAATGATGGAACATTACGTAAAGAACACCAAATCTGAAACGCTATTTTCTCTTCTCTCAAACAACTTTTTAAAATTATTTCTTCTATGACTCCATTCTTTGTTTCCTAAATTACTAGACAGACATGACACTGTGAATATTTCTCATGGCTTTGGATAATCCCATGGCTCCCACAAGGCCAGTTCTTCTAATGAAGCTGAAGGCAAACATTAATGCTTAGGTAAAAGTTCATTTGTAATGGTTAATAACTACTTAGTTATTATTTTCCTTTCCATATAAATTACTGATGACTGTGAGTGACACAGGGAAAACACGTAAAACCATCAAACTCTTCACTGATTTTAAAGTTTACATACATTGTTCTTTCTCAGCCAAAGAAGGTAGATTTTCCAATATCATTCAGTCCATCTCACAGACACATAAATACAGCTACCTTTAAATGACTATATGCTAAATGTTTACATAAAAGTTCTTTAACTGGTTGGCTCTATCTTAAATGTTGACAAATTAAAATGTATTAGTGAAGATTTTCTAATGATGGTCAAGATTTGCTTTTACTGCAAAGAAAGCAATGCTATGCAAGGGGTCATTACAACATTGTTGCTGTTTCAAAATAGAAAGTTTCTCCTCTAATATATTCTTCACTTGCTATTCCTTAGCGGTCAGTGTTTCACATATGATACCTTCACTGGCTAATTTTCCAATGGAAATGTGTTGGCTTGGGTATCCTGAAGCCAATAAATACCTCCCTTCACCGATACTCTACGTATGAAATGTAAAATTGAAAATGGCAGTTTTTAACTTCCTCCGTATGCGGATGGAGGACTAAGAAAGAATTTTAATTTGCTCTGCTTAAACTTCCTTGCTAAGAACTTTTATTTATTGTCTTATTTTCTTCTGTTCAGTCTGCAGTCTTACAATTCTTCTCAAAAGTATTACTTGCATTCAACCCTACCGCTCACCTCATGTTGCTGAGTTCTAAATTCTCTCCTCAAATAATTTCAAATCTTACACTAAGGATCTTGTGTTAATGTTTAAACATCCCGGTACAATCTCAATTACTGATTTACATACACCTATATTTCACAACTCTGCATTTCTGTGATATCCACTTAATTTAAGAATTTTGGACTCCTACGTGTCTACCTCTCGAGCCTTAAATTTATTTTTAAATCATATTTAAGCCCAATGACTCCTTGTCTGCTAAATGCTCTTGTAGTTCTTTTGAATCTTCATGCAAGCAGTGAGTATGCCTTGCACATACGCATTACTGAGGTCTCAGAAGCTGGATGGCCAGGCTTAGCGGCTCACACTGTGAGTGAGTGTGGAAGGCTGAGGCAGCTGGACCGCTTGAGCCCCAGGCTTTAACATCAGTTTTGACAATGTAGTCAGATCCTCTCTCTACAAAAACATAGGGAAAAAAATGTAGCTAGGTGTGCTGCTGCATGCCTGTAGTTGCACAAACTCGGGAGGCTGAAACAGCAGAATTGCTTGAGCCCAGGAATTTGAGGCTATAGTAAGCCGTCATCTCACAAATTTGAGGCTACAGTAAGCCGTCGTCTCACATAGTGCACTCTCACCTAGTAAGAGCAAGACTCCAACCCAGCAAAGTCACCGAACAAGCAATTTTTAGAATGGGACACCAGGGGACTTAGGAAATGGAAGAGTTAATTAGATCAAGAAGCCTACCATCAAAGAATACTGCTAGGAACTTTTAGAAAAATTAAGGGGAATTTTCTAGCCAACACAGGATTAAAAGGAATGTTGGCCTCACTCTAATCACTTCTTTGATCTGCAATGAGAAGCTCAAGTATTTCTTCAACATAAATCTGAAATGTACCTAGTGAGATAGAAACTATAATAAAAGCTATCAATCAGTAATTATGCTCACGTATGTGTCACTTCTCTTTTGTTCAATGAACTTAAAGCTAAGCATTCAGGTAAAACGGCTCATTTTTAGTCATACAAAAACTACGGTCTTTCTGTCAGGCAGCATTTACCTTGGCTTCCCATCCAACTATTGCTTCTTGCCACAGCAGAAGGAGCAGATTTTTTCGGAGGAGGACCTCCACTTCTTGAAGATGGACCTCTTTTAACTGGAATGAGTCCCCTAGAATAACTCATCTTGAGATCAGGAGTGTATCCACCATCATCTGTATTTCAAACAAAATCTTTTTAGTTAACTGACGTCACTGTTTCTTAAATGGCTAAGTTTTAGTTGTTTACAAATATTTTCTACATTTTATAACAAATTCACATTTTGTCTAAACTAATAAAATTAGCATTCCTACAAGGTATTAGTACACTTCAAGCATTAAAAGTTCATTTAGAAAATCTAGAAAGAAACTCAAGTATCATAATATATCGGTATGAAGGAGAGATGTGGGAAAATGGGGAGTGAACGGGGGCAGAAATCTATCACTAAAATATCCAAATATAATATACATAAAAATATTAAAAGAAAAATGATAAATGACTGTTTATATCATTCTGTAATGAGGAAAAATTTTCAAAGCACATCATAAAGATAAACTAATTTCCATTCAAAGAAACTCAAATATTTCCAATACCAAGAAATCACATATCAGGAAAATACATTGTCTCTAAAATTTGTTAACACAATATAGAATTCTTAAAATTCCCTTATGAGACACTAATTTTCAGATGAGACTATGCTGAATTTTAACAGTCTTTAAGAATTGCATATTCGGTAATATAAACATATTTTTATACATCTACAAAAACGTAGATATATGCCAATTGCCAGGTGGTGTTACAGGTTAGAATTTATGTACACATTCTCGTCCGTGGCAGAGTATAATTGAAGCTCACCCTCAAGATCAGTGGAGGCAAAACAGCCGTGAAGCTACGCATCTTAAAATGGAGCAAACACTGCAATTTCAACTTGAAAACAATCTCCAATTAATTACATGTCTGGTTATTAAAACTCCAAGCTATTTGTTAGAGTTCTGAAGGTTGGTTAATAGATAATACAAGTTAACCAACAGGTTTATTTATTTATTTATTCAGATGCACTCTTGCCCTATCACGCAGGCTGGAGTGCCATGGCATAACCTTGGCTCACTGCAGCTTTTGCCTCCCAGGTTCCTGTGATTCTCCTGCCTCAGCCTCCTGAGTAGCTGGGATTACAGGTGCACGCCACCAGGCCCAGGCAAATTTTTTTGTATCTTTAGGAGAGACAGGGTTTCACCATGTTGGCCAGGCTGGTCTGGAACTCCTGACCTCGTGGTCCACCTCCCCTGTACTCCCCAGGTGCTGAGGTGACAGGCGTGAGCCACCTCGCACAGCCCATCCAATAGTTTTTTCTTTTTCCTTTTTTTTAAATATATGGTTTGTTTTTCTTTTATATGTAAAGATGGACCCCTCATTTCTATTAAGTAAATCACTCATAAATATCATTTTCAGTGACTCAGCCTCCAGCAAAGAAAGATTCATACATATCTGTGAAGCAGTGGTTTTTAGATCTTTCCAGAGTCACAGACTCTTTTCAGAAATTAAAGTTCTACATTTCTTAAATTGAAAATGCTTTACGGCAGGCCAATGTACAAACTCTCTGTATCAAAATTACAAAGCAATACATTTGCATAGATGTTTCCACATGTAGACACAAGAAAACAAATACTGCAAAATCAATCTTCAGTATTCAGTTACTTCTTCCTGTTGGAAAATTTTAAATATTACATCGTACTTTGATAATACAACTGACACGAAGTTCTGGGCCCTAAAGTAGAAAACTCTAAAGTATAATGAATATAAATGAGTTCTGCAGAAAACCGGTTGAGTACAGGCAATCAGCATTCACAAACACAACTCAGTTTCAAATGTGTGTTACTTCAGTGCAAACTTATTATAATTGTTAAACAAATTTTAGATATTAGTTCAATCATTCTTATAATACACCTTTATAGTACTTAGAAATAAGTTTGCTTATTATCAATAAGCTAATTTTCTCTTCATACAGGAAAGAAAAAAATTAAGAAATTTCAATATCGTCAAACTTATTTTCTTTCAGTCCTATGGTTCCATCTTTATATTTTAAAACATTACCCAGGTGCCCTTCTTGTGAGGGAAGCCACCCTCTTGTTCCTCCACGGCTTCCTCTTGCAGATCTCAGACTTCCTGAAGGGCTTCTGTTTCTCGAAGAAGCTGGTGGTCTCCGCCTACCACCACTTTGAAAAGATGGTTTCTTGGCTTGTTCTACTTTTATTGCTTTTCCATGCAAAGACTAGAAGTATTAAGGGTACTATCAATAACACCGGCACATTTAACGTAAGCACATTTTACAAACATTTTTACATCAACTGTAGTTCAATTTGAGGTATTTTTCTCCCAAAAGGAAACTTTTTTTTCTTCTAAAATGAACACATCTTTCGCAATGCCAAATTTGAGATAGTTACTGAGCACATGCCTTCCATTAAGGGATCAAACACAAATTCTATTATTCAAATTCCTTGAAAACTTTTCCATCATTAAAAAAAAAAAAAACTCAAACATAAAAAAAAAGTTTGACCCATCACACATTCTGTGGAAGAATGTGGCACATCTGTTTTTTACAATATATAATCCACTTCATCTTTGTAGTCACATCACTGATTTGAAAGTTGCAGTGTCCCAATGAAACTCGTGTCATTTAAAAAAAAAATGAGCTTACTTTTTCAGAGTGATTAGGCACATTACTCATTATGAGTTGTTTCTTGTTGGATTTGCTAACACTTCCATAAAATGTCCCCATATGATTTACAATTCTATATTGACTCTAAAAATGTTTCTGTAAATGTGATCCTTGTTTGATCTCATTAAGTTTTCTTGCCTTACTCATTTCTTACATTGCCTTAGACGTGCCCCTAAAAAACGAATCTTAATATAGTACTTCAGGTAATTTCTCAGAAATGCTTAACTATCCTAATTAATTTCATAATAACATTTTTCACTGTAATCTTTTCTACAGGCCACAGCAATTTTTGAAAACAGTTCAGCTAATAATGCGATTTAAAAATTACATGGCTTTTGTTATTTGGAGGAAGGACTTAAATCCCTGAACAAGACCGCTTGCAGCCACATCGCCCGTTGTTCCTACCTTGAAACTTCTTTTGTTATTTCTGGGCTCAAAATATTTTCCCCAGATTTGCCCACGGCTGCTTCCTTCCCAGTGTTCTGAAGTCAGCCAAAATTCCTTAACTGTTAATTCCCCCTGAAAACTCAAAGAACCTCCTTTATTGGCCATCTTAACATTAATGTGCATACAACATTCATAGTTATTTTAACACAATAAAATACGTGAGATGAAGTAATTTAGAAATAACGTTGGCTGGGCGCGGTGGCTCACACCGGTAATCCCAATACTTTGGGAGGCCAAGGCGGGTGGATCATGAGGTGAAGAGATAGAGCTCACCCTGGCTAACAGGGTGAAACCCCATCCCTACTCAAAGTACAAAATTAGCTGGGCGTGGTGGCGCGCCTCTGTAGCCCCTGGTACTGGGAGGCTGAGGCAGGAGAATCGCTTGAACCCGGGAGGCGGAGGTTGCAGTGAGCCAAGATGGCCCCACTGCAATCCAGCCTAGGGCACACAGCGAGTCTCCATCTTAAAAAACAAACAAACGAACAAAAACTTTACACAAATTACCTGCCCTTTTGCTTGAAAACTAGAGGGAAAAAAGAAATTATCATAGCTTCCTATACAGAAGTCAAAATTATCTCCATACCTACCACAAAGCCATGAACCAAAAGCAACTCTCGGTTTCTACCACAGCTTGAAATACTAATTTATAAGGGTGAATAAAAATGTACTTTCTGCTATGTGACAGGAAGTGTGCTAGATGTAACAGAAAGAAAAGCAACTAGCAAGACTTAAATATGCACTATATACAATTTCACGATCAATAGATTAATACATAGTACAGCGAGTAGAAAATACCTACAATACGCAATGAGGAAGAAAATTATGAAATCTAAGTGGTTTTTGAAGCATAAATTTTATTTATGAGCCATACACAGGGAAGGATAATTCTCAAGAAGTCTAAAAAAGCACTTTGGGAATAGCGTGAAGACTAACAGGACCTAAAAACAGATTGGGATAACGTTATTTATTTATTTTATTTATTTTTTGTTTTTTTGAGACGGATTCTTGCTCTGTTGCCAGGCTGGAGTGCATCGGCGTGATCTCGGCTCACTGCAACCTCTGCCTCCTTGGGTTTAACCGATTCCCCTGCCTCAGCCTACTGACTAGCTGGAACTACAGGCACACACAACCAGATGCAGCTAATTTTTTTTTTTGTATTTTAGTAGCGACAGGGTTTCACCATGTTGGCCATTATGGTTTCTTTCTCCTGACCTTGTGATCTGCCCGCCTTGGCCACCCAAAGCGCTGGGATTACACGCATGAGCCACCATGCCCGGCATGATTGGGATAATGTTATAAAGCAAAAAACACTAAAGAGCACAGAATGGAATGCTCTTGACTACAATGTAAAGGAATTCAATAATTAATATCATTACATAGAAGTTTAAAGCTTAAGTAAACACACAATCTCTAGATTTAAGACTCAACAGGACAAGAGACCATTGGTTCAATCAAAACAAGTCCTCAAACACACTGGGGAAATGAGTAATTAGCTATTCATGTTACATAAATCACTCTGGTGACAGGAAAGAAATGTCCTTAGGAGAAAAAGCAAGCATGGAGCCAAGAATGCCAGTTACTTCTTCTGTTATCTGACTTCAATGTTCTCATATTATTTTCTATTTTCAACTACTTAACCTTTCCGTAAATGTAAAGGTCTTATTTAAATACACTTTCGCAAGAATATATTTTCATAAAATATATTCTTCAAGAAGGAAAGAGTCTTTCCTTCTTGTGCGTCTGTCTAGATGTCTATCCAGTTTGTCTACGCTCTAAAAGTATTTCCATGAATTGGATGTACTTCAATTAATAGCATTTAATAAATATTGACTTATTACTTTCATTTACATGAGGGTTCCTTATAAGTTTTAAAGCTCTTCAAAACCTTTTAAAATCTATTTGCACTCATATCGAAATACAAACATAGAAAAAGGTTACCAAATATTAATTTATGTAATGTTAATTCCAATACCCTTCCAACTACACTTGCACGTATATGGCACAAAAAAGAGGATGGCTTCATGTGTCATTCTACTATCCTCAAAAGTTTAGCAATATTAAAAAGACCTAGAAATATTGTTAATTGAAGAACAGAGTTAGAATATTAGTAATAAGGGACTCTTACCTTTCCATTCATATCTTTGGCAGCATTCTTAGCATCTGCAGGGTTCTCAAAAGTAATAAATGCAAAGCCTCTGGATTTGCTGGTTCGATCCTTTATCAAAAGAACTAAAATATATGAAAACATTTTACATTCATATAATGGACTCATCAAGGTACTCACCATCTAAAGGTTACATCAAACTAAAAAATAATTGCATTTCACATCACTATTATGGTTCTCGATACTCAGTCACCCCTACAGTCAGTCTAGTTTATTCCAGTTTGTTTCGGAACTCCACAGCACATTTACTTTCCCTCATTTTCCTTTCTAAGTAGTAGGTTATCCTTTCCATAGAACCTTAACCTACTACTATGAGAATTTTCCAAATATCAAACAGATACTACAAAATAAGAGTTTAAAATGCATAAGGCATTTTAATGTAGGTATACAATGAACTTTGAAAAAATATATTTTTTCAAAACATATATATATAACATACATATTTTAAACATACCTATTGAAATATACATGTGAAAATACACACACACACACACACACACACACACACACACACACACACACACGGTTTTAAGAGTTACCTTCTGATATGGGACCATGTTTCCCAAATACTGCTTTAAGCATCTTCTCATTGGTTTCTCTATTGAGGCCACCAATGAAAAGCTTGCCAGGATGATCTGCTTCTACCATTGTGCTGTAAATGGTAAAAAATTATCTATATTTAGATATAAATAAGCTAAAAAGATAAAATTTTATTACATACTGTGCTGAAAACCCAAGTAAAATTCCCTTCCTGAGGCTGACATCTTTTTAGTATTTCTTACTTTATATATGTAAAATTTGTAACACTCAGAGCAAAGGGGCACTAACTTCATGGACAAATGCTGCATTTTAGTATGTACCTGACAAAAATCTCATTTCTAAAAATTAGATAAGAAAAGCTATTGTAATTTTCCTCAGTTGCAATATGAAGAATGTCCCCATTTAAATAATTTTATTTGAAAAGAATCTATTTATGAGGTACAGTGTGATGTTTTGCATATTTTCTTTCTTGAGATGTCTGTCTCCTGTCGCCAAAGTGAACTGCTCACTGCAGGCTCTTCCACCCAGCCTCAACTGATCTTCCTACATCTCAGCTTCCCAAGTAGCTAGTACTACAGGCGCTTTCTACCACAGCTGGGCAATTTTTTGTATTTTTAAAAATAGACAAGGGTTTCCCCATAGTGCCCAAGCTAGTCTCCAAATCTTCGGCTCAAGTGTTCTGCCGGCTTGGGACTACCAAAGTGATGGGATTTCAAGGGTGACTCACCACACTCAGCATGATATTTGGATAAGAGATTAAATCAAGCTACTTAAAATGTTCTAGGAGGAGAATATTTTAAATATTTTACCATCTTTTAGTGATTTGAAATATACAATAGGTCAAAGATCCCCAAACCCTAGCCTTCAACCCGTACCTATCTGTGGCCTGAATGTGATGCCGGAGGATGACCTGCAATACCTGTCTGTGGAGAATGTAACGCCTGAGGATGACCTGAGGTGGTACAGTTTTATCCGGAAACCATCCTCCCTACTCCCTCGCTGGCCCTCCCTGTCCCCGTGACAGCCTCACTGCCCCACCTGGCCTCTGTCACATTGCTCCTACCGGAAGACCCGCCCCACCACGTGCCCCTCGGAGACCTGCCGCCAGCCCCCACTCCCAAACCTGTCCACCTCGCCGCCTTCTTCCCCTGCGCAACCTTTCTCTGAGGAAAAACTGACTTCCACTAAACCAGTCCCTGATGCGAAAATAGCAATGAAAGAGTCCAGTACGTTACCCAGGCTGGTCTCAAACTCCTGACTTCAAGCCATCCTCCGACCTCCACTTCCCAAAATGCTAGGACTACAGGAGTAAGGCAGTGTGCCAGGTTAACAGAATAACTTAAGCGCATCTATTTTGTTCCAGTTTTCGGCTATCTAACTCCATTTGTCTCGATTACACCCACTTATTCGGTTTAAATTATTTACGGTGCCAAAGACACATGAAACGTTTCAAATACTGCCATACAACGAAGGAGACGATCACAGGCTTTACAGAGGCAAACTGAAACTCACATTATTTGTGGCCCCATATTTCTACATACACTAAAGTAACACAATTTATGTCAAAATTTGATAATTCTTCCAAGCAAATCAGACACGCGACATGTGCTAACCAAAAGTGTGACTTTTTAATCGCAGTGGTTAAGTGTATTGCCTGTATTCTGAATTATCACCACATTCACAGAGAAAACCCGCTTTAATAAAAAGTGCACATGAAAACCAATGGCGGCTTAGCACCATCTCCCACAACTAGTCGGACACATTAGGCAGTTAAAGGTAGAATCCTCAGGAAAAATCAATGAGTTTAACGAAAGTGAGTCTCTTAATAGCACTGAGGAGTTCTTTCCCCACTGACTCCTCCCGTAATTCAACACCCACACATAGAAAACCCATCCCCTTTTATAGACAAAATCCCAAACCTTCGCTTTCTATTCTTGCCGAGAGACCCAGCTGTCCAGAGAAACAGAAAATACCTGCGCTTTTTAGTAGGACAAAGAGCCTGAGGTTCGCCTGGCCCTCAGGCCGTACGTAACCGGCTTCGGAACACCACAGGGCCAACTGCGGGAGGGACAGCTGGAGCTTCCCTGAGAGGGAAGGACGCCGGAAGCCGTGCCCGGAAATCCCGCCTACCTCCAGCGGCCAATCATTGCGAAGGCGGTGGGCGTCAGCCAGTTACTGCAAAGGCTGTGGGCGTGTCCTGAGGCCGCTCCGCCCCAGCAGGCCTGCGGCTCCATCATCTCGCGGTAACTCTTCCGAGACCACGCTTGTGCCACGTGGCGGGCCGCGGTGGATTAAGGCACACGCGAACTGTGAGCCCTTTGCAATTGTGGGCATGGAAGACCTACACCCTAACTGGCATCCTGAGTGTGGCAAGACATTAACTAACCCACAGGGAACACATGAAACATCTCACTTCATTAGGCAGGCTAGGCTGATGGTACTGAATATTGCGGATCCAGAGGGGAGAGAGAGGGACCAGCGCTGCTGCTGGGGCGAGGGCAGCAGCGGTGGCTTGGGGGGATTGGGGCAGGGCGGGTGCGTGGGACTAAAGTCGACTGGTACGTTGCTGAGGTGGAATTCATCTGCACCAGAAGCTGAAACCCTGCAAGGATTCTGTCAGGTCTAGGCAAATACATACTCCGAGTTCCATGGTTCCTCCCTGAGGATGCTGTACTCACAGGGGCATTCCAAAGGACTTCTCATCCTGTGCCCTGGGCACACGGGAGGCCTACCGCCATGGTCGCCAATGCAGTGATCCGTGTGCACTGCTTTGCTGGTGCAGAGGCTCTCACAAGTGCAGTGGTGGCCGTGTGCCTGCTAGCGGGGCTCTGGAAGCCAGGGCCTTGGCATCCGACTCCAGGGCTGCCGTGCGCAGCTAACCCTGCTGGGTATCTGAGCCCCAGTGTGAGTGTGACAGGCTAAGGGCCCTGTGGGGCCCCCCAGGAACCCTGTTCCACATAGGTGTAGGATGTGGTTCTCAGCAGGGCAAGGCCCGCAGGCCTCTCCTGGAGTTGCCCCCAGAGTTGACGGGTGCCGGGGGGGTGGGGTGGGAGGCACAGGCTTTGCTCTGTTGGAGCCTCAAGGAGGGCACCATGTTAAGGCTGGAGGCTGTGCAGGAGAGGATGGTCTGTGCACAGAGCAGGAAGACAACCCTGGGGGGAGAGGCATGCTAGTGGGGGATGACATCATTGCAGAGATGGAGGTGGTGGCCAAGGAGGAAGGCCAATGTGGAGCCACAGCAGGAGGACCTGCAGGCACAGCCTGGCCCTGGCCCCAGTACGCCCCGGCCAGCAACAGACTCGCTGGACGTCCTTCACTTGGAGCTCGGCTACGTGAATGTCCCAGGCCACAGGGCATCCCCGGCTTCTGGGCCAGAGCCATATCCTTGCAGCTGCCAATTCGGGATGGTTGGCAGCAGGGGATGGGCGCGGAGCTCCCGGGAGCGGAGGTGGGGGGAAACAAGGTGGTAGGCACTGGCGGTCAGCCAGGATTCAGGGCATGGGGGACAACAAGGGGAACTGAGAACAGGCTCATGCGGATAGGAGGGCAGCTTAATTGCATGTGCCCTGAGGGCATGTGGTAGGGACAGGAAGCCAAGCACAGCACTCACCAGGGAGAATAGCAGCGCCAAGGACCCATCATAACAGCAGAAAGTTGAAGGATACGATTCACCGGGAAAGTCCCTGGAGGAAGGGGAGTCTGCATGCCCATGCCAGCCACGGAACTTCCCTGCTCCCCTTGCCTGTGTCCAGCAAGCTTACCCCAGAAACACAAGGTGCTCAAGACTCGGTGTCACTGTGCACGGGGCTGCTGTCCTATGCAAGGCAGGCACTATCTCCCCAGACACAATTTCTTCCCTCTGCCAGCGCTGCACCCAAAGATGTTTAGGCCCTGAGTATATATAAGCTCCCTTGAAACCACTCGAGCTCCACGGGGAGAGCCAGGCACAGCCCCGTAGCTACTTCTACCCACAGCGGTTGCCTGGGGTGGACACGTGCACCCCTCAGGGAGACCAGGAGAAGGAGAGACGGCACACCCAGACAGCAGCAGAGCCTGTCCAGCACCCAGCACAGGAGGGCCTCCTGCAGCTCAGAAACGCCGAGCAAGTAGTCGCCTCACACAACAACACCCCGCCCCCAACCCCCTGCCCACTTCTTCAGTGCCAGCCCCTGGTCAGAGCAGGTTGTCTGGGCCTGCCTCCACCCACCACCAAGACCACCACAGCTCTGATGGTGCCCTCCACGCCAGACAGAGACAGAGGACCTGGAAGGGAAGGTGCCCTGCCCCACACTCTCCGTGCTCTTGCAAAGTTGCAGGGTGTTTCCTTGCACGCCCACCCAATCATCCGGCGGCTCCTTGACCAGAGGCAGATTGTGCGGCACACCGAGATGTTGGCCGGGATCACAAATGATGATGAAGTCCTGCTAAGCTACGTACGTGATGGATTTGCAGGTCGGGCTAAGGAGCCTGAGTCTTCGGGAGGGGTCTGGTGTCTGGGTCAGGTTGAGGTACCCCTGGGACCCGGGGGTGTCTCAATGAGAGAGTTGGGAAGGAGAAACACATGCTTCACCCCAGCTAACAGGTCACCTCACCCCAGCTACATGAAATGCTCCTTTGAGTACGTCCTCTTTCTCCTTCTTGGCCAGGTAAGGGGAGGAAAGCAACTCTTCCGGGTACCGGCAGCAGGATGAAGTTTTCCTTTTATCACAGTCTCTACTTCCACAATGAAGTGATCATTCAGGAGTACTGCCTTGGCATCCTCGGTAAGGAGCGCCTCCCAGCATGGTAGGGGAGCTGGTGTGTGGGAGGGTAGGTCTGGCATGAACCTTCCTGACTCCTCTCTCTGCAGGATACGGGATGTCTCATTCCACTGCAGTCTAGTGGTTGTGGGATCATGAAGGTCAAGCCTCCAGCTGCAGGCCGTACAGCTCCTACCTGACCTTCTTCAGCTGGTTGGCTGACCATGACTGCCCAGGTTCTGGCAGGATTGCTGAGGTGAGCGCCAGGTAGGGCATCATGGGAAAGGATCTTGCTGGTCATTCCTTGGCCTCTGGGGAACTGGCTTTGAGCCATGACCTGAACTAACCTGTACCCACTTCTGCAGTCCCCTAGATCATCAGCCAGAGCCTGTAGCTCAATCCCCTGCAGTACTTCTCCAGGGAGGGAGGCCATTAGAGAGTGAACAGAGAGGAGGCCAGGTGAGCAGTCTGGGGCTGGGGACTGAGAGGCGGTTGATTCCTGGAGTTGTGCCCCACATGGAGAAACCAAGCCTCAGGGAGGTGACTGCAGTGAGCAATCCCACGCCATCCATGGGCTGGCGGAGAAATGGCCATCAAAGAACTGTAACACCCACATTTTAGGATTGGGGCACCTTCAGCCGCCTAAGAGGAATAAGTGTCTAAGGTCAGTGGGTGAGAAGCAAGGCTCAAGTGGTAGCTGTCTCATCATCCCTCACCGGCTGAGGCCTGAGGCCGGCTACCACTTGGGGCTCAGTTTGGGCTCAACCAGGGCCCTCTCACCCTCCACGCAGATATCCTCCCAAGGCCCCTCTCTATGTCTTCCCTGATGGGCTGTCCCACGCCCATCATTTTTTGTTACAATGATCCCAGGCTTCCCTGAGATGCTTTCTGCCCTCTGCCATCATCACCCACACTTCCCTGCCCCACCCTGCCCCACCAGACAAGAGAGGCCGCTACACAGGGAATCTGGAGAACCACACTGGGCTCACAGGGGAGGAAATGTGAAGAGATTGCAAAATGGATGAGCCCTTCATTGTGTGTCCAGGGAGGGAACCTGGCTGGGAATTAAGGCCCACCTGAGTAGTGGTGTGGACACCCAGTGTTACTTATCATGATGAAGACCTGCTTTGTCACATCCCCTAATATTAATATGGAAGTTATTTTCTTGGAACAGTGAAACAATGTGTACAAAGAAATAGTGTTTGTTCAGATTTGTGTAGAAATACTGCAGACGCGTCCCTTTTCCATTACAATTCTTATGTGAGACTTGAAGTGTTTATTGAGTTGTAAGATACATTTTGATGGTTCTGCCCCCAGCAAATTTTACGATCATGTTTGCACTGTAGAGACATGGAATCCAGAAAAGTTTTGAGTGACTTTCAGCTTCTTGTAGAGTACTTACTTGTAAATTTTGAATTTTTTTCCGTATAGTTCTCTTCAGTTTATTATTTTAATTTTATGTGCAAGGTGATTCATTTGTTTTATTTGCCTTTTGTGGAAACTTTGTTTTAATGTACTTTCTGTTTTCCGTTAGATATGCGAGTTGAACTGTGAGTACAAAATTTTTATTTTCATTTTTTAGTTGTTTTGGGGTGTCTGTGTGTGTTTTGAGGAGTACTGCTCTGTCACCCAGGCTGGAGTGAAGTGGCAGGATCTCGGCTCAACCTCAACCTCCGCCTCCCAGCTTCAAGCAATTCCCCTGCCTCGGCCTTCTGAGGAGTTGGGATTACTGGTGCATGCCACCATGTGCAGCTAATTTTTGTATTTTTAGTCAAGACTGGGTTTCACCATATTTGCCAGGCTGGTCTCCGACTCCTCACCTCAACTGATCCACCCACTTTTGCCTGCCAAACTGCCAGGCTTACAGCGTGAGCCACCATGCCCAGCCTCATTTATTTGTTTCTGTATTAGAACCCTTCTTGTATACTCTTCATGTACACACATTTTAGAGTGAATGGAAGAGTGTATTTTATTTATTTAGTCAATAGTAGAATTTTAAACGCAATGTTTTTATTCAGTAAATACAGTATTGTGAATAGGTTAAACCTAGTATAGTATTGTCATTCTCTCTTTCATAAATTTTTCAAGAACGCTGATACTGTTTCCGTCCCCCCGCCTCCGAGGAGAACACGCAGATAGGTCCAAAAAATTGTGGAAGTGAGTGGGTATGAAAATATAATTTGAAGGCCGGACGGGGTGTTTCACGCCTGCAATCCCCACACTTTCGGAGGCCAAGGCTGGTGGATTACCAGACGTCAGAAGTTCAAGACCAGCGGGGTCAACATGGTGAAACCCCACCTCTACTAAATATTCGAAAATTAGCTGGGCATGGTGGCAGGTTCCTGTAATCCTAGCTATTTGGGAGGCTGAGGCAGGAGAATCGGTTGAACCCAAGAGGCGGTGGTTGCAGTGAGCCAAGATCACGCCACTGCACTACAGCCTGGGTCACAAGACCAAAGCTTTGTCTCCACCACCCCACACCCCCCAAGAAAGCATTATTTTGGGAAAAACCCATCCAGCACTTGTAAAAATAAGGAATTATTAGGCATGGCCACTGTAGTGGTCTGAAACACACTTTGAAATTCTTCTCAAACCCATTTGAAAATATTCCTGATGGAACTGAACACAGTACTTGCTTCTAATGTATAGAAAACACTGCAAGCAGTTTCTGGATACTGGACCACCTCTGGCCTAGTTTAGAGACGGTGACACGGCTCTGCCTAGGTCTCCTGCTCTCATGGGGACAAACCCCTTAGGAGCCCCCGACCAGTACATCACGCAGTCTAACACCCTGATAACACTATGCAGAAGGGACATCCAATGGAGAGACTCAAAGAAACAGAACAAGATGTCTGAGCATCTCAGCAGTCCAGCCCCTGCTATTTGAGTCACGCTAGCCATGGCACCAGGGAGATGAGAAGACACCCGCCAATGTCCCCATCTTTGGCCATCACTAGATTGCATCCTCCTGAGCGCCCCTGAACCACATTCATTTGGCTGAGAGACTGAGGGCGATTGCAGAGACTGACAGTTAGTAAATTATAATTATGGTTTTAAGCCACTAAGTTTTAGATAATTCTGAAAAGCACTTTAGACTCCTAGAAAAACTGTGTCGTCTACTGACTTCATTGCAGAGAGCTGTAAAGGCCAACATCATGAATGCTAATACCCTGGAAAAGTCAAATCATCGAGACTCTTCTAAGCACAACAGATCTTTAATGTCCCTTCGCTATGGCTGGAGAATAATCTAACATGTATCTGATAGAGTTGTTGGAAAGCCTCTGTTCACATCTCTCAGCCTGGTATGGGTCAACTCTGGTCTGCTTTAATTCTAGGCAACTGCAGCAGCTCACCTTTCATTTAGGTCGTGGCCTACACTGATTTTTTTTGATCACTGACTGTGTCTTTGTCTGTGTGTGTATGTTTTGTGTGTTACCATATTTTATCTGAGGAGGCTAAATAGTAGTACTATAATTGTTTTGTAAACATAAAACATTCCAGGAAGTCAATATTGCTTATCAATCGAGCTTTAAAACAGATACGAAATTAGACATGACAAGATGCCACGTCTAGTATCATACCAAAGCTAGCCAAGCTTGGTGGCCCGTGGATGTTATCCCAGCTACTTGGAAGGCTGATGCAGGAGAATCCGTTGAACCCTGGTGATGGAGTTTGCAGTAAAGTGAGATCACACCACTGTGCTCCAGCCTGGGCACCAGAGCGAGACGCTGTCTCAGAAATAAAAAGAGAATAAAATAATAAAATAGGAGAGATCACGGGAGAGAGAAATGCATACAACTGGGTGGGCAGTGTGGCTCATGCCTGGATCCCAGCATTTTGAGAGGCTGATGTGGGTGGATCACTAAAGGAAAGGAACTCAAGACCAGCCTGAGCAAATATTGTGAAACCTGGTCTCTACTGAAAATACAAAATATTTGCCAGGATTGGTGTCATATGATTGCAGTCGCAGCTGCTTAGGAGGGTGTGACTGGACAATTGCTTGAACCCGTGATAAGGAGGGAGCAGTGAGCTGAGATCACGCCACTGCACTCCAGCCTAGGTGACAGGGCAGGATTCTTTCTTAAAAAAAAAAAAATCAGTGAGAGAAAAAGATACAGAGACAAAAAGAAAGAAAGACAGGAAGGAAGAAAGGAAGGGAGGGAAGGAGGAAGGGAATGAAAATTTGTACCTAACAGTTGTAGATACTTTTGGCATACATGTGATATTTTGATACAAGTAATGTGAACTGGTAAGCGAGGGATCAAAGAGGGGATGGGGGTGGGTTAAATTATACTTGCTTAGAAGGAATAATATCTAGTGTTCAGTGGCACAGGATGACTACACTTAATAATGATTTATTGTACATCTCAAAATAATTAATAGAGCGAAGGTGGAATGTCGCTGATACCAAGAAAAGATACGCCAGACTCAGTGAGGTGGAATGTCGCTCATAATGAGAAAAGATATGCCAGACTCAGTGGCTCACGGCTATAATCACAACACTTTGGGAAGCCAGGGAAGGAGGATTATTTCGGTCTGGGAGTTTGAGACCAGCCTGAACAATATATCCAAAGCATTGTCCCTACCACACACACACAAACACAAAAGCTGGGCACGGTGGTTGGTGTGTGTCTGTAATTCCAGCTACTTGGGAGGCTGAAATGGAAGGCTTGCACATTTCAAGCCCGTGTTCAAGGCTGCAGTGAGCTATGATGGTGCCACTGCAGTCTAGGCTGGACAACAGTGTGAGACCTTGTCTCTAAAAAAGAAAAAAGAATCGGTAAGTGCTTGAACTGAAGGATACCCTATTTATTATGTATATATTTGTTGATTGATATAATTATTTTTGTGTTGGAGTCGCACTCTGTCACCCAGGCTAGAGTGCATGGTGCAATATCGGCTCACCGCAGCATCAGGCTCCCAGGTTCAAACCACTGTCCTGCCTGAGCCTCCCAATTAACTGCAACGTACTACAGGCAGGCACCACCATGCCCGGCTAATTTTTGTATTTTTGGTAGAGATGGGGTTTCATGGTGTTGGCCAGCCTGGTCTTCAACTCCTGTCCTAAAGTGCTCTGCAAGCCTCGGCCTCCCCAAGTGTTAGAATTAGAGACCTGAGCCATCACACATGGACAGTAAGATACACAAGACTCGGGAGATTTATCTTTTCACTTCATCCTCACAATGCTACAGGTGAATGAAAACACTCCATAACATGAATAACTCACTTGAAAATCAAAGTTGGTAACTTCTCCCTTTAAAATTATTTGTACCCTTACCCTGTAAAAATTGATGATTCTGTCAAAATTTTTCAAGAAAATACTTCCTCCTTGCAGATTAGTCTGTCAATTGTAAGAATTATGGACTGCAAAACTTCTGGAACTTGATGTATTTCATTTCTTTAGTTTGTATAATCAGGAAAATTAATTCATTTAGTTATTTCGGTCTAAATATTTGTATCATTCAGTGATGTCTTAAAACTTTAAGCAATCCCGTCGGAAACTTTATGCTGTTGTTTATGTTTTATACACTTCACTTTCCCCTAAGTATGAGGTTTAAAGCGTTTCCATTCATATTATCAATTAAATACGATAGGCTGACAGTGGTGGCACACGCCTATAATCTTAGCACTTCGGGAGTCTGAGGAGGGTGGATCAGGATTTTAAGAACAGCCTGGCAAACAAGGTGAAACGCTGTCTGCACTAAAAATACAAAAATTGGCCCCGCTGTGCGGCACACATATCTAATACCAGTTACTCAGGATGCTGAGGCAGGAGAATAGCTTGGATCCAGAAGGCAGCGGTTGCCATAAGCCAAGACAGAGCCACTGCACCCCAGCTTCGGCGACAAAGCTATACACTTCATCTCAAAAAAAAACTGATACTATCCCAACCACTCTAGATTATTCCTATCTGTAAGAACATATTACTAAACCATTACTTACAACATCCACTGTCAAAATATTCAAGAAAAAATTAACGTGGGAACCTCACAAGACAAAACACTTACTTTCCACTATTTAAACTACGAACATTTAAATTCATTATGCTACGCACCTGAGAAACTTAGCTGGTTCACTTCTGATTTAGGTGAAAAAAAAAGTTTTCATTACCGTTATCCTCTTCAGTCACAGAATGCTTCACATAGAATGTTCCGGATGTCTTAAACTTTAGTATCAATACATCTAATGATTTCCTTTGACCTGTACTATTCCTCTAAAAAATAAACGTTTTATGGTGAGGCAGACAGTTTTGTAGTCTTTCTGAAGACTTCTCCAACATTTTAACCTTGTTAGTTTTTAAAGAGAAACAGCCTAATTACAAAACTTGAGCAGCTTGCAAGGGCGACATAACACATCCCTAATTTTGTACCTATGTTCAAAGAAACAAAGGAAAATGTACAACAGACTACACAATTTACTCTCCTATTGAATTTGCTTTAAGCATGCGCGGCTAACCAATAACACCAGGCATCTTGCAGTACATGTCAAATTTTATTGTGAAAATTTTAAGGTAGATATTACATCTAAACACTTTTCAAATAGCATCAACAAGTATGAAATTACTTTGAAAACAATTCCTTTTCCTTTGAATACCTCAAAAAATTCATGGAGGAAGTTAGTATCTACCTCTCTCCACAAAACCAACATGTTTCTTTCAGTAATATGCAGGTAACAATGCAGAAATAACATTTCAATTTTTGATTTGCAAACAAGGATTGGTATGCAATAACTATTACTTTCAATGCTTGCTTTAATATCT
Organism: Homo sapiens; assembly: GCF_000001405.40. Classification (NCBI taxonomy): domain Eukaryota; kingdom Metazoa; phylum Chordata; class Mammalia; order Primates; family Hominidae; genus Homo; species Homo sapiens. Next base: position 21,501,959 of record NC_000024.10, on the reverse strand, counting down.
GCTCGAGTCTCCTTTTTCAGATCGACTCTCCCCACCATCTACTATAGATGCCACATAACTTGAGCTACCATATGCTTCACGAGGATCAGGGAGCACCCTACCCAGAGAAGGCGGATTCCTTTGGTCTTTTCTGCAAACATGCTCACGATCACAATAATGAAAATCACCACAGCTCGAGTAACTCTCCCAACTTCTGCCATATCTATCTCGTGTATTACTATATGCGTGGCAGGTGCTTCCACCATAAGACATCCGAGGCCCTCTTGCAGGTGGTGCACCATGAGAGGTCCCTGCAGGGTTGGTAAAATAATATGTGGGACTACATTTAAACATTTTTACTGCTATCATTAAAGCATGAATTAGTTAAAGTACTATTTGGAAATATCTGCTTTCCTCCGCCTTTGTTGACAGGATATTAATCAAGGCTTTAATAGTCAGAAGGTTTTATTTAAGAGAAGTGTAAGAGTAGTATTTTGCAGCTTAACAAACTTAATTCTAAAGTAAATGCTCAGTCACATTTTCTTAACGTTAACTGAAGTTCTCACCTTCATATCATTCCCTAGGCTTTATACTGTTAAGAATACTCAATATTTAAACATGTTGCATATGGCCTTTACAATTTTCCTTAGAATTTCATTAAAATAACAATCTGGTCTATTAAATAAAATTCTGTAATTTACAAATCCATCCTGGACCCTTACCGTATCTCTGAAGTGCATCTCTATAAGAACTTCCACTTAGATGTTCAGAATGATCTCTACCAAGGGCCTCACCGTAGCCATCATGATAACTAAATTGAAAAAAAAAAAAGTCTTTTCAATTTCAGAATGAACAATTTAAGAAATCCATTTGATAAATCCAGATAACATGTTAGTACCTATATCCTCTAGAGGAATGTTCATCCCAACTAGAATGACCATAATCACGGTATGCATAGTCTCTATGTGGTGGAGCATAATCCCTGGTTTCTCGGGAACTTGGATGATTTCTGCGTGCACGAGTTGAAGCAAGGAATTTTAAATTGTCACCTTCTAGTATCCAAAACATAACTACATTACAACTTAAACACAATTAAATTGCCAAACATCTAAATAAAATGCCCACAGAGCCCAAATGCCCAAAATGCCCAAATGCCCAAAAAGCACATGAAACAGATACTCATAATCAGTGATTCAGGAAATGCATTTCAAATAAAAAAGGAGCTTCCACACTTCACACACACACACTGGAAGGGCAAAAAATTTTCAAAAGCAGGAAATAACAAGTGTTTGAGAGGATGTAGATAAATTGGAGCCCTGATACAATGTTAGTTGGAATGAACAATTTAAGAAATCTATTTGATAAATCCAGAAAAAGTTACAGTATCTATATCCTCTAGAGGAATGTTCATCCTGCCTAGAATGACCATAGTCTCAGTATGCCTAGCCTCTAGATGGTGGAGCATAATCCCTAGTTTCTCGGGAACTTGGATGATTTGTGTGTGCATAAGTTTAAGCAACAAGTTTTAAATTTTCATCTTCTAGTATCGAATACATGACTAACTTACAACTTTAAATTAAAAGGCCAAACATCTAAATAGGTATTTCTCCAAATAAAATAGGCAAATGCCCAAAAAGGACAAGTGACAGATACTCATATTCAGTGATTCAGAAAATGCATTTCTTTTTGTTTTATTATACTTTAAGTTCTAGCATACATGTGCATGATGAGTTAATGGGTGCAGAAAATGCATTTCAAATCCAAAATGAGATATCATATTTCACACACACAGATGAATGGCAATAGATTTTCAAAAGCAGGAAATAACAAGTGTTTGAGAGGATGTAGATAAATTGGAGCCCTGATACAATGTTAGTTGGAATGAACAATTTAAGAAATCTATTTGACAAATCCAGAAAAATTACAGTACCTATATCCTCTAGAATAACTTTCATGTCGACGAGAATGACCATAATCACGGTATCCATGGCCTCTAGATGGTGGAGCATACTCCCTAGTTTCTCGGGAACTTCGACGATTTCTGTATGCATAAGTTTAAGCAACAAATTTTAAATTTTCAACTTGTAGTATCCGATATATGACTAACTTACAACTTAAACAAAATTAAAAGGCCAAACATCTAAATAGATATTTCTCCAAATAAAATGGGCAAACGCCCAAAAAGCACATGGGACAGATACTCATATTCAGTGATTCAGAAAATGCATTTCTTTTTTTTATTATACTTTAAGTTCTAGGGTCCATGTGCATGACGAGTTAATGGGTGCAGAAAATGCATTTCAAATCCAAAATGAGATATCATATTTCACACACAGATGAATGGCAATAAATTTTCAAAAGCAGGAAATAACAAGTGTTGGAGAGGATGCAGATAAATTGGAGCCCTGATACAATGTTAGTTGGAATGAACAATTTAAGAAATCTATTTGACAAATCCACAAAAAGTTACAGTACCTGTATCCTCTAGAATAACTTTCATCCCGACGAGAATGACCATAATCACGGTATGCATGGCCTCTAGATGGTGGAGCATAATCCCTAGTTTCTCGGGAACTTCGATGATTTCTGTATGCATAAGTTTAAGCAACAAATTTTAAATTTTCAACTTCTAGTATCCGATACATGACTAACTTACAACTTAAACAAAATTAAAAGGCCAAACATCTCAATGGATATTTCTCCAAATAAAATGGGCAAATGCCCAAGATGCACATGGGACACATACTCATATTCAGTGATTCAGAAGACGCATTTCTTTTTTTTTTAATTATACTTTAAGTTCTAGGGTCCATGTGCATGATGAGTTAATGGGTGCAGAAAATGCATTTCAAATCCAAAATGAGATATCATATTTCATACGCACACACTGGAAGGGCAATAAATTTTCAAAAGCAGGAAATAACAAGTGTTTGAGAGGATGTAGATAAATTGGAGCCCTGATAGAACGTTAGTTGGAATGAGCAATTTAAGAAATCTATTTGACAAATTCAGAAAAAGTTACAGTACCTATATCCTCTAGAGGAATGTTCATCCCGATTAGAATGACCATTATCACGGTATGCATAGCCTCTAGATGGTGGAGCATAATCCCTCGTTTCTTGGCAACTTGGATGATTTCTGTGTGCATAAGTTTAAGCAACAAATTTTAAATTTTCAACTTCTAGTATCCAATACATGACTAACTTACAACTTAAACAAAATTAAAAGGCCAAACATCTAAACAGATATTTCTCCAAATAAAATCGGCAAATGCCCAAAAAGCACACGGGACTGATACTCATATTCAGCGATTCAGAAAATGCATTTCTTTTTGTTTCATTATACTTTAAGTTCTAGGATACATGTGCATGATGAGTTAATGGGTGCAGAAAATGCATTTCAAATCGAAAATGGGATATCATATTTCAAACACACATTTGAATGGCAATAAATTTCAAACAGCAGGAAATAACAAGTGTTTGAGAGGATGTAGATAAATTGGATTGCTGATACAATGCTAGGTTGGAACGGAAAATGATGCAGCTACTATGGAGAAATGTGGTGGTTCCTCAAGAAAACAAACATCATTATCATAGGACCATGCAATTCCACTCATATACACCCAGAACCGAGTAAGCATACTCAAACAAATATTGGTGCGTAGAAATACTCGGGTGGAAACAACGCAGATAAAATAATGGGTTAATAGCTTGTGGAAGGAGTGAAGTGCTATGATGTAAATGAACCTTCAGGACATCATGCAAAAGGAGAGGAGACAAATACAAAAAGTCATGTAGTGTTTGAGCACATTAACATTAAATACCCACAACAGGTAAGTTCAGAGGCAGAACACTGACTGGTGTTATCTAGCAGCTGAGGAAAAGGAGAAAATGGGAGGGACTGCTTAACTGGTAGTAGGAGTTTCAATTTGGAGTGATGAAAATGTTCTGGAACTCGATGGAGGTAGTTGTTGCATGGCACAGAATGTATCAAACACCACCTAACTGTTCACCTTATAATATTTAATTTTGTTATGTGAATTTCATCACCACAGGAAAAAAAAATCAACTGTGCTTTTTAATTTTTCCTTTACCCATCGTTAGTTGCATAACCATCATGTCTTGTTGACATGCGATCATTTCTCCAGGAAGATATTGTCGCTCTGCGTGGAGGAACTCCATAATTCTCTCTTCTTTGTGACATGGGACCTTTAACATTCAAATGATGGAACATTACGTAAAGAACACCAAATCTGAAACGCTATTTTCTCTTCTCTCAAACAACTTTTTAAAATTATTTCTTCTATGACTCCATTCTTTGTTTCCTAAATTACTAGACAGACATGACACTGTGAATATTTCTCATGGCTTTGGATAATCCCATGGCTCCCACAAGGCCAGTTCTTCTAATGAAGCTGAAGGCAAACATTAATGCTTAGGTAAAAGTTCATTTGTAATGGTTAATAACTACTTAGTTATTATTTTCCTTTCCATATAAATTACTGATGACTGTGAGTGACACAGGGAAAACACGTAAAACCATCAAACTCTTCACTGATTTTAAAGTTTACATACATTGTTCTTTCTCAGCCAAAGAAGGTAGATTTTCCAATATCATTCAGTCCATCTCACAGACACATAAATACAGCTACCTTTAAATGACTATATGCTAAATGTTTACATAAAAGTTCTTTAACTGGTTGGCTCTATCTTAAATGTTGACAAATTAAAATGTATTAGTGAAGATTTTCTAATGATGGTCAAGATTTGCTTTTACTGCAAAGAAAGCAATGCTATGCAAGGGGTCATTACAACATTGTTGCTGTTTCAAAATAGAAAGTTTCTCCTCTAATATATTCTTCACTTGCTATTCCTTAGCGGTCAGTGTTTCACATATGATACCTTCACTGGCTAATTTTCCAATGGAAATGTGTTGGCTTGGGTATCCTGAAGCCAATAAATACCTCCCTTCACCGATACTCTACGTATGAAATGTAAAATTGAAAATGGCAGTTTTTAACTTCCTCCGTATGCGGATGGAGGACTAAGAAAGAATTTTAATTTGCTCTGCTTAAACTTCCTTGCTAAGAACTTTTATTTATTGTCTTATTTTCTTCTGTTCAGTCTGCAGTCTTACAATTCTTCTCAAAAGTATTACTTGCATTCAACCCTACCGCTCACCTCATGTTGCTGAGTTCTAAATTCTCTCCTCAAATAATTTCAAATCTTACACTAAGGATCTTGTGTTAATGTTTAAACATCCCGGTACAATCTCAATTACTGATTTACATACACCTATATTTCACAACTCTGCATTTCTGTGATATCCACTTAATTTAAGAATTTTGGACTCCTACGTGTCTACCTCTCGAGCCTTAAATTTATTTTTAAATCATATTTAAGCCCAATGACTCCTTGTCTGCTAAATGCTCTTGTAGTTCTTTTGAATCTTCATGCAAGCAGTGAGTATGCCTTGCACATACGCATTACTGAGGTCTCAGAAGCTGGACGGCCAGGCTTAGCGGCTCACACTGTGAGTGAGTGTGGAAGGCTGAGGCAGCTGGACCGCTTGAGCCCCAGGCTTTAACATCAGTTTTGACAATGTAGTCAGATCCTCTCTCTACAAAAACATAGGGAAAAAAATGTAGCTAGGTGTGCTGCTGCATGCCTGTAGTTGCACAAACTCGGGAGGCTGAAACAGCAGAATTGCTTGAGCCCAGGAATTTGAGGCTATAGTAAGCCGTCATCTCACAAATTTGAGGCTACAGTAAGCCGTCGTCTCACATAGTGCACTCTCACCTAGTAAGAGCAAGACTCCAACCCAGCAAAGTCACCGAACAAGCAATTTTTAGAATGGGACACCAGGGGACTTAGGAAATGGAAGAGTTAATTAGATCAAGAAGCCTACCATCAAAGAATACTGCTAGGAACTTTTAGAAAAATTAAGGGGAATTTTCTAGCCAACACAGGATTAAAAGGAATGTTGGCCTCACTCTAATCACTTCTTTGATCTGCAATGAGAAGCTCAAGTATTTCTTCAACATAAATCTGAAATGTACCTAGTGAGATAGAAACTATAATAAAAGCTATCAATCAGTAATTATGCTCACGTATGTGTCACTTCTCTTTTGTTCAATGAACTTAAAGCTAAGCATTCAGCTAAAACGGCTCATTTTTAGTCATACAAAAACTACGGTCTTTCTGTCAGGCAGCATTTACCTTGGCTTCCCATCCAACTATTGCTTCTTGCCACAGCAGAAGGAGCAGATTTTTTCGGAGGAGGACCTCCACTTCTTGAAGATGGACCTCTTTTAACTGGAATGAGTCCCCTAGAATAACTCATCTTGAGATCAGGAGTGTATCCACCATCATCTGTATTTCAAACAAAATCTTTTTAGTTAACTGACGTCACTGTTTCTTAAATGGCTAAGTTTTAGTTGTTTACAAATATTTTCTACATTTTATAACAAATTCACATTTTGTCTAAACTAATAAAATTAGCATTCCTACAAGGTATTAGTACACTTCAAGCATTAAAAGTTCATTTAGAAAATCTAGAAAGAAACTCAAGTATCATAATATATCGGTATGAAGGAGAGATGTGGGAAAATGGGGAGTGAACGGGGGCAGAAATCTATCACTAAAATATCCAAATATAATATACATAAAAATATTAAAAGAAAAATGATAAATGACTGTTTATATCATTCTGTAATGAGGAAAAATTTTCAAAGCACATCATAAAGATAAACTAATTTCCATTCAAAGAAACTCAAATATTTCCAATACCAAGAAATCACATATCAGGAAAATACATTGTCTCTAAAATTTGTTAACACAATATAGAATTCTTAAAATTCCCTTATGAGACACTAATTTTCAGATGAGACTATGCTGAATTTTAACAGTCTTTAAGAATTGCATATTCGGTAATATAAACATATTTTTATACATCTACAAAAACGTAGATATATGCCAATTGCCAGGTGGTGTTACAGGTTAGAATTTATGTATACATTCTCGTCCGTGGCAGAGTATAATTGAAGCTCACCCTCAAGATCAGTGGAGGCAAAACAGCCGTGAAGCTACGCATCTTAAAATGGAGCAAACACTGCAATTTCAACTTGAAAACAATCTCCAATTAATTACATGTCTGGTTATTAAAACTCCAAGCTAATTGTTAGAGTTTTGAAGGTTGGTTAATAGATAATACAAGTTAACCAACAGGTTTATTTATTTATTTATTCAGATGCACTCTTGCCCTATCACGCAGGCTGGAGTGCCATGGCATAACCTTGGCTCACTGCAGCTTTTGCCTCCCAGGTTCCTGTGATTCTCCTGCCTCAGCCTCCTGAGTAGCTGGGATTACAGGTGCATGCCACCAGGCCCAGGCAAATTTTTTTGTATCTTTAGGAGAGACAGGGTTTCACCATGTTGGCCAGGCTGGTCTGGAACTCCTGACCTCGTGGTCCACCTGCCCTGTACTCCCCAGGTGCTGAGGTGACAGGCGTGAGCCACCTCGCACAGCCCATCCAATAGTTTTTTCTTTTTCCTTTTTTTTAAATATATGGTTTGTTTTTCTTTTATATGTAAAGATGGACCCCTCATTTCTATTAAGTAAATCACTCATAAATATCATTTTCAGTGACTCAGCCTCCAGCAAAGAAAGATTCATACATATCTGTGAAGCAGTGGTTTTTAGATCTTTCCAGAGTCACAGACTCTTTTCAGAAATTAAAGTTCTACATTTCTTAAATTGAAAATGCTTTACGGCAGGCCAATGTACAAACTCTCTGTATCAAAATTACAAAGCAATACATTTGCATAGATGTTTCCACATGTAGACACAAGAAAACAAATACTGCAAAATCAATCTTCAGTATTCAGTTACTTCTTCCTGTTGGAAAATTTTAAATATTACATCGTACTTTGATAATACAACTGACACGAAGTTCTGGGCCCTAAAGTAGAAAACTCTAAAGTATAATGAATATAAATGAGTTCTGCAGAAAACCGGTTGAGTACAGGCAATCAGCATTCACAAACACAACTCACTTTCAAATGTGTGTTACTTCAGTGCAAACTTATTATAATTGTTAAACAAATTTTAGATATTAGTTCAATCATTCTTATAATACACCTTTATAGTACTTAGAAATAAGTTTGCTTATTATCAATAAGCTAATTTTCTCTTCATACACGAAATAAAATTTGAGAAATTTCGATATCGTCAAACTTATTTTCTTTCAGTCCTATGGTTCCATCTTTATATTTTAAAACATTACTCAGGTGCCCTTCATGTGAGGGAAGCCACCCTCTTGTTCCTCCACTGCTTCCTCTTGCAGATCTCAGACTTCCTGAAGGGCTTCTGTTTCTCGAAGAAGTTGGTGGTCTCCGCCTACCACCACTTTGAAAAGATGGTTTCTTGGCTTGTTCTACTTTTATTGCTTTTCCATGCAAAGACTAGAAGTATTAAGGGTACTATCAATAACACTGGCACATTTAACGTAAGCACATTTTAATAACATTTTCACATCAAACTGTAGTTCAATTCGAGGTATTTTCTCCCAAAAGGAAACTTTTTTTTCTCCTAAAATGAACACATCTTTCGCAATGCCAAATTTGAGATAGTTCCTGAGCACACGCCTTCCATTAAGGGATCAAACACAAATTCTATTATTCAAATTCCTTGAAAACTCCTCCATTATTTAAAAAAGAAACTCAAACATTAAAAAAAATTGACCCATCACACATTTTGTGGAAGAATGTGGCACATCTGTTTTTTACAATATCTAATCCACTTCATCTTCGTATTCACATCACTGATTTGAAAGTTGCAGTGTCCCAACGAAACTTGTGTCATTTTAAAAAAAATGAGCTTACTTTTTCAGCGTGATTAGTCACATTACTCATTATGGGTTGTTTCTTGTTGGATTTGCTAACACTTAGATAAAATGTCCCCATATGATTTACAATTCTATATTGACTCTAAAAATGTTTCTGTAAATGTGATCCTTGTTTGATCTCATTAAGTTTTCTTGCCTTACTCATTTCTTACATTGCCTTAGACGTGCCCCTAAAAAACGAATCTTAATATAGTACTTCAGGTAATTTCTCAGAAATGCTTAAGTATCCTAATTAATTTCCCAATAACATTTTTCACTGTAATCTTTTCTACAGGCCACAGCAATTTTTGTAAACAGTTCTTATGTATATGTTTATGTATATGTTTTAACCACACACGGGGTGGTTCACTCCTGTAATCCCCTTGGGAGGCCAAGGCTGGTGGATTACCAGATGTCAGAAGTTCAAATCCAGCCTGGTCAACATGGTGAAACCTCATCTCTACTAAATATTCAAAAATTATCTGTGTGTTGGCAGGTTCCTGTAATCCTAGCTATTTGGGAGGCTGAGGCAGGAGAATCTGTTGAACCCGAGAGGCGTAGGTTGCAGTGAGCCAAGATCACGCCACTGCACTATAGCCTGGTCACAAGAACAAAACTTTGTCTCCACCACCCCACCCCCCCCAAAAAAAGCATCAAATTTACATAATTATCTTGAAAGCCAGCATAATTTTAATTTAATTGTAGACATCAGTTTCAGACATTGTTTATTTTGGAGAAGTGATTACAGAAATCTGACAAATCAAGGCCTGATGAGAATATTTAAATTAACCACACTCCAGAAGCCCAAAGCTGAAAAGCTAAGGTGTTTCTGATACACTAGCCCAAATTCTTCATTTCCTCTCTATTGGGCAGTGTAATATTGCACATATGCAAAAAAATGCAGTGTTAAATAAAAAGTAATGGAATTAAGAGGAGTCATTGCTTAGTGAATTAAAACAACACACACATTGAGAAGAAAAGACAGTGATGGAAAATATATTGTCTGTTGATTTAATTCACAATAATTTTCATTTTTGTCTATTAGCATTAAATAGTACCATTAACATAATATCATTTTGTATATTGTCTTCTAACATGTAAGTGGTTTTTATTTTGTATATTTGGAAACCTGATCAAAGATTCTTTAAACATTTTATTTTTTCCCAAATTTGCTACCTAATAGCTACCTAGTGCTAGTTGCCTGGATACCTCTCACTAAGTAGTTTGTCTTTTCCTATTAATTTTAATATGAACTTGTTGTGTATTTTGTTGGCATCTTTACTAAATCTACAGGTGTTGAAGTTGTTCAGATTTCAGTCATGGATCCTCTTGGGTTTTCTCAAGGCTAAAACACCCTTTTTATGCTGACCATTAAGAAATTCCCAACTTCAGGCCAGATCTTTGTTCTGCCTTCAGACTTGGCATATCCAACTGCATGCCTTACATCTCCACATACCAAAACCAGACCTTCATTTCATCCCCAAAACATGTTTCCTCGTACAGTATTCCACTATTTCAGAAATTCACAGCACCAAATACCCTGTATTTCAAGCTAGAAATGTAGAGGATGATCCTTGAGGCAGCCTTTTCTCAATGACTCTTCATCATTTACATCCAACTCTTCACAGGTTGTGTGTCCTCTCCAAGAATTACATAGTCTTAGTAAATAAAGAGTGGCCCCTAAGTAACCTTCAATCGTCCAGTTTTGTTTTTTATTTCAATTCACACCAGTTTCTCTACAGAATAGCTGGAGCTCTGCAATGTCAATGTTGGAGTAAGTACCATTCTTTGCCAGTATTACCATTTTATTTATGATGAGATAAATGATCCTTAAAAATGCCCACACAAATCTATACTAAGTAACACAATTAACTGATGTCTTTGTTTTACGGAAAAGTACAAGGCAAATAGAATCAATTGTTATTATATGATCTTTATAACTACACACACAGGTACTAGATATTTTAGACCCCGCTTCATACATCTGAAATTTGGCTCTCAAAATCATTAACTTCTCTTAAAGTCTAACTTCAGATTGCAAAACTACCTCTTTCCACCATATTGTGCTATCTCCCTTTAAGGACCAACCGGGGAATCATTAAGAAGAAAAAATATAATTTTCTTCAACATCTCCTAGCTGAGCCAAAATCTAAATTTTCTGTGGAGATGTTGGTATGCACAATTTTGCCAAAACTTTTACAACTTTAACCACAGCCATGCCTCAGTGGCCTACCTGTTCATCCAATACCTGCACGCATGCTTTAACATAGAAAAATTTGAAAGTTAATACGAGTATTAACTCTTATCATTATAGACAATGACATCTGAAGACGCTTTCCAATCTTCCTTGAGTATATGATATTCAAAATGTCAGTACAGTCTCCAAAATGTCAAGGTAATCTTAGTAGCAGTGGATCATTACAGAAGATAATTTTGCCGCAGTGGTCAAATATTTTTGTTAAATACTGCTATTTTATAGCCATACATAGCATTAACTGACCCATGTTGTATAGCTAGAAAAATGATCCTAAAGAATATGTTCAGAAATAGGTTTCATATATTTTGCTAAATTGCAAACTAACAGGTTAATTACTACCGTGAAGTGCTAGACAGTTGTAGTAGCACTTACCAAGAATGAAAAAGAAGATAGGGCCATATGAATTGAGAAGGCTGCAGTTAGGAAAAGATAAGATATTTATTCCTGACACCTGGCTTGATATTCTTTGTGTGTGGCTTATTTTTGGGTTTTTTTTTTTATTGTTGTTGTTCTGTTTTTGGTTTTTGTTGTTCTTGTTTTACTTTCTCTTATGTGTCAGATCAGAGTTTCACAAATATCCTCAAATAATTACATGGGTCATAAATAAAATATATACCCAGAAATTTGTAGCTATTTTCCTTCGAAATCCTGGTTCAATCACCTGGAATGAGACCTGGAGAACGAGTAATTCTCATGAGTATGCTAAGTGATTATTACCAAAATGACAATTGTGAAATATTTAGAAAACCATACAGGAGCTAGGTAATCAATATTTAATAATTGGTTCTTACTGTAAGGGTAAAGGATTTTGTTGAAATGACTATTTAAATGCAAGTTTTATTAAAAAGATAGAAGTGAGCACTTCAGTGCTTTCTAATTAGTATCTTTAAAACATGTTTTGCTAAAGTGGCAAAATAATTTTTTCATTTGAAGTCAGCATTATAGCCCCAAATGACTTCTGAGTTAGCTTTTTGAAAATCTTCAGATGATAAATTCTAAAAACTATCTTGGGTGTTTATAAAACTCCAGAACATCACTAAAAAATATATAAATAAGAACTCCAGTATCCAAAATAATCAAAATAACTCATACAAATGTACAAGAAAAAATATACACAATCTAGCCCAGTAGAAGAAAGAAGTACAGGTAAATAATTAGATCATTTTTAGAAAAGAGGAAAGTCAAATGACCAACGAAAAATGGCTAGATGCTTGAGCTTATTAGTAATCCAGGGATATAAATCAAAACCACATTAGGTTCCCACTTTCATTCATTAGTTTGTCAACTATTAAAATAATAAGTACTGAGTGTAGTCAAGAATGTAAGGAATGATAGTTTTTTCCCATCAATCCACAGGACTATCTAATGATATTTAGTAAAATTAGGGTGACTAAAATCTTTATTGTTCCAATGGAAACTTTTTTAGGATAAAAGAGTACTAACATATACAAAATCAGGTATTATTTAATATATTATTTCCTTATAGGCAAATTGTTTTTACTGTATGGATGGATCTATAAAATAGTTATCTTCCAACTATTTTTGAAAATGAAATCTCTTCAAAAATTTAAAACCACAATTATATATCTTGAAGCAAAAGAGAAAAATAACTTCTTTAAATTTATTATTTAAATATTAGAAATAGTAGGCAGAATAACGATTCTGGAACATATTTATATGAATTAATCTGTTTCTTAACAATAATTATACATAGTTCTTTTCTGGAAAATGCATTTCTTTTAATTTTATATTGATTTTTAAATAAAGCTACTTGCAAGTTTTTCCAAAGTTGTTTCTTCTTGTCAGCAATAAAAGTTATCACCAATATGTAGCTTTTTCACTCAACATTAAAAATCATTTATCACACATTGTTCAATGTTTTATTTCTGGTACGATAGAATTTCAACAGCTTTATCTTTTTTGCAATGATTGATTAAAAATTCAAACCATTTTTTAATTTAATTTTCTATTTGAAACATCTAAATGGCATTATTCAATTCTTTTGGAATTTCTTCTGTAGCTAATGGAGCTAACATACTAACAATTACTGATGCATTTTTCTTAAGTGTGGAAAAATTAGAATTAAAATGTACACAATTGATTTTTAAAAATAGTAATATAATATAAATAAAAAGCCAGGCATCTCAGAATTATATGCTTAATTTTTTCGAATTCACACACTAAACCTGTGAAAATGTCATCTTCAGGCTTAGTTTTCTTAATGTAACTAAGTATTACCTTCTGAAATAGCAGCTGCTTTTTCCCCTCAGCCATCTGTATTCTGGATTTCAGGATATCACTTTTAGCCTGTGGTCCCAATATGGACTACAAGGCTTCATGATTACACCATGTGTTTATTGGCACTTTTCAACACATAATTTGATTGAAAGGGAAACTGAGTAGTTTTTAATTAAATACCTAGTTGCATTTTTAGGCTATTGCTGCTGAAACAGATTTTTTTAAATAGTCATTAGCAAACAGCCCATAAATAGGTAGTTGTAAGTGTATAAGAGATGACAAAACCACTGTGGCCAGATGAATCAACTACTCTCTGTGTGCTAAGCTTCTATTTCCAGCACATAATTTACATATATCTAGCCTATTATTTCCTTCATTTTCCCCAGACCTACCATATGATGACCTGGGAGTGTCATGTAAGTGGACCATGTAGGAAAAAAAAAAAAAAACTATGTCAGATACTTCTTCCATCACCAGGCAAGACTGGAAGAAACTACTCATCCCCAGCCACTACTGACCCAGTGCATATTTATTATCACTCACTCTGCAGCATGCTGCCCTTGAAAAAGTAGCAGTATCTGTGTTCTGTGTGAACTGTGTCAGGAAAATAAAGTTGATTTTCAGATTTATCTCCCTACTAAAGTCATCATTCTGTTAACATTTTATTTTTCTCCCATACTGATAGAGGCCTGACAATAGCTGTAATTATTAAACAAAATGAACATTTAACACATGCTTGCTGGTTCTAATCAATGTAACATAATAATACTTCATTAAAAATGAAAAATCTAAGAAAAATCTAAGATATATGCTAAGCCGATTAGCATGGATCAACAACAGTAGTAAAGTGGTAGTCCAGGGAGCTAATGAGAATGTTTCATCCCCTCAAAGTTAAAACTGTACACACACTGCAGTCCAGCCATTCTTCTAGTATATTCATTAGAAACTCTCACACATGTGTACCTGGAGGCATAGGGAAGGTTTTTCACTGCAGCATTTCAATAAACACATCATGGAATATGAGAATTCAGTAGACTGATAACTATGCCATCAATAATGGCAACTCTCAACAAGAATGTTAACAGAATAAAATATGTGAAATCATACCTTATTCACATAATCATTAAAAAGTTATAAAATACCAGTATTATTTAGAAATAAATATTTTAATAGATTTAAAAATATGAAGGTAATACCAAGTTCATGATAATGGTACCTCAGGAAATGGAAGAAAGGAAATGAACCTGAGGGCATATATTCCAATTACAAGCAGAGGTAATGTAAATAGAACATGGAATATCTTAATAGCTGTTATTTTTAAGTGGGTTAAATTGGTATGTTATATTATTTTGTATTTGTATTTTTTTAAATTTTACTCAAAAACAAAATAACTTTATAATGAACAATATACTGTTTACATTGGAATCACCTTGTTAAGTAATTGCTTTAAAATTCCCCTGTCCCCATTGCCACTTCCAAGGAATTAAGAAAATTAAAAATTAGAACATGTGGTATTTTTCAAAGACAAACATTTTACAAGTATGAAATAAAATATATTATTTTTTTTGACTCATTATCCATGTAAAATCATGTAGTAGGAGGAGAAGGACATAGGCAGAATTTCACGTATCGGTACAGGAAATAATTGTATGTTTATATAAAATACCTTCTTAAGACATACTAGTGGCAAAGAAACATAAGAAAAGTGCTCAACATCACTGATCATCAAAGAAATCCAAATCAAAATCACAACAAGATACTATCTCATACCCAGTCAGAATGACTGTTATTATTAAAAGGCCAAAATAATAAAAAGAAGAATAATGTGGGCAAGGTCACAGGGCAAAAGGAACTGTTATACACTGGTGATGAGGGTGTTCAGTCACTGTGGAAAGCAGTTTGGGAATTTCTAAAAGAACTAACAATAGAAGTACCATTCCACCCAGCAATCCTATTATTCAGTATATGCTCAAAGGAAAATAAATCATTAAAGCTACCAAAAGACATAAGAATTCTCATATTCATCACCATAGCGAAGACATGGCATCAACGTAGGAGCCCATCCATCGTGGATGGGATAAAGAAAATGCAGTACATATGAACGCTGGAATAGTCCACAGCCATAAAAAGAACAAAATCATGTCCTTTGCAGCAACATGGATGCAGCTGGAGGTCATTAACCTAAGCAAATTAACGAGGAAACAGAAAATCAAATATTGAATATTTGCACTTATGAATAGGATCTACAACTTGGGTGCACACAGAAATAAAGATAGGAACATTAGACACTGAGGACTTCAAAGTTGGGACAGAAGGAGAGGGGCAGGGGCTGAAAATCCTCCTATTGGGTACATGGTTCACTATCTAGATGATGGGATCAGTAGAAGACTAAACTTTAGCATCATGCAATATACCTTTGAACCAAGCCTGCACATGTCCTCTGAATCTATAATAAAAATGGAAATAAAAATAAAAAAACATTATTAAAGGAAATGATATATTACATTATAGAATTGACATTATTGCAGTGCTACATAATTGAAACATGCTAATAAAATCTATATAAGCTTTATGGAAACAGTGAAAAGTCTCCTGAGTGTCTTTAAAAGTATAAAAATGGGATGGCTACCTTTATGCAAATTAACTAGACTTTAGTTGCACTAATTAAAAGAGCAACAGCTGAGTCAATGAAACGAGAATAGACAAGTTACAACTGATGTCAAAATTCTACCTTATTACATTACCTTTGAAATCATATTCCAAGTTTTCTTCTATTTTGAGAAACATCACTCTACATATATATAGAACAAAGATTGCTTTGGCAGATTAGCACAATTTTAATGGAGCAAATTTCATCTTCAAATCTGATAAGCACTTTCCAACACTGTTGGTAAAAACTGTCCATCAGGCTAGACACACATTTCAAAGAGCCTGTGAGGCTGCAAATCACTTATGCTTCACTCTCGTTTTACCATGATAATGCATAGCACTTACACAGTGTTTCTAAGTTTGAAAGAGCCTAGGAACTTTAATTAATCCCTAAACTACTGAGTGAGAGAGTCATCAGAAGCTCCTTGAAGATATCATTTAACTGTATAATTCACTTTTGCTTAAATGTAATTCAGCATATGTGCCGTGGTGTGTTTTCCTAGCTTTCTATTTAAATCTTCAGAGAAATAATATTTATCTGTGACTATATGATGCATAGGCATCTACTATGAATAAAATTATGTAGACTGCACTCTGTCTGCCACTAAAAGCTAACAGACATATGTACATCCAACACATGAAAAACATCTGGTACATTCTGCTGTATTTTCTTTTCTTATTCATTTCATATCTTATTTTCATGTATTCCAGAGTGGACTTCTTAGATTTGAATAGGCTAAAAATTTTAAATGAGGGATATACAATTATCTTGTTAATTTTTATAATAAATTTAGTTTTTTGGAAAGTGCATTAAAACTAAATGCTTATAATTATGCTGAATATAAAAGAATATCATATGTGAAAGCTTCACCCAAATGAAAGAATATTTAACTATTCTATTTATAATTCTCTGTAGCAGGATTTCCTTCTCTGCAGGTAGCTGGCTACAGGGGTCTACGAAAACAAATCTATTTCTGCAGTAAATACCAACACTGGCTTACTCAGGAAAGAACTCTTTCAGTCTGCAAAGCACAACACTTCTTTTCCCTGAGAAGGATAAATTCTTACACAGTTTTACTCTTCAACTAAAATTTCAATTAATCATTTTCCTTTTTATTACAAAGGAAATCTGGTTACTTTCGAATTACTTGCATGAAATCAATTCTCTATAACTATATAAAATTACATAGACATACACACATGCATACAAAAGAAACAGTACAACTGGAAGACCAACAAATGTGTACATGTGTTCTGTTTTAAAAAACTTTCTACTGTATTATTTGCATTAAGGTTATAGTTGTAACTCAATCAATGACCTATTTTAAACGAGTGCCTAGGATATGACTGGAGAAAGTTTATACAATGCAAGAAACATCTCCCTCTGCATACGCTTTATTTGTAAATACATTTATACTGTATAGGTAAAATGGTTAACTTTGTTGTCAAAGACTGATACTGGCTAAAGTTTTGTTTTCTAATATATTCTTCTTTAATTTTTTCTAGAATGTTTTGAAATATTGTTCATATATTTACTCTAATTTCATCTGGAAAATGGAGAAAGCCATTTTTTTCCTATAAGTTTATCATCTCCTGAGTGTCAAACTTGTCATGAAAGGAGAGTTACATCTGCTACTCTTACTTTAGGACCAGACTTTCCACCAATAGATTATAAATGTGAAAATTGCTGCCTACTTAAAGCCAGTGTTCTACAGAAAACACTGTGACAGTCTGAGATTGAACCCTAAGGATTGGCCTTGGGAACTTTGAGACTTTGGTCAACTAATTGCTAAGGATGTTCTCTGTTGCAAGAGCTTTTGACTCTTTAGTCAAACACTCTATCATGAAAAATCTAACCTTGTGGGCCATTTGGTTATGAGGTGGTTAAAAAATAATAAAAATATTCCTGGAACGCAGATAGCCAGAACTATAGGTCTTCAAGAAAAAGTACTCTCAGTAACAATGTGAAAGCTTGTCTGAATTTCCATTTCCACATTATGATAATTATGCTACAATATGTAGCATTTCTGTAAATTATTTCTGGTTTTGAAAATCTTTACTTTTGAATGTGGATTTATCTTTAAAAATTAGTAATGTTTTGTAGGACCATTTGCATGTATAAATTATGCAACATTTTATGGGAACTCATACATGGACATCTCATACAAAGCAAGTCATGAGACACGTTTGAGATGCATTAGGGTAGATGAAGAGGAAGCACTGTTTCTACTCTCTGGGTCTCTAATTTCCGATAAGACAAACTATAAAGTAAAATAAGAGTTTAAAAAAGAATGACTCAATCTTTTGTATCTGATTGTTGTTTTGTATCCTATAAACGCTTTATGCTATATCTAAGAGTTAAAACATTAGATGTTGGTCTAAAGGACACCAAGTGGAGGTGGGAGGACACAGGCAGTTGCTGCCGGGGGAATCTTATCCAACGAAAGAAGTCAGTAACAGGCAGCTGAATGGGCAGTGGTCTAGTGCCAGGTGTTTAGCTGAGACTTGTGTAAGTTTCTCAGAAATTCTCAGAAGTATTTGAGGGAAATGAAACTGGTGTAACAATTCTCTTTAAAAAAAATTAACTAAGGAACATCCTATAGTGTCCTGAGGAAAAAAGTGAGCAAGGCACGTAATTTGAGACAGGAAAAATACTAGGTGACTGCAGGAGCATAGAAAATCTCAGGCAGCTGTTTCACATGACTAACAAAAATACACTATTAAAATAGCTGCATAAACTAGGACTTGATAAGACTGTGGAAAACCAGGGTGTGGGCAAAGCTGGCTAGGAACAACTGGAGCCAGCATGGTGTTGAATTTCAGCTAGATTTCACCTTAGAGAAAGCCAAAAAATTCTCTGCTACTACCATGCAGCAGAGCAACTGATTAAAGGCAGCAACTCTCTAACTATGGCTACTTCACAAGTGAAAACTAGAAATCCCTGTTGGTTTAATTCATGTTTACTTTTTCTGTTGTATGAAGTAAAAAACATTCCTTACTGACACAAAGTTTCATTGTTTTCCTTATTCTCCAGCATTTATTTTCTTCTCACATTACTTATAGTTTGTAACTTATTTTGTCAAATATATGCAATGAGGTAATACTGCAGGATTATAGAAAGCACGCTGCATTGGAAACAGACTCATATTGAAATGAGAAAACGTCCCTTGTCTCCCCTCCCCCACTGGGCGTGCAATGAGGACAGGTTGTGGGGCTCTGATCCCAGGCAGTATCTAGGGATAAATGTTCACAGCTCCAGAATCCCCAGCGGTCATGTGTTACACGGTGTTGTTTTAGTTTATCCATCTGTAGGTGGCTTGTGTTAGTCAGCTCCATCAGACACCCTGTCTTACTGGAAAGACAGAGAGCTATCTCAATTCAGGGGTTTCTTGCCTTGGTGAACCTGAAGAAATGGTTCACACGTGGGCTTAGAGAATAAGTGCAGGTTTCATTGAGTGGAAGTTCTCAACAGACAGATGGGGACCCAGAAGGGAAATGGAGCAGGAAAGTGGTTTCCCTTGGAATGAGGCAGCTTAGGACTGTCCTTCCACAGCCGGGCAGAACTCCGTGTTCTTCTGCGGTGGATTGTCTGCCGCCTCTGTCTTTGTGCTCTTCTTCCTCCAGTGTCTTCTCGAGGTCCAGTTGCTGTGTCTTTTTCTGCTGATGGTTCCTCTCGACGCCCAGCTGCTGTGTCAATGCCTACTGGGGTCTCGGGGTTTCTTTTATCACAGGATGGAGGTGTGGCAGGCCAGGGTGGTCTTCGGAAATGCAACATTTGGGCAAGAAAACAGAAGTGCGCGTCCTCACCTAGGTCAGTGAGCACAGGCCTGAGGGTGGAGCCCTAGCCAAGGACCAGGCCGTGCTCTACCCAGCACTTGCCTGCCTTCCCTTCCATATCAATAGTTTTAATTTAAATCTCCAATAGTAATACCCAAATTCTTTAGAGAAGACTATTGGAGGAAATGGCATTAGAAGAGTCTAGGGTTAGGGTATAGGAAATGGAAACACAGAGAGCTTCTCCTGCAGGCCATGGAATCACTGCGGAAACATATTCCCTACAGAGAAGGAGAGGGACACAAACTGGCTTCTCTCCTCTTCTTGTTCTCCAAACTCTGCAGTGTCTCCCCTGGACACAAACTGACTTATCTCCTCTTCTTGTTCTCTAATCTCTGCAGTGTCACCCCACGACTGAACTGAAACAGGAAGTAATTTTTATGGGAGCCTAGGAACCACGTCTCCCAGGGGCTAGGCCTCTCTATTACCAAACAGTGCCATGAGAGCGATTGATGTATTTATGGGCATATAAACCCAGCACACACAAAGGAATATCAGAGAAAAATATAATATCAGAGGATCAAGAGAGGAGTAGTATGAGGAACTATTCATGCATGATATTTGTGAAGACTGAAAAAAGTAAATCAGAGCTTATGCAGTAGTAATCATAACAAGGACACAAAGCAAAAATGGCAAAATTGTAACGTCAAGGGTATTTACTTTTCCCTTTAGGATTTTTAAAATCCCTTCCAGGACCCTTTCCCAATATCTTTCATTCATTGATTCATTCAAGAAATATTTATTGAGCTAGTATGGTCTAATATTTGGGCGGATGGCATCATATGGTCTGTTAGTGCTTCTATCATTGACAGAAAAAATATTTCTTTTCTCCCACAGTGTTTTTACCCCAAACATTCTTCTTGCAAATTTGTATTCTTACAGATCTAGTAGATTGTTCCTACCCTAAGAAGGTTCCCAAAACCCCTCTAAACCCAGTTAAGAACTTTCTTCCTCTCCTACTAAGTTACTAAATATGTTGTAACACTTGTCACAGTACATTGCAATTATTGTTCTTCTCTTCATTCTCCAATTAAGCTATGAATGTTTTGAAGGAAAAGACTATAAAGATAATGGCTTGACATTTGTCAGTATTTATTTTACAAAGGATTATTAGATATTTATACATAATATTCTGACATTTATCCTGATTTTTGGAAAAAAATATAAACAATTTTCTCTGCCCATTCCTCATGAACTGCTCAACTTTAAACAATGTCTATGCTTTTGGAGCAATTATACAAACTTCCAAAAAACACCTGAAAGTGTTTTTGTTTTGTTTTGTTTTGTTTTATTGTATTTTTTTAGAGACAAATTCTTGCCCTGTGGCCCAGGCTGAAGTGCAGTGTGCCATCAGTGCCCACTGCAACCTTGAGCTCCTAACTAGAACAACAGATGTGTGTCATAATGCCCTAATTAATTAATTAATTAATTAATTACTTTTGTAGAGTTAGGTCTTACTAGGTTGCCTAGGCTGGTCTCCAACTCTGGGCTTCAAAGAGTCCTCCCTTCTCAGCCACCAAAAAAGCTGGGATTCCAGGCATGAACCACTGGATCTCAAAGAGGAAATTTTAGATTTTAGAATGCTGCAATATGTTAGACTTAATTTTTTTTCAAGTTTGCAGTTGCAGTAGCTTGAGAAAAATTATTTTTATGGTAAAAGTGTGATTTCTTGTATCTAGTCATCTACTTTTGAAATCTTTATTCTGTTTGTTTAAACCCTAATAACTGCTAGTCAGCTCAGCTGAAAACGGATTCCCTGGGTGTTTTGTGTTGAGGTTATGAAGGCAAATGTAGAGAGATATTAAGGACAAAAGACATTTATTTTATATATAAAACACCTGTATTTTTATTATGGCCATATATTTGAAGAATTATGATAGGCAATTGATATGAGAAGAATTATGTGTTGCTTAGTACATCCCAGGTGTTATCTAGGCAAATCTATATTTCTTGAGTCATATTATCTCAGTATAGTATTACGAGCTAAGTACAGTTGCATTCTCACTTTACCGATAAAGTTAGTAAGCATTCACAGTTCATAGGAAGATTAAAACAACTCAGTAGAAATACCAATTACACAAAAGAGTAAGAACTCATTTTTTTCTTGCAAATAGTGAAACATTTGTTAGTTTTAAATAAAAGAGGTACTGGGGTGGATGAAGATGGTATTATTATACATCATTTAAGTTGCCTCCTTAGATGCACAAATATGCACTTGATCACACGATTGGGATGCCATGTTGCCAGTATTGTTCAGATTTTTTTTGCTTTCAAACATTTATGCTAAAGCTTTATCCCTGCAGGTGAGGCATCCTATATGGCATGGGTAGTTTCTTAAAATACCCTGAAATACATACTTTAGTAACCAATTTCCCAACTTTGTTTTAATCAGAAGTTAATGATGTATGGAACTCCTAGTAAGTAAATGAATGTCTGAATTCCTGTGAGTTGTTTTAGTTAACCATTGCTCAGTTAACCATTTAAGTTATCAAAGTTCTTTACTTGTGCAATATCATATAAATGTGAGACATTAAAAATTAATAACAGGATTTATGTAACTAAAAGGTGCCATCTAATGTGATATGTTTCAGCAAGATGGCAGCAGTAATTATGCCGAGAAATAGTCATTCCCATAGTTTGAGATATTAGAGCAATTTCCACCCAGGGATTTCACAGTCAGATTCCAGTTCTGGGCAACAGTGATTAACATCCTGGTTATTAATGAGAAGAGATTTTGAGATGTCCAGCTGTGTTTAAATGTCTGTGCCTTGAAGGGATGGTTTTGGCGTATTAGTAAGAAACAGTGCACTGGACTGGATACTAAGAAACCTACTAAATTATTTTTCTTGTCCTCTATAATATGAAAGGTCAATTAGAGATATAGAAACAATGGAACATTTGACAGCATGGCTTGATATTTCACTAAACTTTTATCCTTTTAACCATGTACAAAGTTTATTAAATATGCAATGGTAAGACTGCTATAGGAAAAAAGAGGAGGAGTCAGAGGTCACAACGCACAGCAAGGTGACAGTCTCTTGTGGATCTCACCCTGAGAGGTAATTAGAGTGAGAATCAACCTTCCGGTTGCCAACAACTAACAAGGAGAATGAAGCTATCAGCAGTTAACATTATTGGATTAATTAAAATGAATGTTCACAGAGATTGTGTTGGCTTTCCATCAAATTGAGTATAGCTAAGGTAACCGCTTATCAAATTTCAAACATATAAAATTGTGAATTAAAAGATTGCACAAGCCATATATTACGTGTATGTCATATAAATTTATATGTACATATGCAAACTTGCCATGTGCAAATATGTGTCTATATCTAAATATATACAAATCCATTAACCAACAATTAGAAATTATTCTCCCATTTTACCATTCTTTCCTAGAATTTTGTCACAAATGTAATTTTTCCAACTGTCTGAAGCCTACTCTCTGGAGGCATGTAATATATGGTACATTAAAGCCATGAGATATCACAGTGTTTGTATCAGAGCAAACAATAACAAGGGTGTCATAAAAGATTAATTGTGGGGAGAAAGTTATACTTCACATTACTACAAACAGACATGATTTCATCAAAAGCTGAAATCAGTAAATATAATTTGTTTTTAATGTTTTATTTAAATACTTAATTTCAAAAGGATTACTCAAGTACATAAACGGTACTAGTAATAAATAATGTTGAAGAATTCCCTTTAATTTGCCGTTTATTTAAAACATAACTAATATACTAAAAAGTAATGTATAATGTAGTTTCATGAAGCATTCTTTATGGTTTTCATAATATTAGTAGTCTCAACTGAATATTTTGAGACAGAAATTTCTATATATCATTGTATTGTACTTTTGCTTTACTACTTGCTTGTGTGTCATAACTGATGGAAATAAAAATATTTATATTTACACATATACAAAACATGGATTTTTATTTATATTTTCTAGTGAGATAGGGTTACCAATAATTTTATATATATAGGAAAATTTTTACAAGCCAAAAGTTCTTAACTTTCTTTTCTTTTGAAGTTTCACATTTTAGTGTAGATATGAGATGGAATTGACTGTGATCATTCTTTGATTTCACTATGATTCTGATGCAGTATGCGGAATGTATGGACTTTAAAGCTTACTTTCTTCTTCTTCATCTCCCTTTGGACCTGTATATGTGATTTCTGCAGTAATATGCATCATTATCTGACATATGGTTGCTGAAAGAGACAAGCATAAATAGAATTCTTAGTGTCAGTGAATCTTTAGGAACAGACAAGTAAAACTGAAAGATAATTATGGTATGAATGTTAGTAAACTGTTTATCACAGAGGTACAATAAGGGTGAAAATAAATTTAAAAATATGTGCCTCATCCAACACATGAGGTAGTAAAAATGAAAAATTTAATTTGACATAAAGAACAGTTTAAAAGTTATGGTTATTTCTGGTGAGAGCAAGTAGCTCAGAAACCATGAGGAAGTCCTGCAAAGCCACATGATGGATTTGCAGGTCAGGATGGGAAGCCTGGGTCTTGGGGAGGGTTCCAAGGTCCTGGTCAGGTTGAGGTCCTCCTGGAGCATGGGGGTGTCTCAGTGGGAGAGCTGGGAAGGGGAAACACATGCTTCACCCCAGCTAGCAGGCCACCTCAGCCCACCTAGATGAAACTGTCCCTTGACTATCCTCTTTCTCCTTCTTGGACAGGCAGGTGGAGGAACTCAGCCATCCTGAGTACTGGTGGAAGGATGAAGTTTGCCTTTCATCGCAACATTTACTTCTGCAACGAAGTGATCATTAAGGAGTACTGCATTGGAATTCTCAATAAGGAGTGCCTCCCCGCATGGTAGAGGGGGTGGTATGTGGGAAGCTAGGTTTGGCATGAGCCTTCCCAACTCCTCTCGCTCCAGGATAGAGGGTGACTGGCTCCACTGTGTCCAGTGGTTCTAGGGTTATGCAAGTGAAGGCCCCAGTTTCAGGCAGGATACACCTAACTGAGTTTCTTCAGCTGGTTGGCTGATGGTGACTGCCCAGGGTATGAAGGGTTGCTGAGGTGGGGTGGCGGTGGGGCATCATGGGAAAGGACCTTGCTGGTCATTGCTTGGTGTCGGAGGAATTGGCTTTGAACCAGAACCTGACCTGTCATGACCACTTTGCCCAGTCCCCCAGATCATCAGCCAGGGCCCGTGGCTCAATCTCATGCAGCACTACCCAAGGGAGTTAGGCCCTCAGAGAGGGAACAGAGAGGAGGCTGGGGAGCAGCCCAGGGCTGGGGGATGAGAGGCCTGTGGGTCCTGGAGCTAGGACACATAGTGAAGCCAAGGCTCAGGGAGGAGACTGCGGTAAGCATACTCAGACCATGCATGGGCTGGGGGAGAAAGGCCCATCAGGGAACTGTAGTACCCACATTTCAGGATTGGGGAACCCTAAGCTGCTTAAGAGGCATAAGTAACTAAGGTCAATGGGTGAGAAGCCAGGCTCAAGGGATAGCTGCCTCATTATCCCTTGTAATCTCGCTTCCCTGCCCTGAGGCCTGCTACCACCTGAGGCTCAGTTTGAACTCAACCAGGGTGCTCTCACCCTCCACACAGTTGCCCACCTGAGGTCTGTCTCGGTCTACACCCTCCCAGAATGGCTCTCCCAGGTCTGTCAAGTTCCGTTTCGATGATTCCAGGCTCTGCTGACATGCTTTTGCCCCTCTGCCATGCTCATTCACTCAGCCCCTGCCCACCCTCAGAAAAGACAGGCCATCACACAGGCAATCTGGAGGACCACACAGGGTTCACTGGGGAGGAAATGTGAAGAGATGGCAAAATGGAAGGGGACCTTCTGTGTGTGTCCAGGAAGGAAATCTGGCTGGACATTAAGGCCCATCTCACTATTGGTGATGACACCCAGTGTCTCTTGGCCCTGAGCCTGTGCACACAGACACACATTGTCTAAATGTGATTGACATCATCACTACCTAAGTGATCTACAGATTCTATACAACCCCTGTAAAAATATCAATGACCCATTCTTCATAGAAAAACAATCTGAGAATCCTCCATTTGCTATGAAATGGCAGAGGATCCTGAAGAACCAGAGCAATCCAGTAAAAAGCACAAATCTCGAGGTATCACACTACCTAACTTCACAATATATAACAAAGTTTTACGTACCAAAATAGAACAATACTGACAGAAAAGGAGAGACATGAGCTTATTAAAAACAATCAGGGCCCAGAACTAACTCACTGCGTTTGCAGCTCACGACGTTTTCCCAAAGAAGCAAGAACACCCAATGGAAAATCGAATATCTTCTATAAACTAGGTTGGGTAAAACCTGAATGTCCACATAAAGGATTTTAAAAGTAGATTATTTCTCACCAAACTCCAATGTCAGACCTAAAATGATAAAAATACCAGAATAAAACACAAGGAAGAAGCTCCATGACATTGGTATGGGCAATGATGGTCTCAAAGTGACTTCAAGAGCAAAGTAAACACTATGAAAAATAGAGAATAGGGTTATATCAATCTAAAGTGCTTCAGCACACCACAGGAAACTAAACAGAGGGAAGGGACATCTTATAGGATGGGAAAAATTATTGGATCACCATACATCTGTTAATGGGTGAATATTTACAGTACATAAGGAACTCCAACAACTCAATAGCATGAAAACAAATGGACTAAGGATGTGAATAGTCATTTGTGAAACTAAGACATACGGCTGCCCAGAAGACACAGTAAAAAGCGCTCATCATCCCTAATGCATCAGGAAAATGCAAATAAAAACCACAGTGATATTTCATCTCACTTCAGTCAGAATGCCTATTATCCAAAAGACAAAAAAAACAAAAAACAAAAAAAAAGACCACCTCATTTCTGGTGAGGATGCAGAGAAAAGGAAATCCTTGCACACTTTTGGTGAGAATGTAAATTAGTGCAGGCATTACAAGAAACTTTATGGCTTTTATTTAAGTATAAAAGCTCTTCAGAAGTCTACAAGTAGAACCACCCACCATGTGATGCAGCAAATCAGAATACCGGGGCACACCCAGAAGTACACAAATCAGCATGTTGAAGCGGTGCATGCACACATGCAATTACTGCTGCACTTTTTACAGTTTCGCTATAGCCAGTTGTGACAGTATGTCTGAATCTGCTGAATGTATGCATGCCATTTTGTTAAGTGACATAAGCCATATATCAGAAAGGCAAATAACACATGACCTCATTCTTACATGAAATCTAAAAAGCGGACCTCACAGCAGTAGTGACTCCACTGGTGGGGTGGTGTTTAGTGAAGAGGATGTTGGATCAATAATACATATTTCTAATTAGAAAGGAGGAATAGGTTAAAAACTTTTCTACAGCATGCTGACTATAACTAGTGATAATGCATACTTCCTCTACAAAATTCTAAGACAGTGCATGTCGAGTTTTATCACCTCAAAAATGACAAGTAGGTGAGATCATGCATGTGCTGATCAGCTGGATGTATCTCATGCATAACACATATGACCTTTTGAAAGTCACCCCTTAAATTATAAATATGTATCATTTCATATGACAATTAAAAAAATAAACATAAAATTTTAAATACCTTAAGAGAATAAATGTCAATAAAGTATTGTATTATAAAGAAGTGCTATTCCTTTCTATCTGTATCAATGTATTTTTCATGACACAGGAAAGAATGCAATGTCGTTTGGTAAGTTAAAACATATACATAAAAATAAAAATAAATCCCAATGTAGATGATCAACTGAAAGATAGAAATTACAGGCTTGGAGACTATAGTCTATGAATTGAAACCTTCACTGCATGTTTCAAAAGAAGATGTGAGGAGGCAGAAGAAAAAAGCAAAAAACTCAAAAAGCCATGCCAGGGCCCTGGGTCACACCTGTAATCCCAGCACTTTGACAGGTGAGGTGGCAGGACTGCCTGCACTCAGGAGTTCCAGACCAACTTGGGGTAACATGGGCCCATGTCTAAAAAGTAATTAATTAATTAATATGTAGCTGGGAGGGGTAGCATGCACCTGTAGTGCCAGCTATGTGAGAGTCTGAGTTGAGAGGATCACATGGGTGTGGGGTGTCCAGGCTGCAGTGGGCTGAGATCATGGTGCTGCTCTCCAACCTAGGAGACAGAGTAAGACTCATTCTCAGAAAACAAACCAACAAAAAAGAGTCAAATTGGGTAAACTAAAACTATGTAGTGTGAGGAGAATAAAAATAAATGAAACATCATGAGAGCCTATGAGATCTGATGAAAGAAACCAGCTTTCACATAGTAACAGCCCCAGTTGGAGAAAACAATGAGAAAGGGCAAAGAGAACAGTGTAAATAATAAACCAAACTCCCCAAATGAGTTAAACGAATGTACAAAGAGTACTTCCTTTGGCTTCAAAGCCCATAATAACAAATATCTTTTTCTGAATCCCTGACATGCATTCAGCTCACCTGAACCTCTTGGTGAGGTTCTCAGACCATGATCTGCCCTTTCTGTATGCTCTCATTTTGCTATTTCACATCACCTATCTGTAGCAGGTCATAACAAATCATGATTCCTTGACATTGTTTGACACAATGAATAACTTAGATATGAGTTCATTAAACAATAGTTTATGACATGTCATGAAGAAATTCTATATACACAATGTTTCTTAAAATGATAATACAAAAGAAAAACATAGGGATAAGTACATTTTCTTTGGTTCATCATCGCGCTCGTGTTTACACAACACATACCTATGAACTATAGCTGCCTCCTGGAGAATAATCTGACACAATCTCTTGAAAATTCTCTCTGCTTTGGAGACCGCAGGCATAACCCGCTTTTCCTCTTTTCCACCTTTTGGATATACTGATTGGGATGAGTGGGATCCATGTGACTTTTGGCTTTGCTGTAATGCCGAGTTATTTTTTTTAACACTGTCATTTCTAGATAGGCTTGAAATAAATGGTTCATTATGTCTCACAAAAAGAACTCATCTCCTTCAGCTGAGAGTCTTTATAAGAGGAATTTCACCCTGATATGAAAATAATAATCTGATGCCACTGCCAACAGATTCAGAATTACAAACTAAATTCAGATAAAGGATAGGAAGATAGATGATGCAGATGGAGAGAGGGGCATGGGAAAGGAAGGGAAGGAAGAAAGGAGGGGTGTAAGGGAAGGAAAGAAACAAAGGAAGGGAGAGACAGTGACAGATGTTCAAAGACACAGATACAAAGTCTAGCACAGTTGTAGAGATAGGTGTATACAAATTAAAACAGGCAGTGTGGAAACATAGGGACAGACAGAGACATAGGTGGAGTCAGAGAAAAATACAAAGCCACATCGAGAAATAAACACGCAAATACAGACACACACTTGGCAGTTTAAACATGAAAAAAACACCAAGACCCTGACACTAGAAATAACAGAGGTGTTTCAGAGTTACTGAGGCCAAATGCAAATTTGTCAGTGACCTTAGCATCTGTGGCCCATGTGTATGGATATTCAGTGGAAGAAGGATTAGACAGACTGTATAATTCAGCACGATCTCTGATAATACCTAAACAATGGAGCTCATGTGAAATCACTAGACTGAACTGCATGCAGGATTCGAGGAAGAAGCCCAGTCAGCCATGTTCACTCTTTGGAGTGGCCAATATGGCGGAGTAACCAGCCCACGGCATGCCGGTCCATTGTAGACAGTTCCTGGTTTGCTGCCTGCCTTGGGAAAAGCTCTTCCCCTACTACCAGTTTAAAACGGGCTAGCTCCGAAACTAGACCTGGCATCTACTCACCGTATTTTCCTTATCTATTTACCTCTTAGAAAAATCATTGCAAGATCCTTTCCTCAACTTTTTCCTATGCATTAAATTTGCGGCAAGACATTTTCAAATGACCTAATGGTAGGCAAGTCCCCATGCATTTCCCAATCTGAGTTGCCCTGAGTGCACACACCAATCTGCTGCCCCATTCCCACTCTTTAAATTCTTAACCTTATGCAAGGTATGCTGAAAAGGCCACAGAGAATAAAAGGGCCCTGGGCTCCAGAAACAATCTGCAGTGCCAATCACTGGGGAGAATAGAGTCTCACTAGGGTTTGCATGAGCTCCAAATGCGCTGGTAATGCTGTTAGCTACATACATTATTGGCTCCTCACCTAATAATAATCTTGGAGTAAAGCTTAGCCCAACTAAAGATGCAAATATCAATAACAGTGTCCATATTCTGGGTCATCAAGTGACGGAAAGTCCATGCATGGATCCTCTGACCATCTTATATTCCACAAATCCACCCTCTTTCCCCTCACTTCTGCATGTTTGTGTTTTCCCTTAGTCAACTATGCCAGGAAAAAAAAGGCAGCTGGGTGCAGTGGCTCATGCCTGTAATCCCAGCACTTTGGGAGGCCGAGGTGGGCAGATCATGGGCTCAGGAGATCAAGACCATCCTGGCTAACAGGGTGAAACCCTGTCTCTGCTAAACATATAAAAAATTAGCCAGGCGTGGTGGTGGGTGTCGGTAGTTCCAGCTACTCAGGAGGCTGAGGCAGGAGAATGGCGTGAACCCAGGAGGCGGTGCTTGCAGTGAGCCAAAATTTGCACTCCAGCCTGGGTGACAGAGAGAGACTCCATCTCAAAAAAAAAAAAAAAAAAAAAGAAAAAAAAAGGTGTATCCTGAATGCCTTCCCACATACCTCTGTAACCTTTCCCACAGTCCCTCCATACACCTTACTAGCCTATTTCTTCTCACAGTGATGGGACCCCTTGTCCTGAGACGCTGATTGTCCCAGAAAAGGATTATGCATTCCCCTTTAAAAGGAGAAGATGTGAATTCAACATGAAAGTGAACTTTCAGATTTCCATGATCTTGTGCTATCTTAATGTGTCTGATGATACACAAAATGAAGGATTTTGGGGGTGCCTTATCCTGGCAAACTGGGCCCTGGATATCTTAGTGCCCATTAACCCCTTTTGTTGAACTACCTCTGTTTCCATAGGATGAAGTGAGCCTCCAACTAAACTTTCTCTTTCTTTTACCTCCCCAACTCTGTCTTGCAGGAAGAATCCGAAAATATTCCATACCTATTCACTCTACAACTTTGGAGGCCTAGCTCTGACATGGACTGGTCATTTCCACGGAGAGAATAAAACATATGGATTGACCAATTCATTATGACAACTGAATCCAAAGGATAAACATACCCACACACACCAACACACACAGACACACACACACACACACACACACATACATGCAGAATCATACATCCTTAATAGTATTTATTTTTCATTCCATTCAATCCAATTTTACCCTCTCTTCCTGTCTGCATTTTTTGTGACTGGATGTTTTTCCTTTAGTTCGTGTGCATAGGACCATGCTGAGTACTGACATCCTCCATACTGTAGTAACTTTTTAGCAGTTCTGCTGTTTTAGGTAAAGTCTGATGCTCCATCATATTCAACTCAAAATCTGGGAGTCCCCTAGAGAAACACAACTGCATATCAAGATGTATTTCCTTGGGGCCATACTTTAAAATGTTTTAATTTTAAGGCCTGCCGAGAAAAGACTACCCCATCCCCATTTGTGATCTCTTAAGCCTCTTCCTACCATGTGTTACAAACTGTTCTCTGCAATACCTGCCCCATTCCCAGTATCCTCTATGATGGGAGTCAGCTTACAAGATGTATTGCATACTAAAAGCACACAGAAATCTGATGGGGCAATAGCTTAAGAAAATCCATCAACTGAAACAGTCTTTTGCGGTCTGTGGCAAAGGTGACAAGGAGGCACATTCAGGGAGCCCAATCTTAAGGGGTTGGTAGGATGACTGCCGGTGGGGTTGATGGCCATGGAATCAAGTGCCACAGATTGAAGTTAATGATTCAGCTTTACTTCTCAGTGAGTCTGGACATGCACTATGCTTCCCTGAGCTTAAGACTCCACAGCTATAACCTGCTTGGCAGTGCAGTCTCTAATGTGCATTTTTCAGCCCAATACCCTGAATCTCCCAGATTCTGTCACTCTGTGTCTTCTTCTCAAGGAATTTCTACATGTATGAAATGAGCATGCAGACTCCCTGAATAGGGAGATGTGTCAAACCCCTCATAGTGGGCATCAAACAGCTCCAGTTCCAACCGAGCAGCTCACCTGAAATCTCTGTTCGCTCTTCAGGTGGCTTCATCCTTGTGCAGTATTTCAGGTGACTGGGTCACAGGCCCTTACGTAGGATCTATCGGAGGAATCAATCAGGAAAGGCCTCATCAGACTTTCAGACTGGTGACCCATGCAGCTGGGAACATACCAGAGTCATTCCTGATGTTTCCCAGTGAGGATCCACCTCAGCAATCCTATTAGATCCTGCAAAGTCGTGGTCAGAAAACCAGTTGAAGAAGTTAAGTCTCCTGTTGTGGTGTCTGTGGCGATAGGCCTCCACTTCATAATTCGGATACCGCTGAATTGGAGTGGAATGGGAAGCCCTGTATTCTACAGAGACAGGATTTTGTGGGAAGGGGGCTGGATCACGTTGGCAATGATCCACCCACCATCTTCCTTCCACCACCCATCCTGGGAGCCACCTGTCACCTGTGAGGTTCATGAGATATTCCTTGGTAATCACTTGATTCTGGAAGTAGGGGTTACTCCAAAAGAACAACATGATCTTGCAGAGATGAACGGAATGCTTGGCTTCTTTCACCTGTCAGGACAAGGTGGAGAAAACTTACATACGTTTTCAGGTGAGGTGCCCACTGTTGCTTACAGGAATAAATTATTTCCCTTACCCTCCCCCGCTAAACCCTCTAGCCTCAGTCTTCCCGGCATCACCTCCAAGTTGATCATGTAGCTCAGCATGTCTTCATCTTGGTCAGAGATCAGGGCTGACATCTGGAGGTGGTTTGCAATC
This sequence comes from Homo sapiens, assembly GCF_000001405.40. Classification (NCBI taxonomy): domain Eukaryota; kingdom Metazoa; phylum Chordata; class Mammalia; order Primates; family Hominidae; genus Homo; species Homo sapiens. The sequence continues at coordinate 21,469,239 of NC_000024.10, read as the reverse complement.
TGATTTAGGTCAAAGAGCCTTTAGATGCGATGGAAGGAAAAGCTAGAAGCAACAGGGAAGAAGGCCTAAGAGCACCCAGAGTCTGGGGTGGGGGATTTCTTGGATCTGCTTCCATATATGACCTCCTTTTCTCCTCTCTTTCCGCCTGAATTAAGGCCTCTTGGGTTCACGGAGGGTGTATACTTCTGAGGCTGACTGCACTGACATGGGGAGGGACGATTTTCAGAGAGTTGCTTGTGTCTGAGGAGTGGGAGAATCTGCTTATACCCAAAGATGCCCAGTCTCAGATCAGACTGGCAAGGGGGTTGCAATCACACTCCCTTAACAATAGCTACATTCACAGAAAAACCTGTTCTGGTGAGAACTCGCTTCTACTCTTCAAAAAGATGCCCCAAACGTCTGCTGCTGGGCCTCACTGAGGGTTTCTCTGCCGCATGCAGGAAAATAGTACCCGCGTCTGCTCCGGCTTTCTACAGCCACACTTGTCCATGGCAACTCTCCGTTTTTCCCCAAATAGTCGCATCGATGCCAAGCTGCCCGTAAGTTACTTACACTTCTCCAAGAGCACCTCTCCACTAGAAAGGCAGAAGAAACACTGAAAAGGTTACTACACTGGCCAAGAAGCCAGGGATGCTCTGGATGAATGAGCCTCTGCGGTCCAGGTGGGGCTTGCGCCTCCGCTCCATCTTTCCCCTCTGCTGAGAAAAGGCCTTACTGGCTCCGGCATTAACCGGCTCTAGCTCCACCTGAATGGCCAGTAGTTCCTCCAGTGTCGACTCTGGGGTCATGGGCCCAGGGCCAAGCTGTGCCCGCTGGTCCTCCTCCAGACGCTCCACGTCGGCCTCCTCCTGGGCCACCACCTCCACCTCCGTGATTATGTCATCCAACACCAGCACCGCCTCCTCCACCCAGGCTGCCTCCTCGCTCTGCGCCCCTGGAGCTCCCTCCTGTAGAGCCTCCATCCTGAAGACAGTGCCCTTCTCCGGACTCCCACAGACCACCACCTGTGCTGCCCGACCCACGCCACAGGAACCCTGCCGCTGCCCTTACTAGAGCTTGTGGGTCGGCGGTCCCTCACAGCGCCAGCCCCAGGCTACCAGACGCCTCCTAATGGACTGCACTCAAAGGGCTCCGGGAACCGTGCCAAGATCGCCGGCCTCCCTGCGTGGCCAATCAGTGCAAGGATGTGGGCGTCTCCCTGGGCTGCACCAACCCAGGTTGGCCTGCAGTCCCAGTCTCTTGGGTTAAGCCTCCTCTGAGAAGCCCTCGGAGCTTGTGCCAGGTAGCTCTGTGTCCAGGCACACGCAGGCTGCGTGGCCTTTGGAACTGTGGGCATGGAAGCCCTGTGCCCTAACTGACATCCTGAGTGTGGCAAGCCATTGACCCACAGGGAACACATGAAACAGCTCACTTCATTAGGCAGGCCAGGTAGGTGGTACGGAATATTGCAGATCCAGAGAAGAACTCACTCTGGCTGCTGGGGTGAGGGCGGCGGCGGGTGTCCTGGGGAAAGGGGGTCGGGGCGGAGCATGGGAGGAAAGTCACCTGATTATGCTGAGGTGGAATTCGTCTGCTCCAGAGGCCAGAACCCCGGCTTGCACTCTCCCAGGCCTAAGCAAATACAGGCTCCGCGTTCCATGCTTCCTCCCTGAGGAAGCTGTATTCCAAGGAGCATTCCAAAGGGCCTCTTGTCCTACGCCCTGGGCAAACAGGAGGCCAGCCTCCAGGACTGGCCATCGACGGCCTGCGTGCATGCTGTTGTGCACTGCCTTGCGGATCCAGAGGCTCCCACACGCGCAGCAGCGGCTCTGGTGCCTGCTGGTGGGGCTCTGCAAGCCCAGGTCCTCGTCCTCTGGCTCCCGAGCTCCTGTGCGCAGTTGACCCTGCAGGGGACTTGAGCCCCACGGCGACTGCTGCAATCTGCGGGCCCATCGGGGCTCCTTAGGAAACCTGGGTACTAGTAGGTGTGGGACTAGGTTCTCAGCAGGTGGCTGCCCATGGGCCTTTTGGGGAGGGGGCCTCCTGAGGAGCGGCCCCCAGAGCCTAGGGGTGACGAGGATTAGCTGGACTCCATAGGCCCGGGTCTGTGAGAGCACCAGAAGGGCACAATGTTCAGGCTGGAGGCTAGGCTGGAGAAGACAGCCGGGGCACAGAGCAAGGACGCGACCTTGGAAGAGGAGGTGGTGCTGATGGTGGAAGACATAATGGCTGAGGTGGAGGTGGTGGTTGAGGAGAAGACCGACGTGGAGTGGCAGAAGGTGAACCAGCGGGCACAGCCTGGCCCTGGACCCAGCACACCCGGGCAGTCAATGGACTTGCTGCAGGTCCTTCACTTGGAGCTGGGCTCCGTGAATGCCCCAGGCCACAGGGCATCTCCGGCTTCTGGGCCAGAGCCATATCCTTGCAGCTGCCGATTTGGGATGGCTAGCATCAGGGGATAGGCATCGGGCTTCAGGGGGGGATTGGGGGCTGGGTGGGGGGAGGAGCCAGGTGGGAGGCGCAAGGGGTCAGCCAGGAGGCAGGGGATGGGGGACAGGGTGGGAGCCGAGTCCAGGTTCCGGCAGATCAGAGGCCAGCTTGCTAGTGGGAGCCGTGAGAGCACGTGGTAGGGAAGGTGAGCCAAGCACAGCACTCACAAGGGAGAATCGCGGTACCAAGGGCCCTTCCCGCACAGCGGAAAGTTAAAGGGTATGTTTCCTTGGGAAATGCCCTGGAGGAAGGGGAGTCTGCACGCCCGTGCCAGCCATTGAACCACCCCCGCTCTGAGTGCCTGTTTCCAACAGGCTCACCCCAGAAACACAAGGTGCTGAAGACTCGGGTTCGCGGTGCATGGGGCTGCTGACCTCCACAAGGCAGGCACCAGCTCCCCAGATATGCTTTCTTCCGCCTGCCGGCGCTGCACACAAAGCGGTGTAGGCCCTGAGCATATATAACCTCCTTTGCACCCACGCGAGCCCCATGGGGAGCATGACGCACAACCCTGCAGCCCATTCTACCTACAGGGCTTCCCTCAACTGTACAGGCCCACCTCTCAGGAAGACCAGGATAAGAGGACACCAGACACCCGGACATCAGCAGAGCATGTCCAGCACCCTGCACACCAGGGCCTCCTGCAGCTCATGAACCCTGAGGAAGAAACCGCCTCACACCACCCCGCCCCCTTCCCCTAAGCTGCAACCACCTGCCCACTTATTCCGCCTCCTGTCCGAGGTCAGTGCAGCCGTCTTGGCCTGGCTCCACCCACCCCCAAAACAACCATAGTTTTGAAGTTTCTTCCTCTCCAGACAGAGGAAGAGGTAAACAAGGGAGGGTGACAGGCCAAATGTCTGGGAGACAGCCCTGCTCCACATTCTATGTGCTCCTGCAAATTGCAGGGTTTCACGAGGCTTGCCCACCCAATCATCTGGAGGCTCCTTGACCAGAGGTAGATTGTTTGGCACACCCAGATGTCGGCATGGGTCAGAAACCATAATGACGTCCTGCTGTGCTACATGATGGTCAGGCTGGGGAGCTGGTGGCTATGGGAGGGGTCTGGTGTCTGAGTCAGCTTGAGGTCCCCCTGGGCCTCGGTGGTGTCTCAGTGGCAGAGCTGGGAAGGGGAAACTCATGCTTCGCTCCAGCTAGCAGGCCACCTCAGCCTAGCTAGATGAAATGGTCCCGTTGAGTCCATCCTCTTTCTCCTTCTTAGTCAGGCAGGTGGAGGAACACAGCCATCCAGGTTACTGGCCGCAGGAAGAAGATTTACTTTCATCACAACCTTTACTTCCACAATGAAGTGATCATTCAGGAGTATTGTGTTGGCATCCCTGGTAAGGAATGCCTCCCAGCATGGTAGGGGAGCTGGTGTGTGGGAGGGTCAGCCTGGCTTGAACCTTCCTGGCTCCTCTGCCTCCAGGATACAGGGTGTCTCATTCCACTGCAGTCCACCGGTTCTGGGATCGTGAAGGTCAAGCCTCCAGCTGCAGGCAGAATATGGCCTACCTGAGCTTGTTCAGTTGGTTGGCTGAACATGACTGCCTGGGTTTTGGCGGGATTTCTGAGGTCGAGTCTGCCGTGGTGCATCATGGGAAAGGACCTCGCTGGTCATTCCTTGGCCTTTGGGGAATTGGCTTTGAACCCTGACCTGACCTGTAGTGGACCCCCTTCTACATTCCCCCAGATCATCAGCCAGGCCTATGGTTCAATCCCTTGCAGTTCTACCCCAGGGAGGGGATGGACAGCATTAGAGAGGGAACAGAGAGGAGGCCAGGCAAGGAGCCTAGAGCTGTGAACTGAAAGGCCTTTGAGTCCTGGATCTGTGCCCTACTTGGAGAATCCAAGGATCATGGAGGAGACTGCAGTGAGCAATCCCACGCCATCCATGGGTTGGGGCAGAACAGCCCATAAGGGAACTGTAACACCCACATTTAAGGATTGGGGAACCCTAAGCTACCTATGATGTATATGTGGCTAAAGTCAGTGGGTGAGAAGCAAGGCTTAAGGGATAGCTGTCTTATCATCACTCACCACCTCCCTCCCCTGCCTTGAGGCCTGCTACCCACTGGGGCTCAGTTCCAGCTCAACCAGGGCCCCCTCCCTCTCTGTGCGGATGTCCACCTGAGGCCCTTCTAGGTTTATGTCCTTTTGGAATGGTTCTCCCAGGCCTGTCATGTTCTGTTTCAAGGAGCCCAGGCTCCCCTGACATGCATTCTCCTCTCTGTCATTCTCACTCCCACTTCCCTTCCTTGCCAGATAAGACAGGCCACTGCACAGGGAATCTGGAAGACAACACTGGGCTCCAGTGTGAGGAAATGTTCTACGTTCTCCATGTACTTGTATTTTAGAGTTTCCTCCGGGGGAGGAAATGTTAAGAGATTACAAAATGGATGGGGACCTTCAGTGTGTGTCCAGGGAGGGAACCTGGCTGGGAATTAAGACGCACCTGAGTAATGCCGTGGACATCCAGTGTCAGTTATCTTGATAAAGACCTGCTTTGTTACATCACCTACTGTTAATATAAAAGTTAATTTCTTAGAATATTGAAAAAACAAATTTAAGTATGAGGAAATATAATTTGTTCATAATTGTATGAAAAAACTGCAGACTGATCCATTTTTCATTACAATTTTTATGTGAGACTTGAAGTGTTTATGAAGTTTTAAGATACATTTTTATTGTTCTACTCCTGGCAATTTTTATGATCATTTTTGCAATACAGAGACATGGACACTAGGAAGTTTTTGAGGGATTTTCAGTTTCTTTTAGAGAACTTAGTTGTAAACTCCGATATTTTTCCCCGTGGTTCTTTTCAGTTTACTGTTTGTATTTTATATATGAGATGTTAAATTTGTTTTCTTATTTGCCCCTTCTGGAACTTTTGTTTTAAAGGAATTTTGTTTTCTGTTAGATATGTGAGTTTCCTGTGAGCACTTTTTCTAGTACTGATTTTTTTTTATTCATTAGTTTTTGGGTGTTTGTTTGTTTGTTTCTTTTGAGATGGAGTCTCACTATGTCACCCAGGCTGGAGTGAAGTGGCACGATCTCGGCTCACTGCAAACTCTGCCTCCCAGCTTCAAGGATTCCCCTACCTCAGCCTTCTGAGGAGCTGAGATTACAGGTGCATGCCACCATGTCCAGCTAATTTTTGTATTTTTAGTCAAGACTGGGCTTCACCATATTTGCCAGGCTGGTCTTGTACTCCTGACCTCAAGTGATCCGACCACACTGGCCTCCCAGAATGCTGGGTTTCCAGGTGTGGGCCACCACACCTGGCCTCATTTGTTTGTTTATGTATTTTAATCCTTGTTCTATTTTCTTCATGTACATGTATTTTAGAGTTATCGAAATCATATATTTTATTTACTTAATACTTTAGTAAGATTTTAAAAGTAATGTTTTTCATTCAGTAAATACAATATTGTGAATAGATTAAATCTTGTATAGTATTGTCATTCTGTCTTTTATAAATTATTAAGAACTCTGATACTGTTTCTCTCCCACCTGAAGAGAACATGCAGATAGTTATAAAAAATTGTGTGAGTGGGTAGGTGTTAGAATATAATTTGAAAGAATAGTAAAGTTCACAAATACAATTTCACATTTGTATTTTGCATCATTTTGAAAATTTTATTTGCTGACACATGAAATTCTGCATTCACCTTCATGTTAAATATACAATTTTGAATCAATTTCAAGAATGAAAACAATCCAAGGCCAAGCGTTAGTTCAGGAAGTAGAAAGCAGTTGTTATGTAGCAAAAAACATATTTATTGAAGGTATATTTAGAGAGATTTTAGAAGGCTTAAGTCAATATTTTGTTTTTGTTGCTCTGGTGTTTTATCACACTGTGACCAGACTGTAGCATCACTAGTTATAGTCACTAGGCTACCAAAGTCTCAGGGCTGCAGTAATTGTTATTGAAGAAAGTGGCAGTGTGCTTGGCTGTTTAAGGAGGCTAGAGGACTTAGAAGTTTTCACCCAAAGCACATGGGCCTGGTTTAGTGGGTAGCCTTCCTTTGCTGAAGTAGATAAGATCCAGGAGAAGTGTTGACTTATTGTAGTAGCTAGGGCTTTGAAACTGGTGAAGCCTATTTGTCTCCAACTGCCATTGCCAGATATTGGTCTGCACATAATGACACTTCCTGAACTCACTGACTCCTGTAAATTCAAATGTAGCATTTGGATTTAAATCCCTATTCCAACTTCTTAACCTTAGATCTAATAAGTGGATAACAAAAGATGTATTCAGAAGAAAGTGAGACATCAGATATGTACAAAAGTAAATCATCCTGATCAAATACCTTCAAAAATATTACTAGAAAAATCACTGAAGATTAAACCTTAAAAAGTTATTTTAATTGGGGAAATAGAAAAAGGTTGGACTCGTTTGAAACTCTGAGGGGTAAAGATACTATTATTAGAATATGGGAATTATATAAAATGTCTAATTTGTTTGAAGAGCAGCATACTAGCTATTTAGTATGGCTAAAGATTAATAACCCATGTAAGAAAACTCAGAGATAAACAGCAATTTTTTTCAGAGATTTTGTTCTGTAATTAAAGACTTTTAAAATGGTTTCCTACTGACGAGCAATTCACTTATTATTTAGACATATGTTGTACACCATTTTATAGAGGGACAAAGTTATAGTTTCTATCATGTAGAACAAAAAATAATCGACTGTGTACCACATTTGCATTAGAGTCTTTGGCCTGCGTAATGAAGCAAACAATGGAACTGCCTATGCCAGGGTACAGGTGGGCACAGCTGGAAGCTTCCATCACTTGCATCTTTAACATTTCTGGATTCTCATCGGTCTCTCCTAGAAAGACAAATGGACTATAACTATTCTAAAGAACATATGTTACATTTAATCACTAAGTATTGAGGTAAGACCATGATCTGTCTTATCACTGTCTCCTCATTACTTTAAACTTGTATGTATAACATACAAAGATATTCAGTTTATTTTATCACCATTAACATTTTGCATTGCACATTTATCAATTTCATTCTCTTTCTAGTGACTTTGTTGTTGTTGCTGAGATGGAGTTTCGCTCTGTCACTCAGTCTGGAATGCAGTGGCCTGATCTCGGCTCACTACAACCTCCGCCTCTTGGCTTCAAGCAATTCTCCTGCCTCAGCCTCCTGAGTAGCTGGGATTACAGGCACACACCACCACTCCTGGCTAATTTTGTATTTTTAGCAGAAATGGGGTTTCCTCATGTTGGTCAGACTGGTCTCAAACTTCTGACTTCGGGTGATTCACTGGCCTCAGCCTTACAAAGTGCTGGGATTACAGGTGTGAGCCACCACGCCAGCCCCCCGCTTTTTTCTTGAGACAAGTTCTTGCTTGGTCACCCAGACTGGAGTGCATTGGCACAATCTTCACAAACTGCAGCCTCAATCTCCTAGTCTCAAGCTATCTTCCTATCTCAGCCTCCCACATAGCTGGGACTACACGTGTGCAACACCACACCAGCCTATTTGTTGTTGTTGCTGTTTAGTGATGAAGTCTTGCTATATTGTCCAAGTGGCTATCACATTCCTGGGCCCAAAGGGTTCTCCTAGTTCAAGCTCCCAAAGGCTGGAAATATAGGAGTGAGTCACTGTGGACAGCATCATCACTCTTTAATCACTTTTTAAATGCCACTCTTCAAAATTAACAAGTAAATTTTACTTATGGAATTCCAAATTCCAAGTCAAGTTCAGCTTCATTTTCATAAAGAGGTTAAAAACAAAATAAAACCAAAAAAAGCTTCATTTTCCTTTGTGTTGAAGTGAGCAAAGAGTTAGAAAGCAAATCATCTCTATTTTGGTTTACGAAATTGACTATGAAAGATCCTCATATTATTGTTTTCAGATCTAAAATCCTGTGAAGGTATTTTCAGGACCATCATCTTATAAAACAAAAACAAATCTCCTAGTGGGTCTCTTATATGGATTAAATATCTTATAATTAGTAATGGATACAATTGTGATTATAGTTATTCCTTGAACCATAATATTAAAAATATGAACCTCACTTTTTTAGAGCTGCTACCCTAATATGAAAAGTAACTGCTGACCTGGTATAATAATTTGAGGCCCAGACAGCCAGCATTCTGAATTATTCAGGTTTTTCAGATAGCCCAACTGTGCTAAGAGCCGAATGGGAGTCTAGACATCTTGGAGGAGTAGCAAAGCCTGATCATTTCTTTCTACCCTACTCAACAACTGGAATCTCTCATGAAATAGCATGATAGACACCTTCACAATTCTCAGTGGTGTGCCAGTGTGCCTCAGGCCCAGAATCACAGCAGTGTTTTCAGGATTCCTGTGTGCACAGGCAAAAATTTATTATAGTACATTCATTAGAAAACCAGAACCTTAAGCCTACATCAGGCTTTCCAGCATATTTCTTGAGTCATGATACACAAGGTACCTAGCTCATCTTCAGAGAAATCAGAAATCTATGAATAAAGAGCCCACAGACAATGGGATTAGGAGAGGAATTAATTAACAGAGGTACTAGTAAGCCAAACACAGTGAGACAATTTATTTTTAGCCTAAACCAAAAATGTTATCTGTATATGCCAGATGGTCATACATGATAGAAGTGAATTTGGACAGAGAAACCTTCAGCAATGTATTTATGGGATAATGAATTATAGGGTATGGGAAGAGGCAGGCACAAACTTACATGTTCCTGACACAGTGGGCAGCTGTGAGAATCCAACAGTGGCTAACCACGGAACCACAGCAGAAATCACTTCCATGGCTGTTGATCACAGCTTGCCAAGGCATAGCATATTGCAGAGCAATCTGATCTGCCAAAGCTGAGGAGAAAAATAAGCCTAATTGTGCTGATTGAATAGAATTGCCAACTGTAGATGATTTTTAAAGTTTTAAATCCCTCCTATTTCTGCTGAGTCAGCATTGTTAAATACGACTAGCAAAGACAAAGTTCTACCTCTATTGTGTTTATGCATTTTCCTTGAAAAAAAGTATTCCTGTTATTATCTTTCCAAGGTCATAGTTTCTTTATGTCCTAGCTTAAATTTCTTTAATCAAAATATTGGGAGCCATTCCAGCTTTCTCTCCCACTGCAATATTTGTGTATCTATGATTTTAGCTACTTAGAAGTCATTGAAGCAAGTAGGCAACAAAAAATACAATGATTTGAAGATATTAGATAGATAAGGAAAAATTTGGAGATAAGGCAGCTGTCTCTAAATTGGAGGGGGCTTATCTTCCTAAACTTATAATCTTAGTGAGATATCAAACCAATAGTTTAAATAGAAAATTCAAGTTTGAGGTTCAGGAAAGAGCTCATATTTTTAAAATTATTTTAGAATTCCTCAGAAAACTGAGTTGAAGCAATGCTCATTAATATATATAGAGAGAGATAAAAATGGTGAAGATGACCTCTCTATAGAAGGGGTAAGGAAGTATAGATGAAATTAGAAGTATAACTAAGATCTTAAGTGTAGCTGTCTTTGAATTAGACTTTGGAGGATGTAAGCAAATAATTATGGCTTCCTTTATGTTTTAAAGTATTATTTACTGTAGCTTTGGCAATAGGTGGTAGCTATAAAATAGCTGCAGTTTAGTGCACATTTAATACATGAGACCAAAAGAGATCACTCAATTTCCAAGGAAATAGGTGAAGTACAGTAACGTGAAATAGACATTGCTAATATTATGATAAGTTTTCTGATAGCCAAGGGAAGGGGGAACCTGATAGTCGCACTGTAATATAGTCTAGTACACTAGCACCTAAAACACATTACTTATCAACTACTATGCTGTTTCCAAACATCATAATATCTTCAACTTAAAAGAAACTTAATTTTAAATAACTATATTGCAAGTGTCAGGTACTGTGTGGTAGTAAGGAAATGTCTTTGTATTAGGAGAGTGTGTCTTAATGTTAGCCCTATTCATCTTTTGCCATGAGAAATTGATCAATCCATTGTACTTATCTACTATCAGAATACGCATTTAAGATAATTATAATAATCATGTTATTTGATCTATAGCATAGAGTAATCTGTAGGGATACTATGGAAATTGAATCATATATCAAGTATGAAATGGCTATGTGAGCCATAAGGAAAATAATTTTTAAAGCATTTCTCAGGAAGAGCTTTCTCTCCACTCTTGTTCCCTCTGTTCTTTTCTATTTCCATTCTCTTCTTCCTTTACTTCTCCTACCAAGTTTTTGAGCCTTACTCTGAGGCTGTGGCAGAAAGATGAAGTGTGGCCGAAAAGCACTGGCAGTGGAGGTAAAAGCCAAGGCATTTGTAGAGGTAGAGACTGAAAGGGACATGGAAGCAGAGGTAGTCATGTGTCCTTGATGGTTCCAGGGTGCATGGCTAAGCCATGTCACTCCCTGGAGCCAGAAAAGGAAAGGGTGCACTTGGCTGAAGACATAGGGCTTTGTGCAATGCTCCTAAAAGTGACAAGATTCCCACTTGCACCCAAGTGTCTTTTTGCTGTCGCTGGCACACCAAAGGTGCTCTCAAGTCACCCTGCAAAAAACAAGAGACAAGATATCAATCAATATTTTGAAGGAGGGCCAGAAGTAACTTTTGTTGTTCAAGATATTTCTCTTTCTCTCTGGTATTCACACCCCATGAATTTGTACCTTACAGCCAGCCTCCCACATAGCTTTCTTGGCCACCATACAAAAAGTGAATTCATTCAACTTGGGGCAAAATTGGACACAAGTGCTGATTTGTAGAATGCTTGGGTGCTTTTTTTGCTGAATTCCAGGACTTTCTGATGAAAAACAGAGAAGAGGTGTTTGTGGTTGTTTGCTTGTTTTCAAATTTAGCTTAGATTAGAGAGAGAAACATAGTGAAGAGAAAGAATTTTTTTTTTATTATTCAAGAGAGGATAATATTCTTTTTCCCAACATACTACTCTTCCATGCCATTGTCTTCTTCATTAGTCACCCCTCATAAGGGACCAACTAGGTAGCTAATAGTCACATAGTTGTATAAATTTACTCCATTTCAGACTTTCCTCTGGGCATATAGGAAGGACCAGGGGTTGAAAATGTTGTGGCTGCCTTGGGAAGATCAATCCAGGGGTCCCTTGGGACCTAGGTAGGGTATGGCACTGTCAATCCTGACTGTCTAAGCTTAGGCAGAATCCAGAAGATGACTAAGCCCCATTTGGACCAGGGCCAGTGCTCCTGAGCTTTTTCTGGGGAAAAAGTCAAGAAAAAGTCTTGTTATTTCCACATTTCAATTGGAATAAGCCGTGTACATCATGTGAATCAGATGAAGTCCAGGTAAGCACTAAAGTACAAATACTACTTTATAAACTATTTTTGAGGATCACTTGAGACCAGGTGGGCAACATGATAAGACTTTATTTCTGGAGAAAATGAAAAAAAAATTAGCCAGAATCAGTGGTGCATGCCTGTGGTCCCATGCACTGAGGAGGCAGAGGTGGGAGAATCCCTTAATCTTGGGAATTTGAGGCTAATGTGAATCATGCCACTGCACTGCAGCCTGGGCAATAGAGCAAGACCCTGTCTCCATCTCTCTTTCTCTCTGTCTCTCTCTCACACACAGACACAGACACACAAAGAGAAAGATATTCATTAACAATCTCAATGTTGTAATTGCTTTATAATGATATCTTAATCTTGAAATGAATTACTCAGACTTACATAAAATTGCCATATCTAGCTGTGGTAAGGATCCACTGTTCATTTAGTATGGAGCCAGCACAGAAATGAGAGAAAGACAGTTGCAGGAAACTATCCAAGGAAATTCACCAATTTCTGCCTCCCAGCAGTTGGGAAAGAGGGGGACATGGCCAGGGCGTAACCCACACTCTGCAGAAGGAATAAACCTGTGGAATAGAGTGAGTTTAGTGTTACTGGTCTCCCATTTCTAAAATCTAATTTTAGGTTTTTAGGAATATGCTTGGAAATTCAGTATCTTCAATTCTGAGAAAATATTTGGAAATGTACATTATTCATCCAACAATTTTAGATAAACTACAGAGGTTATCTCCATATTTTCCCTTCAAATAATAAAGTACATATGTTATATATCTTATTATTTATATCCAAGATATAATACTATTATCCAACAGTGTGTATCTATATGTACATACCTCAAGTGGAAATAATAAAACATTTCTAAGAAGTAAGACTATCTTTAAAATACTGTTCTCTGAATAGAATTGTGTTCATAAAACATAGTTCATAAATCTTGTTTGGCAAAAATAAAATATTCTGTTAATATTTAGACATCTCTGCTGATTCATATAATAACATAAATTTTGGTTTTGCAAAGGTCTGAGAATATAACCTCTTATCTTACAAACTCTGGTTTTAGGCTTCAACAAGAGTCTTCGTACTAAGTATATTAACTCAAACATATGACTAGACTAAAGGTGCCTGTGGTTTCATGAGAAATAACACGTGTCTTGAAGAGCCAGTAAGCCTGTAAACTTTCTTTCCAGATCACAGCTAGTTGACACTCATCCAGGGAAACGTTGAATTCTGCATGCCTAAGAGGTTGTTGTCCAGGCTTGGGTCCAGACTGAGATCCAGGCATCAGGAGAGGGTGTTTTATTAAAAGTGTGGCTGGAGCAGCATGCAAGGATGAAAAAGATTGAGAAAGAATGGACTCTTCAGTAAATGTTGAGGAAGATATTTTCTGAAGAGGATTAGTAGAAGAGGCTATGGAAAGAAGAATAGGAGAGGAGACCAGAGGAGAAAAAACTGAGCAAGATGGGAAAATGCAGAATGAAGGGAATGTACAAGAAGAAAAGACTTAAGAAGAACACAGTGTACATGGAGATGGAAAAGAACAAGAAAGAAGAAAGAAAAAGGAGGAAGAAAGAGAGACAAGAGAGGTAGCTGGGACGTCAGGGCTTTCTTTTATCTTGATAATTTTTAATTTCCTTCCATAGTGCTGGTAAACAACTCTTCCAGGAAGCCAAATGCTTGTAAGCTGGCTTGGTTGGAGAGAATTGATTTTATCCTGGCTTTCTGTGGCAGTTATCTCAGTTAACAAAGCTATTAAATACTGATCTGGGAAAGACAGTTTTTACTGGCAAAAAGGGTACACGTTTAGACAAGGAGACAAAATGACTCATTAATAGTGTTTCTCCATTCAGCTCAATTTCAGGAGGAGAAAATGATGCAATTATATTAGCCTTACAATGGGTTCTGGGTCTTAGTATTTTTGTTTCAGGCTAGATCCAGGTTCTCACTTTGCCACCTTTAAAATCCACAAAGGATTCAATAATATCAGCTTCAGACTGGATCCAGTGTGTGTCTGCTTGGGTTACAGGCAGTATCCAAGATATGAGTGTTCTTCCTTTAAGCAAGTTCCATGGTTTGACTACTGCAGGTAGAACCTTGGGCCAGAATCTTAGAACCAAAGTTTCAGACTGAATAAAATTGTGAATTATATCAATGTCAGGCTGGATCGAAGAACTGAGTATTTGAGATTTTGAATAAGCCAAGAGCTGCCTTTATGCACCTGAATGTAAAACAAAGATCTGATTATATCAGTTTCCTGCTTGTTCCAGGGTCTCACTGCTTAGGTTTCAGGGTGGGTCCATGTTTGATATGTAGCAGCTCTTTGCTGAGTCCAGGGACAGAATATACCAACTTCAGTCTGGGGCCAGGGAGAAAGTGGCTGACTTTCAGGATGAATTCAGGATTTAACTGTATCACATTGAGGCTGTAAGCAAGATGTGACTGTATCAATTTCAGTCATGTTACAGGGTTTTATTCCTTGGCTTACAGTCCAAATTTGGAATACTTCAGTTTCAGGTTGGTTCCAGTATCTCGTTGAATTTATTTGAGTCTGGAACCAGTATCTTATCACTCTATTGGTTTCATGGTGGGTCCAGGGATGAATTCCAGAGTAAGTCCATGGTCTGATTGTAGCAGGTACATGCTAAATCCAAGAGTAATTTATGCTAATTTGATTCTGGGTCCAGGAGTGTGAAGCTTGAGATTCAAGTTGGGTCCAGGGTCAAACTGCATCGTTTTGGGGACAAACATATCAACATACCTGCCTCAGGCCAGGTCCTACTTGCTTGAGATTCAGGCTCAGTCCATTGTTTTATTTTATCAGTTTCAGAATGGGTCCAGTGTCTGACAGTATTGGTTTCAGCATAGATCCAAGGTTGGATAACATCACCTTCAGACTGGGGTCCAGGGTCTGACTGCATTCTTTTCAGATTGGTTCCATGGGTGGATTATGGCTGCATCCAGGTAAGTAACTGTTTGAGAGTAAGGTTGAGTACCATTTCTTCTTACATAATTTTGGGTCTGAAGCCAAGCACTCAGAATATTAATATCAGGCATGGTCAAGCATTTTGCTGCCTGTATTTCAGTCTGATACAGTAGCGTATCAGACAAGGACAGGGTCCAGAGTCTGACTGCTTGAAATTCAGCATGAGTCAAAGGTCTGATTGTATTAGTTCTAGCTTGAGTCCAAGGGTGGATTGTGCCTGCTTCAGTCTGGATCCATATTTTACTGTAACAGCTTCAGAAATTGTTTTGGATCTCATTGTACCTACTTCAGATTGTGTATATGGGAAGAAGGCATTCCTTTTGGATTGGATCCATGTTATTAAAGTTGTAGTTCTCTGTTTGGCCCAGGATTCTATTTTACCAGGTCCAAAGGGAGTAAATGTGCTCAGTGTTTGAAATTCTGGTGAACCTAAGGTTTTATTTTTTTCTGTTCCAGTTTTAAACAAAGTTCTATAACTAGAGCTTCAGGTTGGGACCATGGTTTTGCTGCTGGAGGCCCAGGCACTATCCAGGATATAAGTGTTCCAAATTCAGGCAAAGTCCATTCACTGATACATTCAATTTCATGATGTGTCCATAAAATAGACTCTTGATTTTTATCTTGGATCAAAGGTTGTGTTTACTACTGGAGACTCAGACTGGGATCACGGAGTGATTGATTCAGACACAGGTAGTTTCCAGGTTTTTCCTGCTGTAGGGATATGCTAGGTCCATGGTAACACTGTGGAAACTACAGCCCATGCCTCTGGGTTTTCTGCTGAATATTCCTCGTAGTTCCATAATATAAGTATATCAGATACAGTCTGTGTCCAGATAATTCCTACTGGAGACTGGGCCTGCAGCCACAGTATAATTTTGTCAGAAACTGGCTGTGTGGAGGTAATGACTGCAGAAGATTCAGCCTGGGTCCAAAGTGCAACTATATCAGATACAGGATGTGTCCAGGGATTTGTTGCTAGAAAAAAAGGTTTGGTCCATGGTGTGACTATGGAAACTATTGCCTCTATCCACGAATTGACTGCTAGAGATACAGGCTGGGTCCACAATAATAATGTATTAGATATAGGCAATATACAGGGATTTACTGCTGAAGATTCAAATTGGATCAATCCTATGTATGTGTCAGATACAGGCAGTATCCATGCAATTAATGCTGCAGATTCAGATTGGGACCATAATCTGGTTGTATTAGATGAAGGCTGTGCCCAGGCCTTTACTGTTGCAGATACAGCCTGTGCCCAAATTGTAGCTGTATGAAAAACAGGCTCTGTCCAGGGATTTATTGCTGGAAATTCAGCCTGGGTCCAGGGTATATCTGTGGAAGCTATAGCCTCTGTCCAGGTATTTAATGATAGACATTTGGTTTCAGTACAAGCTTTCAGTGTACCATGTAAACTTTGTGAAAAGAAGATTAATGATAGAGTTGCAGGCTGTATACAGTATGAGTGTATCAGCAACAGGCTTTGACCAAGCATTTACTGCTAAAGATTGAGTCTGGGTCCATGGTATGACTATATCAGTCTCGACCTATAGCAGAGGACTTGGGGCTGGAGATTCAGGATCTGTCCAGATATTTACAACTGGAGACTTAGACTCCATCATGGAATTTACAGCTTGAAATTCAGCCTCGTTCCAAGTGTTTACTGATGGATATTTCATTTGGGTCTGTAGTTTGCCTGCATCAGGTAGAGATTGTAACCAGAAAGTGATTGCTGGAGGTTTTGTCTGTGTCCATATTATGACTGTATCAGATAAAGCCTCTCTCCTGGGAATCATTACTAGAGATACAGCCATGTACTGCAGTGTGACTATACCAGTTTCAGCCACTGTTAATGGATTTATTCCTGGCAACAGATCCTGGGTCTATGATGTGACTATTTTAGTTTTAAACTATCTCTATTGTTTTACTGCTACACAAACATTCTTAGCCAATGGTGTCACTCTATCAAATAGAGTGTATGTGCAGGGATTGTTGATTTTAGAATGGGCCTGGGTCCACAGTATGACAATTTCTGTTTCAAGATTTGTGGAGGGATTTACTCCTACAGATTCAGCTTGGTTTGGTGGTATAACTGTAGCTGGTATGGGCTGTGTCCAATCATTTACTTTTTGTGGGAAAGAGAGTTTCAGGAATGCCAGATGAATTGGTCTCCCCTGTGTGAGACACCCATGGGGAGCCATATGTGGCATCTGAGGAGAAAAGTGTCCTTACTGCCTTCATGTCTTTATGCCCCAAGAGCATAAGAGCTCAGTGGCATGCCACACCTTGCTTGGGGAAATAACACTCCCTTGAAGCAGTGGAGTAAAATCAAACATCTTGGCTTCTCCTGAAACCTGCTCCTACCCATTTTAGTCCCGATGAATTGAAGGTCTTAAGCAGTTTAGACCCACGCTTTTGCTAGGGAAATTCAGATACTGCCACTGCTATACATCTTATTGAACGACTCACGAGTTCTCCTTCGCTGATTAATCCTTTTCCTCATCCCTTCTTCCCCCTCCCGCCTGCCCTAAGAACAAAGAGCTTGTAAACCAATAAATTGGGTGGGGGCTGAGAGCTCCAGGCTATGAGTAAGAGTCTGACACTCTGGTCCCTTGGACTAGCCTTTTAAACTGTTATTCTGTCTCTTTCTAATTCTTTATCTCCGCCGGACTCGGGGTACCTGCCGGATTCGAGGTAACCGCCAGCTGGTGTGGGGCTGGTTTCCCCAACATCTGGTGGCCAACGCGGGGCTCCCCATAATCTCTACAAATAATCCAGTGAAGGAACGCCAGAGCGTGCAAAGTGGAGGACGACTGACAAAGGACACCTGAATATGTTTTCACTTCAAGCTCTACAGGTAAGTAGGGCGCTCGGAGAATTCCAGGGTAACCTAGGGAAAATATGAGACTGGCTGAGAGTAAGTTTGTTAATTAAGCCTGGTGCAGCAGTTATTGTGCCACGGAGGGGTAATTGTGAATACCCAAAATCTTACATCTTTGTTCCATCTCGTAGAAAAGTATTCTTCTTGGTTCCTGGAATATGGAAACATGGATTTAAAAGATTGGGACAAGGTAGGATCAGACTTAAAACAATCACAACAAGAGGGCCCTTCTCCACTTGGTCTGTGTGGTCGGCAATTTAAACAGCACTGCAGCCTTTCCACACTGAGGAGGAGGAGGAGAAGTTTCAGGATGACATAGAAAAGTTTAATAATCAGGAGTCTGCTAATCAGCAAAGTGAACTGTCACAGTCTAGTTTTAAAAAGGGGGAGAAATGGGAAGTTATATATCCTAACCTCCAAAAACTTATGAAAGAAACAGTGCTACCTACTGCGCCTTTAGGGGAAGGTCCGGAATGGCCACTCCAACTTTAGTCTTAGGTATTTTTGGAACAGGAGTCTGCGACGCGGCTTGCAGCTCCCATTATTGCACTCCCTTCCACTAACTGTGGCAATGGGAAGCTTCAGGCTTGCCCAACAGCCAAGTAAGGGGGGGGAATGATCCAGGCTTATCTGCCTGTTAATTATGGCGGAGGAATACTGCAAGCTAGTCCGAATACAAATTATGGCGCAGGGACAATCCAGACATCCATTCACCAGGCACAAGAAATGGGGAATTCGGGTGCTTGGCAGTTTCTGGTAATTATTTCTCCAGCTGAGGAGCCCAGAGAACATGCTCAAGCATGCTGGGAGCCATTTCCTTTTAAAATATTAAAAGTCTTTAAAGCAAGCAATTGGACAATATGGGCCAAATTATCCTTATATTCATTCCTTGTTACAATCTGTGGCTTATAACTGGCGTTTAATACCTATAGATTGGGAGTCATTAGCCTGATCCACCCTGTCCCCCTCTGAATTTCTCCAATTTAAAACCTGGTGGACAGATTAAGCAACAAATCAGGCATGCAGAAATGCTCAAACCCAACCTCTGTTAATATCACATCTGACCAATTGCTTGGAATCGGACAGGCATGGGGTACTCTAAATCAACAGATAGTAATGGGTGATGAGGCTGCTTATCAGCTCAGAACGATGTGCCTGAGTCTGGGAAAAAATTCACAACCCTGGTACTACTTATCCTTCTTTTAACTCAGTTTAACAGGGTCCAAGGGAGACTTATCCAGATTTTATTGCCCATTTGCAAGACATGTCTCAAAAGGGTATTTAGGATTCTCATGCCAGGAAAGGGATCATTCAGCTGCTTGCTTATGAAAATGCTAATACAGAATGTCAGGCAGCAATTAGACCTATTAAGGGAAAGGCAGATCTAAATGAGGAAAAATCTTTAAGCGAATACATTAAAGCCTACCATGGCATTGTGGGGCACTTACATAAGGCCAGCCTCCTAGCTCTGGCAGTGGATGAACTAAAGGTAACAAAAAGCACACGAGTGTTGCCTGGATCTTGCTATAATTGTGGGCAGACAGGACATACAAAAAGAGAATGTACAAAGAGCCAAAAAAGGCAAAACTCAGGAGGAAAAAGCAGGGTACCAGGAATCTGTCCCATATGTAAAAAAGTAAACACTGAGCTAATCAATGTCTTTCAAAGTTTGATAACAGCAGACAGCCCTTGCTGGGAAATGGAGAGAGGGGCCAGCCCCTGGCCCCGATTCAAAATGGGGCATTTCCAATTCAGGATGGGATGTCCCCGACTCCAAATGGAGTCTTCCCGGCCCAGTCTATCCCTGTACAAATGTACAGCAATTATCTCCCTCCACAGCTAGAAGCGGGGCAGTAGTTTTATTCTGTACTGAACCTGTATCCCTCCTTCCTGGGGAGCCTCCTAGGAAGGTCCCAATGGGAGTTTACAGCCCATTGCCAAATGGCACAGTGGGACTTATACTGGGAAGATCCACCTTAAACATAAAGGGAATTCAAGTACATACTGGAGTAGCAGACTGATTGCCAGGGAGAAATTCAAATTGTTTTCTCCTCCACTGTTCCCTGCAGTGCTAATCCAGGTGACAGAATACCTCAACTGTTACTTTTACCATATGTTAAGTTAGGAGAAATCTCAGAAAAAAGAACAGGAGGATTTGGAAGCACAAATTCAGCAAGCAAGGCTGTCTATTGGGTAAATCGAGTGTCTGACAATAGAGTTATTTTTATGGTTTATTCAAGGAAAATAATTTGAGGGACTGGTCAACACAGGAGCAGATGTGTCGATGATAGCCCTTTATCAACAGCCAAAAAACTGGCCTAAACAAAAGGCCCCAGTGGGTCTTGTTAGGGTCGAGGATTTGCTTGTATCTCACCAGAAGAGAATCAGCTTCCTGTCTGGGTACCCACAAGACATCTTAAGCTGTGCCATGAGCCAGAGTCCAAGGAAGAGAAAAAGACCTTGGAACGTTCCTGCACCCACAGTTGATCAGATGGCTCAGATGAACATCTCTGTTGGGCACATGGAAACAAGTGAAACTAGCCAAGTCAACTCCACCAACCTGGGGGCAGATTAAGAGACTAGCTCACATTGCAGAAGAGAACCTGAGGTCTCAGAACAAGCCGCTGACCACCAGTAATCTAATGTTAGCTATGATGGTGGTAATCTCCTTGGTGGTGAGTCTCCCCACAAAGGGGCAGATCAAAATTACACTTATTGGGCCTACATTCCACTCTCACCACTGATTAGGCCTGTTAACATGGTTAGTTGACCCAGTGGAGGTTTATGTTAATGATACTGTCTGGATGCCTGGACCAGCAGATAACCAAGGTCCTACTCATCCAGAAGAGGAAGGAATGTTAGTGAATGTTTCCATTGGTTATTGCTTTACTCTCATCTGTCTGGGGCTGGCAGCAGGATATTTAAATTCTGATAAACGAAGCTGGATGGTTTATGTTCCTGCACATAATTCATCAAAAGCCTCTATTCATGTATTTAGTGGAAGGACATTTCAATGTTTGGACCCTATTAAATACCTTGAGCATGGCTATGTTATGACACATCACCAGATTAATAAATTTAAACCTAATAAGAAGTCCTGCCCTGGGTAGGCAGGCCACTCAATAGTCTGAAAACTAGAGGTTCTAACCTGGGAAGCTTGTATTGCAAATAGCAGTGCTGTACTGAAAAATAATTCCTATGGAATCATCATTGATTGGGCCCCTGTGGGACACTTTGCAGTAAATTGTACTGGACAGCATGAAGATTGTAGAGAGACTCCTTTTGCAAATGACTACCCAGATAATGCACCAAAATTATACGGAAGAATTGAAACAAATTACACTATTAAGTGGGAGGAGAATGGTATGGCTCCTCCAAGCCCAAAAATGATTGATCCAATTATAAGTCCAGAGCATCCAGAATTGTGGAAATTAATGATGGCTCAAATCCCAATTCAGATTTGGAAAGGAGAATATAAAACAGAGAACCATAGTAAAAAACTTAGATTTGTTGTAGCCATGACCTCTAACTAGACAGTCCCTTTGCAGCGTTGTGTTAAACCTCCTTTTATGTTGGCAGTGGGAAAAATTAATATCCTACCTGACTCTCAAACCATATCATGCCTCAACTGTCATCTTTTTACCTGCATTAATTCTACCTTTAATAAAGATAATAGCATTTTACTGGTTAAGTCTTGAGAAGGAGTTTGGATACCTGTTTCCCTCAATAGACCTTCGGAGGCCTCTCCCTCCATACATAGTATCATTGAAGTGCTAAACAGAATACTTAATAGATCAAAGAGATTCATATTTACTTTAATAGCTGTGATCATGGGCCTTATATCTGTCACAGCTACTGCTGCTGCTGCTGGTGTTGCTTTGCACTCTTCTATTCAAACTGTGGGCTTTGTGGATAGTTGGCAGAAAAATTATTCTAAGCTTTGGCATTCCCAAAGCCAAATAGATCAAAAATTGGCAAATCAGGCCGGGCGCGGTGGCTCACGCCTGTAATCCCAGCACTTTGGGAGGCCGAGACGGGCGGATCACGAGGTCAGGAGATCGAGAGCATCCTGGCTAACACGGTGAAACCCCGTCTCCACTACAAAAAAAAATACAAAAAATTAGCCGGGCATGGTGGCGCGCGCCTGTAGTCCCAGCTACACGGGAGGCTGAGGCAGGAGAATGGCGTGAACCCGGGAGGCGGAGCTTGCAGTGAGTCGAGATCGCACCACTGCACTCCAGCCTGGGCGACAGAGCGAAACTCCGTCTCAAAAAAAAAAAAAATTCGCAAATCAAATTAATGATCTCCATCAAACAGTAGTTTGGATGGGAGATCGGATTCTATGGAGCATAGAATTCAAATGCAATGTGATTGGAATATTTCTGATCTTCATATTACTCCTAGCTCTTATAATGCCACTGAACACCATTAGGAGATGATTAGACATAACCTACCAGGAAAAGAAGACATTTTAACACTAGATATTGCTAAACTGAAAAAAACAACTTTTCGAGACACCTCAGGCTCACCTAAGCCTGTTGTCTGGAGCTGATATTCTTGCTGGAGCTACTGATGGCCTTTCTAAGAGTAATCCTTTAAAGTGGATGAACACCATAGGTAGATGAACAATTGCAAATTTTATTTTGGTTTGTGTCTGTTTATGCTGTTTGTTTTTAGTCTATAGATGCAGAGGGTACCTAGGGAGAGAAGCCAGAGAGCATGAATGATAGCAATGGCAGTTCTAATAAAAAAAAAATAGAGACAAAAAAGGAAGACCCATGAGAAAGAGAGTTTCTGGAATGCCAGATAAGTTGGTCTCTCCTGTGTAAGACACCCATGGGGAGACGTGGGCAGCCTCTAAGGAGAAAAGTCTCGTTATTGCCTTCATGTCTTTATGCCCTAAGAGCATAAGAGCTCAGAAGAATGCCACAGGTTGCTCCGGGAAATAACACTCCCTTGAAGAAGTGGAGTATAATCAAACATCTTGGCTTCTCCTGAAATCCACTCCCACCCATTTCAGTCTCAATAAGTTAAAGATCTTTAGTCGTTTAGACACATGCCTTTGCTCAAGGAAATTCACAGAAACTGCCACTGCTATACATTTTATTGAATGACTCACAAGTTCTCCTTCACGGATTAAACCTTTTCCTCATTCCCTTCCTCCCCCTCCCATCTGCCCTAAGAACAAAGAGCTTGTAAACTAATAAATTAGGTGGAGGCCGAGAGCTCCACGCCATTTGCAAGTGTCCGATGCTCTGGTCCCCTGAACCCACCTTTTAAACTCTTATTCTGTCTCTTTCTAATTCCTTTGTCTCCGTTGTACTAATTCCTTTGTCTCCACTGGATTCGGGGTACCTGCCAGGCAGTGTGGGGCTGGTTTCCTCAAAACTTTTGGAGATTCAGCCTCAGTCCACCACGTGAACATATTGGTTTCATATTGTTTCCAGAGATTTATGGCAGGTGATTTGACTTAGTTCCATCGTTTGATTGTATAAGCTATTGCCTGTGTCAAATGCTTTTCTGCTGAAGACTCAGCCTGGGTCCAGGGTATGAGTGTATCAGATACAGATTGGATCCAAGGCTTTACTGTTAAAAACTGTAAACTTTACTTCAAACTGAGTTCATGGTGTGTGTGTATCAGCTACAGATTCTGTCCAGTAAACTACTGCTGAAGATTCAGCCTTACGCCATGGAGTGTCTGTGTCATATACAGGCTGTGTCCAAAGATTTCCTACTGCAGATTCAGACTGTGCATAGTGTGATAGTAGCAGCCCGTGGCAGTATCCATGGATATCCCGCTATTAATTCAGCCCGGTTCCATAGTGTGATGGTATTGGCTATGGACATTGTCCAGGTATTTACTGATGGACATTCAACCTGGGTCCAAGGTACAATTATGGAAGGTATAGGCTGTGTCCATGGAATTACTGCTGGAGATACAGCCCGGGCCCATGGTGTGACTTTGGAAGTTGCAGCCTCTGTGCACAGATTTACCATTGGAGACTCAGCTTGTGTCCACAGGATAATGCTATCAGATTCAGGGAGTGTACAGAGATTTACTGCTGAAGATTCATCTGGGGCCCATGGTTTGATTGTATAAGACACATACTGTGTCTATGGTTTTATTGCTGGAGACTCATCCTGAATCTATTGTATAGTACTATCACTACTATACTATTGTATAGTAGTATCACCTACAGACTTTGTCCAGGGATTTATTGTGGGAAATTCAGGCTTGGTCCACAGCTTGTCTACATCAGCTATTTGTTGTGTCCAAGAATATCGTGCTGGAGGACCATTCAGGATCCCCTGTGTGACTGTATAAGTTTCAGACTGTGTCCAGGCATTTCCTACTATAAATTCAGCCTGATTCCATGGTAGGACCATATCAGCTGTGACATCTCTCCAGGGATTCATTGCTGGTGTTTTACCCGGAATCAATGATTGAGTCCAAGATACTGGTGGGTGTTCAGCGTGGGTCCATGGTTGGAATATATCCTGTTCCCAGGGAATTACTCCTAGAGTTTCAGCCAGAATCCATGTTGTGAGTATATCAGTTTCAGACTGTGTCCAAGGATGTAATAATAATGATTCAGCCTGGATACACATTGTGACCATATCAGATATAGGAGAGTGTATCCATGAATTCATCACTAGTGATTCAGCTTGGGTCCCTAGTGTGATTATATCAGTTTCCAACTGTTTCCAGGAATGTATTGCTGGAAATTCAACCTGGTTTCACAACATTATTGTTTCAGTATCAAAACGTATCCAGTTTTTTACTGCTGGCAGATAAGCCATGGTCCACCATGAGACTGGATTAAATTCAGATGGGAGCCAAGTATTTCCTTCTAGATATTCAGGCTGTAATTTTGTCCAAGGACTTACTGGTGTCATTTCATCAAGGGTCAATGGTATGACAGTTTCAGCCATAGTTTTTGCCCAGGGGTTCATTGCTGGAAATCTATCCTGGATCCATTGTGGGACTGTCTTAGCTATAGGCTCTGTCAAAGGCAATAAGGCTGGAAATTCTTCTTGGTTCCAAAATTTGGCTTCATCACATACAGAATGTGTCCAGAGATTCACTGCTGGAGATTTGGTAATAGTCCACAGTATGATTGGATCAGTTTCCCTCAATAGATGGGTGGATGTTAATCCTTGAAATTCAGCCTTTGTCCATACTGTGACTGTATCTGATAACATATCTGTCCAAGAGTTTACTGTTGGAGTTTCAGTCTGGGTCCACAGTGGCACTGTGGAAGTTTCAGATTATGTCAGGGATTTAATTCTCAAGACTTTCCCTGAATGCATGGTGTTAATATAGTAGCTTCATTTTGTACCCAGGAATTGATTACACCAATGTCTTTCTGAATCGAGTGTCTCAAAGTGTCATCTTCAACTTTGGTCCAGGATCTAACTTTATCACTTTCAACCTCACCCCAGAGTCTAAATGCATAATCTCATGATGTATCCAGTCTCTTAACTTATCAGTCACAGATCGGTTCCAAAACCTCACTATTGCAGTTTCAGACTGTATCTAATGATGATCTGTCAGAGTTGCTGGTTCTCTCCACTGTGTGACTGTCTCTGCTTGAGACTGAAACAAAAGTTTGATATCAGCTTCAGTGTGATTCTAGGGTCTGCTTTTATCACCTTCAGGTTGGGGCCCAGGTACCACTGTTTCCATTCCAGTTTGGGCCCAGTACCTAACTGGATCTGTTTCTGGTTGGGCCCAATGTTCTTGTTTCCATTCTTCAGTCTGGGTTCTGGGTCTCAATATTTTAAATTTACGCTGAATCCAGGGTCTCATTCTTTCAATTTCAGTTTGTAACCATGGATTAATTGTACCAGCTTTCAGGCAAGTCAAGAGTCTTCCTGACTGAGTTTCTGCCTAGGTCCACATTTGGACTATGGCTGTTTCAGGCTGACTCCAGGGTCTGATCATGTCAACTTTAGAGTGAAGTAAGGGCTCAATTATGTTCATAATAGGATGCATGTCTGCATCAGGGGTTTGAGTATAATAGCCTAATGTTTATTCAAGGTACTAAATCTATCCGTTTGATTTGAGGGCCTGATCATACTGGTTTTATTTTGGATCCAAGACCTAATAGTATCACCTTTTGACTTAGCACGTGAATATGGAGTATGCAGTGTAGAAGAAATCCAGAACCAAGTTGACTTAGGTTCCACAAGAGTCCAGTATCCATCTGTCTTTTCTATAGTTTCTTGGGATCCAAATACATTCAAGAGTAGCTGACACCATGGTTCAAAAATATGGGTTACTGTAGGATACGGAAATCCATCTTCACTGAGGGATGAATGAGCCCATAGTTCAATTTTATTAACTATGAAAAGTACTGGTGGAATCTAGTTGTAAGTTGATGGTTTAGCACCAGGGTTAACTCTATGAGCTACATGATATGTTTGGTGTCTAATACTCTCTTCACTGGATTGAATCTGTTCCTGTTTTATAAGACACAAATTGTTTCCAAGTTTCAACTTCAGGAGTAATTTCTAGCCAAGGTCTAGCTACAATTTGTCCATGAGACAGAACATTAACAGATTGAACTTGAGACTGACCAGTATCAATCTCAGAAGGAACTTGAGATCCACCTAGGCCCCTTGAAAAGAGAAACCAGGATCCACCAATATTAACTAATGGTAGAGTATGAAGCCTAATTTTACTAGCTAATGTATTAATCCAGGATCTTGCTGAATCAGTCACAGCTTGATATTTATAATTTGTTGTCTTTTTCTGAGGAAGATTCCAGGGTATAGGTATAATAGCTGTTTGGGAGTTCTGGGGTCCAGAAAAAAAGAAATATTGAGAAGTGTCAGTTTCTGGGGTACTCCAGCATTCAGCTGTATCAGGATGATCCCATGGTTTGGCAACAGGAGAAATCCAGGATCATACCTTTGGGAATTTGCTAGCTGAGGAGAGGTGACCACTTTGAAAGTGTAATAGTCTTTTGGCATGAAAAAAGTCTCTATTATTTGAACCAAAAACATTGAATAAGTATGCCAGTGCTTTCTGTTCACTGGGGAAGTGCTTAATCTTCTCCATGTTTGTACTGAGAATCCATGGAAGACCAAAGTGTCAGAGCTTATGTTACAGCTAAGTGTGTTTTGTGGACTATTTTCTACTCCAGGAGGAAAATTGCAGGGTAGGGAACAAATACGACCCAGTGGTTTCTGGGATGTCTTGATAGGCCATCTAATCCAAGATATGTATAACCTGTCCTGATGACAAGAACAGGGTCATAACAGGCTTCTGAGGTATCACTGACCAGGCCTACCCGTTCCCAGTGACGGCCAAAGAGGGAAAGAACAGGACTATCTTGCTGTACCTGAATGGGTGGAAACAAAGATAACCATATATATTAGAAATACATATAGACGTATAGTATACATGTATTAAAATATATAATGTATAAATTACATATATATGCAATACATATATGTTAATTATAAAATACACAGACACATATATTGTATATGTTTAGGGATACTTATATTTATAAATTAGTTATATAGCTTATATGGTTTATACATATATTAAATTATAAGTGTAAATTATACTTTTCTATTACATGTAAATTTCATATTACTTGATGGACAGTATTAAATATTACATGGTACATACTTCAAGAGTTCCACATAACACTTAGGCACAAATAATTCTAACTATGTTTAAAAGAGTAAAATAAAATACCAGAAGCAAATTAGAGGAAAGTTCTAAACAATAAAAAATCACCTACATACGCAACATGATTATCTGAATATTACTTACGTTCTTTGTCATGTAATTTTAGGCAAAGCACAATTTATACAGTCATATGAAATGAGTGTTTGTATCACCTCCTCTGCCATTATGTTTGTTGAAGCCATCATCATTTGTTTGGCCTCTCTGCTTGATTCTGATGCCCACTTGTAGCTAACATTTTGTTCTCCCTATAGCCGCAATTACCCTCAGAGGAAAAGCACTTATTCTAAAATTGACTGCATAATTTGAAGTAAAACACTCCTCAGCAAATGCAAAAGAATAGAAATCATTAAAAAAAAAACAGTTTCTCAGGCCACAGTGCAATCAAATTAGAACTCAATATTTAAAAACTCACTCAAAACTGCACAATTACATGGAAACTGAACAACTTGCTCCTGAATGACTACTGGGTAAATAATGAAGTGAAGGCAGAAATAAATATGTTCTTTGAAACCAATGTGAAAAAAGACAAGTTACCAGACTCTCTGGGAAACATTTAAAGCAGTGTTTCAAGGAAAATTTACAGCACTTAATGTCCACAACAGAAAGTAGGAGATAACTAAAATCAGCACACTAACATCAAAATTAAAAGAACAAGAGAACACAAACAAGAGCAAACGAATTAAAAAGCTAGCAGAAGACAAGAAATAACTAAGATCAGAGCAGAACTGAAGGAGATAGAGACATGAAAAACCCTTCAAAACATCAATGAATCCAGGAGCTGGTTTTTTGAAAAGATCAACAAATACATACACCACTAGCCAGACTAATAAACAAGAAAAGAGAGAAGAATCAGAAGAATCAAAAAGACACAATAAAAAGTGATAAAGGGGAGATCACCACTGATTCCACAGAAATGCAATTTACCATCAGAGAATACTATAAATACCTCTATGCAAAGAAACTAGAAAATCTAGATGAAATGGATAAATTCCTGGATGCACACACTCTCCCAAGTCTAAACCAGGAAGAAGTCATATCCCTGAATAGACCAATAACAAGTTCTGAAATTGAGGCAGTAATTAATAGCCTACCAATGAAAAAGAAAAAAAAGTCCAGGATTAGACAGATTCACAGATGAATTCTACCAGAGGTACAAAGAGGAACTGATACCATTCATTCTGAAAACATGCCAAACTATAGAAAAAGAGGAAATCCTCCGTAACTCCTTTTATGAGGCTAGCATCATTCTGATAACCAAATCTGGCAGAGAAACAGCAAAAAAAGAAAATTTCAGGCCAATTTCCCTGATGAATATTGATGCAAAAATCCTCAATGAAATAAAGGCTAATAGAATCCAGCAGCACATCAAAAAGTGTATTCACCATGATCAAGTTGGGTTCATACCTGGGATGCAGGCTGATTCAACATAAGCAAATCAATAAACATAATCCATCACATAAACAGAACCAATGAAAAAACCACATGATTATCTCAATATATCCAGAAAAGCCCTTCCACAAAATTCAACACCCCTTCATGGTAAAAACTCTTAATAAACTATGTATTGATGGAACATATTTCAAAATAATAAAAGCTACTTATGACAGACCCACAGCCAATATCATACTGAATGGCAGAACCTGGAAGCTTTCCCTTTGAAAACCTGCAGAAGACAAAAATGCCCCCTCTCTCACCCCTCCTATTCACCACAGTATTGGAAGTTCTGACCAGGGCAATTAGGAAAGACAAAGAAATAAAGGGTATTCAAATAGGAAAAGAGGAAGTCTTGTAGTCTGTTTTTGCAGACTACAAGATTGTATATTTAGAAAACCCCACTGTCTGAGCTCAAAAATTTCCTTAAGCTGATAAGCAACTTCAGCAAAGTCTCAAGATACAAAATCAATGTGCAAAAATCACAAGCATTCCTATACATCAACAGCAGACTGAGAGTCAAATCATGTGTGAATTCACACAGTTGCTACAAGGAGAATAAAATACCTAGGGATACAACTTACAAGAGATGTGAAGGACCTCTTCAAGGAGAACTACAAACCACTGCTCAAGGAAATAAGAGAGGACACAAATAAATGGAAAAACATTTCATGCTCATTATAGGAAGAATCAATATCATGAAAATGGCCATACTGCCCAAAGTAATTTATAGATTCAATGCTATTCCCATCAAGCTACCATTGAATTTCTTCACAGAATTGTTAAAAACTATTTTAAACTTCATATGGAGCCAAAAAGAGCCCGCATAGCCAAGACAATCCTGAGCAAAAAGAACAATGCTGGAGGCATCAAGCTACCTGAATTCAAATTATAATACAAGGCTACAGTAACCAAAATAGCATGGTACTGGTATCAAAAC
Source organism: Homo sapiens (assembly GCF_000001405.40). Taxonomy (NCBI): domain Eukaryota; kingdom Metazoa; phylum Chordata; class Mammalia; order Primates; family Hominidae; genus Homo; species Homo sapiens. The sequence continues at coordinate 21,439,542 of NC_000024.10, read as the reverse complement.
AGAGATATAGACCAGTGAAACAGAACAGAAGCCTCAGAAGTAACACCACACTGGTACAACCATATGATCCTTGACAAACCTGACAAAAACAAGCAATGGGCAAAGGATTCCCTGTTTAATAAATGTTGTTGGGAAAACTGGCTAGCCATATACACAAAACTGAAACTACACCCTTTCCTTACACCTTATACAAAAATAAGCTCAAGATGGATTAAAGACTTAAATGTAAGACCTAAAACCAAAAAAGGCCTAGAAGATAAACCTAGGCAATACCATTTAGGACATAGGCATGAGAAAACACCTCATGTCTAAAGCACCAAAAGCAATGGCAACAAAAGCAAAATTGACAAATGGAATCTAAGTAAACTAAAGAGCTTCTGACAGCAAAGGAAATTATCATTAGAGTGAATAGGCAACCTACAGAATAGGAGAAAATTTTTGCACTCTATCCATCTGACAAAGCACCAATATCCACAATCTACAAAGAACTTAAGCAAATTTACAATAAAAAAACCCAACCCATCATAAAGTGGGTGAAGGGTATGAACAGACACTTCTCAAAAGAAGACATTTATGCAGCTGACAAAAATATGAAAAAAAGTTCATCATCAATGGTCATTAGAGAAATGCAAATCAAAACCACAATGAGATACCATCTCAGGCCAGTTAGAATGGTGATCATTAAAAAGTCAGGAAACAACACATGCTGGAGAGGATGTGGAGAAAAAAAATGCTTTTACACTGTTGATGGGAGTGTAAATTAGTTCGACCATTGTGGAGTACAGACAGGTTATTCCTCAAGGATCTAAAACTAGAAATACCATTTGACCCAGCAGTCCCATTATGGGTTGTATATCCAAAGGATTGTCAATCATTCTACTATAAAGACACATTCACACTTATGTTTACTGAGGCATTGTTCACAATAGCAAAGACTTGGAACCAACCCAAATGTCCATCAATGATAGCGTGGATAAAGAAAATGTGGCACATATACACCATGGAATAGTAAGCAGCCATAAAAAAGTATGAGTTCATATCCTTTGCAGGGACATGGGTAAAGCTGGAAAGCATCATTCTCAGCAAACTAACACAAGAACAGAAAGCCAAACACTGCATGTTCTCTCTTATAAGCTGGAGTTGAAAAATGAGAACACATGGACACAGGAAAGGCAACATCACACACTGGGCCTTTAGTGGGCTGGAGGGCTAGGGGAGGGATAGCATTAGGAGAAATACCTAATGTATATGATGGGTTGATGGGCGCAGCAAACCACCATGGCACGTGTATACCTATGTAACAAAACTGCACATCTGCACATGTACCCCTGAACTTAAAGTATATAAAAAAAGGAAATACATATAGACATATAGTATATCTGTATTAAAATATATAATGCATACATTTCATCTATATGCAATACATATATGTTAGTTATAACATATACAGATATATTATGTATGTTTAGGAATACTTACATTTATAAGTTAGTTATATAGCTTATATGGTTTATATATTAAATTATAAGATATTAACTTAAAAGTATAAATTATACATTTCTATCACATGTAAATTTCATATTACTTGATTGACAGTAATAAATTTTACATGGTACATACTACATGAGTTCCATGTAACATTTAGGTATAAATAATTGTAACACTGGTTAAAAAAGTGAAATCAAATACCAGAGGGAATTTAGAAGAAAGTTCAAAACAATAAAAAATCACCTACATACTCAACATCATTATTTGCATATTACTTATGCCCTCAGCCAAGTAACTTTACGCAAAGCACAACTTATACAGTCACATGAAACGACTGCATGTATCACCTCCTCTGCCATTACATTTGTTGAAGCATCATCATTTGTTTAGTTTCTCTGCTTGAATCTGATACTCACTTGCAGCTTAGAGTTTGTTCTCCAAGTAGTCAGAATTATACTCAGAATAAACAAAAGGATTTGTCTTTGATCTCACTTAAGTGTTTTCCTTTGTTCATCTTGCCATATGTTGCGAGTATGACTACTTGCTTAATTCTAGTCTCCGAATTATTTCAATGGTTATTTTGTCTGCCTGGAATTCTCTTCCTCCAAATGTCTGCCTAGATTACTTCCCCAGGGGTTTAGTCTTTGCTCAAGTAAAGCATTTTAAAGGCATGTGACTCCAAAAACACTTTTTCCAACATCTTTGCATCACCTAATTAACTATGAACTATAGTTGATGTAAAAAATGTTTGTAAAATGTGCTTAGGTTAAATGTGCCAGTGTTATTGATAGTACCTTTAATACTTTTAGTCTTTGCATGGAAAAGCAATAAAACTAGAACAAGCCAGGAAACCATCTTTTCAAAGTTGTGGTAGGCGGAGACCACCACCTTCTTCAAAAAACAGGACACCTGCAGGAAGTCTGAGATCTGGAAGACGAAGTAGTGGAGGAACAAGAGGGTGGCTTCTCTCATATGAAGGACACTTCGGTAATGTTTTAAAATATAAAAATGGAACCACAGGACTGAAAGAAAATAAGTTTGATGATATCAAATTTTCTCAATTTTATCTATTTCCTTTATGAACAGAAAATTAACTTACAGATAAAATTATTTCTAAGTACTAAAGGTGTATTATCAGAATGATTGAACTAATATCTAAAATTCATTTTAAAATTGTAATAACTTTGCATTGAAATAACAAAAATTTCAAACTGAATTGAGTTTATGAATGCTGATTGCCTGCACTCAACAAGTTTCTGCAGAACTCATTTATATTCATTATACTTTAGAGTTTTCAACTTTGGGGCCCAGAACTTCCTATCAGTTGTAACATCAAAATAGGATGGAATATTTAAAATTTTCCAACAGGAAAAAAGTAACTCAGTACTTAAGATTGATTTTGCAATATTTGTTTTTTTGTGTATACATGTGCTAACATCTATGCAAATCTATTGCTTTGTAATTTTGATAGAGAGTTTGTACATTGGTCTGCCATAAAGCATTTTCAATTTAAGAAATGTAGAACTTTAATTTCTGAAAACAGTCAGTGACTCTGGAAAGGTCTAATAACCACGGCTTCACAGATATATATGTATCTGTCTTTGCTGAAGGATGAGTCACTGAAAATGATATTTATGAGTGATTTACACCATAGAAATGAGGGGTCGATTTTTACGTAAAAAAGAAAAACTAACCATATATTTGAAAACAAAACAAAACAAAACAAAATGATTGGATGGGCTGGGTGAGATGGCTCATGCCTGTCGTCTCAGAACTTGGGAAGTATGGGATGGGGGGACCACAAGGTCAGGAGTTCCACACAAACATGGCGAAACCCTGTCTCTCCTAAAGGTATAAAAAATTAGCCTGGCATGGTTGCTTGCACCTGTAATCCCAGCTACTTGGCTGAGGCAGGAGAATCACTGGAATCTGGGAGGTGGAAGCTGCAGTGAGGTGAGATCACACGATTGCACTGTAGCCTGGGGTAATAGGGCAAGAGTCCATCTCAATAACAAATAAATAAATAAATAAATATATCAGTTAACTTGTATTGTCTATTAACCAACCTTCAAAAATCTATCATTTATTTTTGGGTTTTAATAACCAGATGTGTAATTAATTGGAGATGTTCTTTTGAAGCTGAAATTGCAGTGTTTGCTCCATTTTAAGATGCATAGCTTCATGATTATTTTGTCTCCATTGATCTTGAGGGTGAGGTTCAATAATATTCTGTCATGTAAGAGAATGTGTGTATTCTAACCTGTAATGCCACCTGGCAATTGGCATATGTCTATATTTTTTGTAGATATATGAAAAATATTTTTATATTATTTAATATGCAATTCTTAAAGATTATTAAAATTTAACAGTCTAATCTGAAAATTAGTGTTTTATAAGGGAATTGTAAGAATTCTATATTCTGTTAACAAATTTTAGAGGTAAGGTATTTTCCTGAAGTGGCATTTTTTGATATTGTAAATATTTGAGTTTCTTTGAATAGAATTTAGTTTATCTTTATGATATGCTTTGAAAATTTTTCCTCATAACAGAATGATATAAACAGTCATTTATCATTTTTCTTTTAATATTTTTATGTATATTATACTTAGATATTTTACTGATCAATATCTGCTCCCTGTTCACTCCCTACTTTTCCCACATCTCTCTCATAGAAAATATTATGATTCTTGAGTTTCTTTCTAGATTTTCTAAATGGAGTTTTATTGCTTGAGTTGTACTAATTTCATATAAAAATGTTAATTTTATTAGTTTAGACAAATGTGAATTTGTAAGATTATAATATGTAGAAAATCTTTATAAAAAACTAAAACTTAGCCATTTAAGAAACAGTGATGTTAGTTAACTAAGGAGTTTGTTTGAGGCCGGGCGCAGTGGCTCACGCCTGTAATCCCAGCACTTTGGGAGGCCGAGGCGGGCAGATCACGAGGTCAGGAGATCAAGACCATCCTGGCTAACACAGTGAAACCCTGTCTGTACTAAAAACACACACACACACAAAAATAGCCGAGTGTGGTGGCAGGCACCTGTAGTCCCAGCCACTCAGGAGGCAGAGGCAGGAGAATGGCGTGAACCGGGAGGCTGAGCTTGCAGTGAGCCAAGATCGTGCCACTGCACCCCAGCCTGGGTGAAAGAGCAAGACCCCACCTCAAAAAAAAAGAAAAAGAAAAAAAAGAGTTTGTTTGAAATACAGATGATGGTGGATACACTCCTGATCTCAACATGAGTTCTTCTAGGGGACCCATTCCAGTTAAAAGAGGTCCCTCTTCAAGAAGTCGAGTCCCTCCTCTGAAAAAATCTGCTCTTTCTGCTATGGTAAGAAGCAATAGTTGGATGGGAGGCCAAGGTAAATGCTACCTGATAGAAAGACCATAGTTTTTGTAGGACTAAAAATGAGCTATTTTACCTGGATGCTTAACTTTAAGTTTATCAAACAAAATAGAAGTGACATACACATTGGCTTAATTGGTGATCGATCACTTTGAGTATAGTTTCTCTCTCACTAGGTACATTTCAGGTTTATGGTGAAGAAATACTCTAGCTTCTCATTGCAGATCAAAGAATTGATTAGAGTGAGGCCAACGTTTCTTTTAATCCTGTGTTGCTAGAGGATTCCCCTTTATTTTTCTAAAAGCTCCTAGCAGTATTCTTTAAGAGATGCTAGGCTTCTTCATCTAAAGAATTCTTCCATTTCCTAGGTCCCGTGGTAATGGTCCCCTGGTGTTCCAATCTGAAAATTGCTTGTTCAGTTTCTTTGTTGGGTTGGAGTCTTGTTCTTACCAGGTCAGAGTGCTTTGGTGAGATGATGGCTTACTACAGCCTCAAAATCCTGGGCTCAAACAATTATCCTGTTTCAGCCTCCTGAGATGCTGCAACTACAGGCATGCACCACTACACCTAGCTAAATTTTTTTCCTATTTTTTTGTGGAGAGGGGATCTCACTACATTTTCAAAACTGACATTAAAGCCTGGGGCTTGAGCAGTCCAGCTGCCTCAGCCTTCTACACTGGCTCACAGTGTCAGCCACTGACCTGGGCCATCCAGCTTCTGAGACCTCAATAAGCTTATTTGCAAGGCATTCTTACTACTTATATGAAGATTCAAAAGAACTACAAGAGCATTTAGCAGAAAAGGAGTCACTGGGCTTAAATATAATTTAAAAATAATTTTAAGGCTTGAAAGGTAGACATGAAGGAGTTCAATATTCTTAAGTGAGTATCACAGAAGGACAGTGTTGTGAAATATAAGGGGATGTAAATCAATAATTAAGATTGTACCGGGATGTTTAAACATTAACACAAGATCCTAAGTGTAAAATTTGAAATTATTTGAGGAGAGTACTTAGAACTAAGCAACACGAGGTGAGCAGTAGGATTTAATAGAAGCAGTATTTTTCAGAAGGATAATTTTAAGATTGCAGACTAAACAGAAGAAAGCAAGATAATAAATAAAATTCTTAGCAAAGAAGTTTAAGCAGAACAAATTAAAATTCTTACTTATTCCTCCATCCTAATATGGAGGAAATTAAAAACTGACATTTTCAATTTTACATTTCTTATGTAGACTGTCAGTGAAGTTAGGTATTTATTGACTTCAGGACACAAAAGCCAACATATTTCATTGGAAAATTCGCTAGTGAACATATCATAGGTGAAAGGCTGACATTTAAGGAATAGCTAGTGAAGAGGATATTAAAGAAGAACCTTCTCTATTTCGAAATAGCAACAATGTTGTAATGACCCCTTTAACATTACTGGTTATTGAAATAAAAGTAAATGTTGGCCATCATTAGAAAATCTTCACTAATACATTTTAATTTGTCAACATTTAAGGTAGAGCCAGCCACTTAGAGATAAAGGAGAACTTTTATGTAAAAATTTAGCATGTAGTCATTCAAAGGTAGCAGTATTTGTGTGTGTGAGATGAATTTAACAACATGGGAAAATTTACCTTCTTCAGCTGAGAAAGGACAATTTATGTAAACTTTAAAATCAGTGAAAAGTTTGATGGTTTTACATGTTTTCCCTCTGTCATTAGCAGTCATCAGTCATTCATATGAAGAGGAAAATAATAACTAAGTTGTTATTAACATTACAAATGAACTTTACCTGAGAATTAGTGTTAGCCTTCAGCTTCATTAGAAGAACTGGCCTTGCGGGAGCCATGGGGTTATCCAAAGCCATAAGAAATATTCACAGTGTCATGACTGGCTAGTAATTTAGGAAACAAAGAATGGAGTCATAGAAGAAATAATTTTAAAAAGTTGTTTGAGAGAAGATAAAATAGTGTTTCAGATTTGGTGTTCTTTACATAATGTTCCATTACATGAGTGTTAAATATCCCATATCATGTGGAAGAGAGAATTATGGAGGTCCTCCATGCAGAGTGACAATCTCTTCCTGGATAAATGACCATATGTCACCAAGAGATGATGGTTATGCAATTAAGGAGAGTTAAAGGAAAAATGAAATAAAATAGTTGATTTTTTTTGTTGTGGTGATGAAATTCACATAACAAAATTACATATTATAAGGTAAAGAGTTAAGTGGTGTTTAATACATTCTGTGTCATGCAACAACTACCTCCATCGAGTTCCAAAACATTTTCATGATTCCAAGCTAAAACTCCAACTACCAGTTAAGCAGTTCCTTCCATTTTCTCCCTTCCCTCAGCTGCTAGCAAACACCAGTCAGTGTTCCACCTCTGAATTTATCTGTTGTGGGTACTTAACGTTAATGGGCTCAAACACTACATGACTTTTTGCATCTGTCTCTTTTCCCTTTGCATGATGTTTCAAAGGTTCATTTACATTGCAGCACTTCACTCCTTCCACAAACTGTTAACCCATTATTTTATTTGGGTTGTTTCCACCACAGTGTTTCTATGCACCAATATTTGTTTGAGTATACTTATTCGATTCTGGGTATGTATATAAGTGGAATTGCTTGGTTCTATGATAATTATGTTTGTTTTCTTGAGGAACCACCACATTTCTCCATAGAAGTTGCATCATTTTCCATTCCAACAAGTATTGTATCAGGGTTCCAGTTTATCTACATCCCCTCAAACACTTGGTATTTCCTGCTTTTATTGCCATTCCAGTGTGTGTGTGTGTGTGTGTGTGAAGTATGGTATCTCATTGTGGATTTGAAATGCATTTTCTGAATCACTGATTATGAGTATCTGTTCCATGTGCTTTCTGGGCATTTGCCTATTTTATTGGAGAAATAGCTATTTAGATGTTTGGCAATTTAATTGTGTTTAAGTTGTTATTTAGATATATTTTTGGATACTAGAATTTGAAAATTTAAAATGTGTTGCTTAAACTTATGCACACAGACATCATCCAAGTTCCCGAGAAACTAGGGATTATGCTCCACCACCTAGAGGCTATGCATACTGTGATTATGGTCATTCTAGTCAGGATGAACATTCCTCTAGAGGATATAAGTACTATAATGTTATCTGGATTTATTAAATTGATTTCTTAAATTGTTCATTCTGCCATTAAGAACCCTTTTTTATTTTTTTTTTCAATTTAGTGATCATGGTGGCTACTCTGAGGCCTGTGGTAGAGATCTTTCTCAATGTGCAAGTGGAAGTTCTTACAGAGATGCATTTCAGAGATATGGTAATGGTCCAGGATGGATTTGTAAATTATAGAATTACATTTAATAGATCAGATCATTATTTACATGAAATTCTAAGGAAAATTATAAAGAACAAATATAACATGCTTCAATAATGAGTATTCTTAACAGTATAAAATATAGGGAATGATATGAAAGTGAGAACTTCAGTTCATGTTCAGAAAATGTGACTCAACATTTACCTTAGAATTAAACTTGTCAAGCTTCAAAATACTACTCTTACACTTATTTTAAATAAAACCTACTATTGCAGGCTTAATTATTATCCTGTCAACAAAGGCAGAGGAAAGCAGATATTTCCAAATAGTACTTTAATTAGTTCATGCTTTAGTGATAGCAGTAAAAATGTTTAAATGTAGCCCAACATATTATTTTATCAACTCTGCTGGGACCTCTCATGGTGCAGCACCTGCACAAGGACCTGGGATGTCTTATGGTGGAAGCAGCCATCATGATTATAACAATACTCGAGATAGATATGGCAGAAGTCGGGAGAGTTACTCAAGGAGTTGCAGTGATTTTTATTCCTGTGGTCATGAGCACTTTGGCAGAAAAGACTGAAGGAATACACCTTCTCTGGATAGGGTGCACCCTGCTCCTCATGTAGCATATGGTAGGTCAAGTTAAGTGGCATCTATAGGAGATAGTGGGGAAAGTCGACCTGAAAAAGGAGACTGAAGCAGATACTAAAGCAAGTATCCAAAATAATGGTTATTGCATACCAAACCTTGTTTGCAAATTGAAAATTGAAATGTTATTTCTGCATTGTTACCTGTGTATTACTGAAAGAAACATGTTGGTTTTGTGGAGAGAAGTAGATAATAACTTCCTCCATGAAGTTTTTGAGGAATTCAAAGGAAAAGGAATGTTTTTCAAGTAATTTCGTACTTGTTAATGCTATTTGAAAACTATCTGTTTAGATGTAATATCTATATTAAAATTTTCAGAATACATTGTTACATGTAATGCAAAATGCCTGATGTTATTGCTCAGCTATACATGCTTAAAAGCAAATACAATAGGAGAGTAAATTGTGTTGTTTGTTGAACATTTTTCTTTGTTTCTTTGAACACAAATAGAAACAAAATTAGGCACATATTACATCTCCCTTGCAAGCTGCACAAGTTTTCTAATTAGGCTCTTTCTCTTTAAAAATTTACAAGCTTATAATGTTTCAGAAGTCTTTAGAAGGACTACAAAATTATCTGCATCACCATAAAACGTTTATTTTTTAGAGGAATAGTACAGGTGAAAGGATGTAATTACATGTGGTTGATACTAAAGTTTAAGACATCCGGAACATTCTACTTGAAGCATTCTGTGACTGAAGGGGGATAACGGTAATGAAAACTTTCTTTTTTAACCTAAATCAAAAGTGTACCAGCGGAGTTTCTCAAGTGCATAGCATAATGAAATTAAATGTTCCTAGTTTAAATAGTGGAAAGTAATCAACACATGCATAACCTCACATACTTGTCATTTTGAGGTGATAAAACATGATATGCCCCATCTTACATTTATTAGAGAAAGAATGTGTTATCCCTAGTTAAAGTCAGCATGCTGCAGAAAAGGTTTTTAACCAATTCCTCCTTTCTAACTAGAAATATGTATTCTTGATCCAACATCTCCTCAGTATACTCTCTTCACTAAACACCACCCCAACCACTGGAGTCACTACCTCTGTGAGATCTGCTTTTAGATTTCATATAGGAATGAGGTAGTGGGCTATTTGCCTTTCTGATACCTGGCTTATGTCACTTAACAAAGTGGCATGAACACATTCACCAGATTCACACACATTGTCACAACTGGCAGGATTTCCTTCTTTGACAATGCAGGGCATTTTTCCATTGTGTTTATGTGCCCTATTTTTTTATCCACTCATCAATTGAGGGACACTCAAGTTGCTTCCGTATCTTGGCCATAGCGAAACTGTAAAGAGTGCAGCAATAATTGCATGGGTGCACGCACCGCTTCAGCATACTGATTTGTGTACCTCTGCATGTGCCCCGGTATTCTGATTTGCTGGATCATATGGTGGGTGGTTCTACTTGTAGATTTCTGGAGACTCTTTTTCCATTTTTATTCTTGAGATGGAGTCTCGCTCTGTCGCCCAGGCTAGAGTGCAGTGGCGCGATCTCGGCTCACTGCAAGCTCCGCCTCCCAGGTTCATGCATTTCTCCTGCCTCAGCCTCCCGAGTAGCTGGGAGTACAGGCGCCTGCCGCCACGCCCCGCTAATTTTTTGTATTTTTAGTAGAGACGGGGTTTCACCGTGTTAGCCAGGATGGTCTCTACCTCCTGACCTCGTGATCCACCCCCCTCGGCCTCCCAAAGTGCTGGGATTACAGGCGTGAGCCACCACGCCCAGCGATTCTATACTTAAATAAAATCCATAAAACTTCTTGTAATGCCTGCACTAATTTACATTCTCATTAAAAGTGTGCAATGATTTCCTTTTCTCTGCATCCTTAGCAGAAATGAGTTTTTTTTTGTTTTTTTTTTTTTTTGGTTTTTTGTTTTTGTTTTTGTCTTTTGGATAATAAGCATTCTGACTGAAGTGAGATGAAATCTCATTGTGGTTTGATTTTCCTGATGGATTAGGGATGATGAGTGCTTTTTAGTGTGTCTTTTGGGAAATTGTTTGTCTTAGTTTCACAAACGAGTATTCACATCCTTAGCCCATTTGTTTTCATGCTATTGAGTTGTTGGAGTTCCTTATGTATTGTAAATATTCACCCACTAACGGACATATGGTAATCCAATAATTTCTCCCATCCTGTAGGATGTCCCTTCTCTCTGTTTAGTTTCCTTTGGTGTGCCGAAGCACTTTAGTTTGATATAATGCCATTCTCTATTTTTGATGGTGTTTACTGTGCTCTTGCAGTCACTTTGAGACCCTCATTGCCCACACGGATGTCATGAAACTTCCTCCTTGTGATTTCTTCTGGTACTTTTATCATTGCAGGTCTGACAATGGAGTTTGGTGAGAAATAATCTACTTGTAAAATCCTTTATGTGGATATTCAGGTTTTCCCCAACCTAGTTTATAGAAGATACTTGATTTTGCATTGGGCGTTCTTGCTTTTTTGGGAAAAGGTCCTGTGCTGTAAATGCAGTGACTTAGTTCTGGTCCCCTGTTGCTTTTCATTAGCTCATGTCTCTGCTTTTCTGCCAGTGCTGTTCTATTTCGGTACATAAAACTTTGTAGTATATTGTGAAGTTAGGTAGTATGATGCCTCCAGCTTTGAACTTTTTACTGGATTGCTCTGAGTCTTCAGGATCTCCTGCCATTTCATAGCAAATTTAGGATTCTCAGATTGTTTTTCTATGAAGAATGGGTCACTGATATTTTTATAGGGGTTGCGTAGAATCTGAGGATCGCTTAGGTAGTATTGATGTCAATGCCATGGACAATGTGTGTGTTTGTGTGCACATGTTCAGGGCCAAGAAACGCTGGGTGTCATCACCAATAGTGAGGTGGGCCTTAATATCCAGCCAGATTGCCTGCCTGGACACACACAGAAGGTCCCCTTCCATTTTGCCATCTCTTCACATTTTCTGCCCTGTGAGCCCCGTGTGGTCCTCCAGATTCCCTGTGTGGTGGCCTGTCTTTTCTGGGGGTGGGCAGGGGCTGGGTGAATGAGGATGGCAGAAGGGAGAAAGCATGTCTGGGGAGGCTGGGGTCATCAAAATGGAACTTGACAGGCCTGGGAGAGCCATTCTGGGAGGATATAGACCTAGATGGGCCTCAGGTGGGCACCTGTGTGGGGGGTGAGAGCACCCTGGTTGAGTCCAAACTGAGCCTCAGGTGGTAGCAGGCCTCAGGGCAGGGAAGGAAGCTAGCAAGGGATGATGAGGCAGCTATCCCTTGAGCCTGGCTTCTCACCCACTGACCTTAGTTACTTATGCCTCTTGAGTGGCTTAGGGTTCCCCAATCCTGAAATGTGGGTACTACAGTTCCCTGATGGGCCTTTCTCCCCCAGCCCATGCATGGTCTGAGTATGCTTACCGCAGTCTCCTCCCTGAGCCTTGGCTTCACTATGTGTCCTAGCTCCAGGACCCACAGGCCTCTCATCCCCCAGCCCTGGGCTGCTCCCCAGCCTCCTCTCTGTTCCCTCTCTGAGGGCCTAACTCCCTTGGGTAGTGCTGCATGAGATTGAGCCACGGGCCCTGGCTGATGATCTGGGGGACTGGGCAAAGTGGTCGTGACAGGTCAGGTTCTGGTTCAAAGCCAATTCCTCCGACACCAAGCAATGACCAGCAAGGTCCTTTCCCATGATGCCCCACCGCCACCCCACCTCAGCAACCCTTCATACCCTGGGCAGTCACCATCAGCCAACCAGCTGAAGAAACTCAGTTAGGTGTGTCCTGCCTGAAACTGGGGCCTTCACTTGCATAACCCTAGAACCACTGGACACAGTGGAGCCAGTCACCCTCTATCCTGGAGCGAGAGGAGTTGGGAAGGCTCATGCCAAACCTAGCTTCCCACATACCACCCCCTCTACCATGCGGGGAGGCACTCCTTATTGAGAATTCCAATGCAGTACTCCTTAATGATCACTTCGTTGCAGAAGTAAATGTTGCGATGAAAGGCAAACTTCATCCTTCCACCAGTACTCAGGATGGCTGAGTTCCTCCACCTGCCTGTCCAAGAAGGAGAAAGAGGATAGTCAAGGGACAGTTTCATCTAGGTGGGCTGAGGTGGCCTGCTAGCTGGGGTGAAGCATGTGTTTCCCCTTCCCAGCTCTCCCACTGAGACACCCCCATGCTCCAGGAGGACCTCAACCTGACCAGGACCTTGGAACCCTCCCCCATGGCCCACATCCTGACCTGCAAATCCATCTTGTAGCTTTGCAGGAGTTCCTCATGGTTTCTGAGCTACTTGTTGTCACCAGAAATAATCATAACTTTTAAACTGTTCTTTATGTCAAATTAAGTTTTTCATTTTTACTACCTCAATATGTTGTATGAGGCATGTATTTTTAAATTTATTTTCACCCTTATTGTACCTCTGTGATAAACAGTTTACTAACATTCATACCATAATTATCTTTCAGTTTTACTTGTCTGTTCCTAAAGATTCACTGACACTAAGAATTATATTTATGCTTGTATCTTTCAGCAACTGTATGTCAGATAACGATGCACATTACTGCAGAAATCACATATACAGGTCCAAAGGGAGACGAAGAAGAAGAAGAAAGCAAGGTTTAAAGTCTATACATTCCTAACACTGTATCAGAAACTCAGTAATGACAGTGAAATCAAAGAATGATCACAGTCAATTCCATGTCATACCTAGACTGAAATATGAAACGTCAAAAGAAAAGAAAGTTAAGAACTTTGGGCTTGTAAAAATTTTCCCATACAGATGAAATTATTGGTAACTTTGTCTCACTAGAAAACATAAACAAAAATCCACTTTTTGCATATGTGTAAACAGAAATATTTTTATTTCCATCAGTTATGACATGCAAGCAAGTAATAAAGTGAAAGTACAATACAATGATATATGAAATTTTCTCAGTATTAAAATATTCCATTGAGACTATTTATTTTATGAAAACCATAAAGAGTCTTCATTAAACTACATTACATAGTACTTTTTAGTGTTTTACTTATAGTTTAAATAATCAACAAATTAAAGGGAATTCTTCAACATTATTTATTACCAATACTGTTATTCTACTTGAGTAATCCTTTTAAAATTATTTTAAATAAAACATTAAAAACAAATTATATTGACTGATTTCAGCTTTTGATGAAAGCATACTTCTGTATTTGTAGTAATGTGAAGTATAACTTTCTTCTCACAATGGGTCTTTTATAACACGAGTGTTATTGTTTTGTCTAATACAAACCCTGTGTTATTTTATGGCTTTACTGTATCCATACATTACACGCCTCCAGAGAGTAGGCTTCGAACAGATGGAAAAATTATATTTGTGACAAACTTCAAGGAAAGGAAATGGTAAAATGGGAGAATAATTTCTAACTTTCTAACTGTTGGTCAATGCAGTTGTACATGTTTAGATGTAGACACATATTTGCACACTGCAAGTTTGCACATGTACATAGAAATTTATATGAGATACCCAAAATATATGGGTTGTGTAATTTTTTAATTAATCCACAATTTTATATGCATGAAATTTGATAAGCGGTTACATTATCCATATTCAATTTGTTGTAAAGCCAACAAAATCTCTGTCAGCATTCATTTCAATTAATACAATAATGTTAACTGCTGATAGCTTCATTTTCCTTGTTCCATGCTGGCAACCTGAAAGTAGATTCTCACTCTAATTAGCACTTAGGGTGCGATCCACAAGACACTGTCACCTTGCTGTGGATTGTGACCTCTGACGACTACTCTTTCTTCCTATAGCATTCCTACTTTGCATATTTAATAAACTTTGTGCATGGTTAAAAGGATAAAAGTGAAGTGAAATGTAGGCCATGCTGTGAAATGTTCCATTGTTTCTATATCTCTGACTGACTTTTCATGCTATAGAGGACAAGAAAGACAATTCAATATGTTTCTTATTATCCAGTCCAAAGCACTCTTTCTTACTAATATGCCAAATCCGTTGCTTCAAGGCACTGACATCTAAACACGGCTACACATCTCAAAATCTCTTCTCATTAATAACCGTTACGTTAATCACTGTTGTCCAGAACTGGAATCTGACTGTGAAATCCCCAGGTGGAAATTGCTATAATGGCTCAAACTATGGGAATGACTATTTTTCAGCGTAATTGCTGCTGTCATCTTACTGAAAAATATCATATTAGATGGCAGCTTTTAGTTACATAAATCCTGTTATTAATTTTTAATGTCCCACATTTTTATGATATTGCACAAGTAAAGATCTTTGATAACTTAAATGGTAAACTGAGCAATTGCTAAAATAACTCACAGCACTTCAAACATTCATTTACTTACTAGGAGTGCCACATATCATCGACCCCTGATTAAAACAAAGTTGGAAAATTAGTTATTAAAGTATGCATTTCAAGATATTTTTAAAAACTACCCATGCCATATATGATGCCCTATCTGCAAGGATGAAGCCTTAGCATAAATGTTTCAAAGCAGAGAAATCTAAACAATACTGGCAACATGACATCCCAATCATGTGCTCAAGTGTATGTTTGTGCCTCTAGGGAGGCAACTTAAGTGGTGTGTAATATTACCATTTTCATTCTCCCCAGTACCTCTTTTATTTAAAACAAACAAATGTTTCACTATTTGCAAGAAAAAAATGAGTTCTTACTCTATTGTATAACTGATATTTCTATCAGCTTGTTTTAATCTTCCTATGAACTGTGAATGCTTAGATAACTTTCAGTGTATCTGTAAAGTGGGAAGGTAACTGTACTTAGCTCACAATACTCTACTATGGGATAATATGACTCAAGAAATATAGATTTGCCTAGATAACACCTGAGATATACTAAGCAATACATAATCCTTCTCATATCAAATGCCTATTATAATTATTCAAATATATGGCCATAATAAAAAGATAAGTGTTTTATATACAAAGTAAATGTCTTTTGTCTTTAATATCTCTCTACACTTGTCTTAATAACCTCAACACAAAACACCCATGGAATCCGTTTTCAGCTGAGCTGACTACCAGTTATTAGGGTTTAAGTAAACAGAATAAAGATTTTAAAAGTAGATGACTAGATACAAGAAATCACACTTTCACCATAAGAAATAATTATTCTCAAGTGCCACTGCAACAGCAAACTTGAAAAAAAAATTAAGTATAACATATTGCAATATTCTAAAATCTAAAATTTCCTCTTTGAAGTCCAGTGGTTCATGCCTGGAATCCCAATAATTGAGAGGCTGAGAAGGGAGGACTGCTTCAGGCTGAGTTGGAGACCTGCACAGGTAACCTAGCAAGACCTAACTCTACAAAAGTAATTAATTAATTAAATAGGGCATCATGACACGCATCTGTTCTAGTTACTCAGAAGTTCAAGGTTGCAGTGAGCAGTCAAGGCACACTGCACTTCACCAGGCAAGAATTTGTCTCTAAAAAATAATACAATAAAACAAAACAAAACAAAAACACTTTCAGGTGTTTTTTGAAAGTTTGTATAATTGCTCCAAGAGCATAGACATTGTTTAAAATTGAGCAGTTCATGGGGAATGGGCAGAGAAAATGGTTTATATTGTTTTCCAAAAATCAAGATAAATATGTTAGAATATTATGTACAAATATCTAATAATCGTTTGTGAAATAATTACTGACAAATGTCAAGTCATTGTCTTTATAGCCTTTTCCTTCAAAACATTCATAGCTTAATTGGAGAATGAAGAGAAGAACAATAATTGCAATGTACTGTGACAAGTGTTACAACATATAAAACTTAATAACTTAGTTGGAGAGGAAAGAAGTTCTTAACTGGGTTAAGACAGGTGTGGGGAAGCTTCTTACGGCAGGAACAAAGAACAGGATCTGTAAGAATACAAATTTGCAAGAACAATGTTTAGGAGAAAAACATTGTGGGAGAAAAGAAACATTCTTTCTGTCAATGATAGAAGTACTAACAGTGCATATGATGCCATCTGCCCAATTCTTAGACCATAAATATTTCTTGAATGAATCAATGAATAAAGGATATTGGGAAAAGCGTTCTGGAAGGGATTTTAAAAATCCTAAAAGGAAAGGTAAATACCCTTGACTTTACGATTTTGACTGTTTTTCTCTATGTTCTTCTTAGTTTACTACCTCATAAGCTCCGTTTTACTTTTTGGTCTTTTCACAAATATCATGCATGAATCATTCCTCAGACTGCTCCTCTCTTGACCCTTTGATATTATATTTTTCTCTGATCTTCCTTTGTGTGTGCTCCTGGGTTTATATGCCCACAGATACCACAGAGGTCAATCACCTCTCCTGGCACTGTTCTGTAATAGAGAGGCCTGGCCCCTGTGAGGCATGGTTCCTAGGCTCCCATAAAAATTACTTCCTGTTTCAGTTCAGTCAAGCGGTGACACTGCAGAGATTAGAGAACAAGAACATGAGAGAAGCCAGTTTGTTTCCCTGTCCTTCTCAGCAGGGGATACGTTTCAGCAGTGATTCCATGGCCTGCGGGAAACACTCCGTGTGTTTCCGTTTTCCATGTAGTGACCATAATCCCAGACTAGCTCTTCTAATGCCATTTTCTCCAATTGTCTTCTCTAAAGGATTTGGGTGCTATTTTTGGAGATTTAAATAAAATATATTGATGTGGAAGGGGGACAGGGAAGTGCTGGGTAGAGCAGGGCGTGTTCCTTGGCTAGGGCTCCACCCTCAGGCCTGTGCTCACTGACCTAGGTGAGGACGGCACTTCTGTTTTCTTGCCCAAATGTTGCATTTCCCAAGACCACCCTGGCCTGCCACACCTCCATCCTGCCACACCTCCATCCTGTGATATAAGAAACCCCCAGATCCTAGCAGGCAGTGACACAGCAGCTGGACGTCTAGAGGGACCATTAGCAGAAAAAGACACAGCAACTGGACCTCGAGAAGACACCGGAGGAAGGAGAGCACAGAGACTGAGGCTGCAGGGCATCCACCGCAGAAGAACACTGAGTTTCGAGGAGCTGTGGGAAGAGAGCGCTGACCTGTCCCATTCCAAGGGAAAACTACCTTCCCGCTCCATCTGCCTTCTGGGTCCCCATCTATCTGCTGACAACCTCTACTTAATGAAACCTTGCACTTATTCTCCAAGCCCACGTGTGAGCCAATTCTTCAGGTACACCAAGGCCATAAACCCCGGGATTCAGATAGCCTTCTGTCTTTGCAGTAAGTCAGGATGTCTGATGGAGCTGACTAACACAAGCCACCTACGAATGGACCATGTAACACATGCCCTCTGGGGATTCAGGAGCTGTAAACATTCACCCCTAGACACTGCCTGGGATCAAATCCCCACAACCTGTCCTCATTGCACGCCCCGCGGGAGAGGGGATTAGGGACTTTTTCCCGTTTCAATATGAGTCTGTTTCCCATGCAGTGTGCTTTCTGTAATACTGCAGTGTTATCTCATTGTATATATTTGACAAAATAAGTTACAAGCTATAAGTAATGTGAGAAGAAAAAAAATGGTGGAGAATAAGGAAGAAAATGAAACGTTGTATCAGTAAGGAATGCTTTTACTTCAGATAACATAAAAAGTAAGTAAGGGATTTCTATTTTTCACATGTGAACCAGCCATAGTTAGGCAGTTGCTGCCTTTGATCAGTTGCTCTGCTGCATGGTAGTAGCAGTGACTTTTTTGCTATTTTCTCCAAGGTGAAACCTAACTGAAATTCATCACCATGTTGAGTCCAGTTGTTCCTAGCCAGCTTTGCCCACATCTTGGTTTTCCCCAGTGTTACCAACTCCTAGTTTATGCAACTATTTTAATAGTGTATTTTGCTAGTCATGTGAAACAGCTGCCTGAGATTTTCTATGCTCCTGCAGTCACCTAGTATTTTTGCTATCTCAAATTATGTGCCTTGCTCATTTTTCTCTTCAGGACACTATAGGATGTTCTTCAGCTGATTTTTTTAAAGAGCATTGGTAAACCAGTTTCATTTCTGTCAAATACTTCTGGGAATTTTTGAAAAACTTATACAAGTCTCAGCTAAACACCTGGTACTGGCCCACTGCCCATTCAGCTGCCTGTTACTGACTTCTTCCGTTAGACAAGATCCCCCAGGCAGCAACTGCATGTGTCCCCTGGCTTCCACTTGGTGTCCTAAAGACCAACATCTAATGTTTAAAACATTTCAAGTCTTAGATAGAGCATAAAGTTTTTATAGGATACAAAACAGCAATCAGACGCAAGAAATTGAGTCATTCTTCTTTAAACTCTTATTTGTAATTATTTTGTAGTTTGTCTTATTGGAAATTAGAGACCCAGAGAGTGGAAACAGTGCTTCTTCTTCAACCACCCTAATGCATCTCACACATCTGTCTCATCATTTGCTCTGTATGAGATGTCCATGTATGAGCTCCCATAAAATGATGCATAATTTATACATGCAAATGGTCCTATGAAACAATATTATCTTTTAAACATAAATCCACATTCAAGAGTAAAGTTTTTCAAAACCAGAAATAATTTACAGAATTGCTACATAATGTGGCATAATTATCATAATGTGGAAATGGAAATTCAGACAAACTTTCACATTGTTACTGAGAGGACTGTTCCTTGAAGACCTATCTATAGTCCTGGCTATCTGCATTCCAGGAATATTTTTATTATTATTTATTACCATCTCACAACAAAACGGCCCACTAGGTTAGATTTTTCCATGATAGAGTGTTTGACTAAAGAGTCAATAACTCTTGCAACAGAGAACACCCTTAGAAATTAGCTAATAAATTAGTTGACCAGAGTCTCAAAGTTCCCAAGGCCAATTCTTAGGGTTCAATCTCAGACTGTAATAGTGTTTTCTGCAGAACAGTGGCTATAAGTAGCCAGATATTTTCACATTTATAATCTATTGGTGGAAAGTCTGGTCCTAAAGTAAGAGCAGAGGATGCATCTCTCCTTTCATGACAAGTTTGACACTCAGGAGATGATAAATTTATAGGAAAAAAATGGTTTTCTCCATTTATCTTTGGCTATCTATTCCCAGATGAAATTAGAGTAAATATATGAAAGACATTTCAAAACATACTGGAAAAAGTTAAAGAAGAATATATTAAGAAACAAAACTTTAGCCAGTATCAATATTTGACAACAAAGTTAACCATTTTAACTATCAGTATAAACATATTTACAAATAAAGTGTATGCATAGGGAAATGTTTCTTGCATTGTACACACTTTCCCCAGTGATGTTCTAGGCACTCATTTAAAATAGGTCATTGATTGAATTACAACTATAACCTTACTGCAAATAGTACAGTAGAAACTTTTCTAAAACAGAGCACGTGTACACATTGGTTGGTCGTCCAGTTGTACTGTTTCTTTTGTATGCATGTGTGTATGTCTATGTAATTTTAGATAGTTATAGAGAATAGATTTCGGGCAAGTAATTAGAAAGTAATGAGATTCTCTTTGTAATAAAAAGGAAAATGATTAACTTTAAT
Source organism: Homo sapiens (assembly GCF_000001405.40). NCBI lineage: Eukaryota > Metazoa > Chordata > Mammalia > Primates > Hominidae > Homo > Homo sapiens. The sequence goes on along the minus strand of NC_000024.10, from coordinate 21,419,294 downwards.
TGACATTTTAGTTGAACAGTAAAACTGTATAAGAATTTATCCTGCTCAGGGAAAAGATGTATTGTGTTTTGCAGCCTGAAAGAGTGCTTTCCTGAGGAAGCCAGTGTTGGTATTTACTGCAGAAATAGATTTGTTTTGGTAGACTCCTGTAGCCAGCTACCTACAGAGAAGGAAATCCTACTAGAGAGAATTCTAAATAGAATAGTTAAATAGTCTTTCATTTGGGTGAAGCATTCACATATGATATTCTTTTATATTCAGCATAATTATAAACATTTAGTTTTAATACACTTTCCAAAAAACTAATTATAAAAATTAACAAGAGAATTGTATATTCCTCATTTAAAAAGTTTCAGCCTATTCAAATCTGAGAAGTCCACTCTGAAATACCTGAAAATGAGATATGAAATGAATAAGAAAAGAAAATACAGCAGAATGTACCAGATGTATTTTATGTGTTGGACGTACATATATCTGTTAGCTTTTAGTGGCAGTCAGAGTGCAGTCTACATAATTTTATTCATAATAGATGCCTATGCATGATATAGTCACACATAAATATTATTTCTCTGAAGATTGAAATAGAAAGCAGGGAAACACAACACGGCACATATGCTGAATTACATTTAAGCAAGTGTGAATTATATAGTTAAATGATCTCTTCAAGGGGCTTCTTATCACTCTCTCACTGGGTAGTCTAAGGATTAATTAGTTAAAGTTCCTAGGCTCTTTCAAGCTAAGAAACACTATATAAGTGCTTTGCATTATCTTGGTAACACGAGAGTGAGGCATAAGTGATTTGCAACCTCATAGGCTCTTTGAAATGTGTGTCTAGCCCGATTGACAGTTTTTTCTAACAGTGTCTTATGGATTGGAAGGTGCTTATGAAATTTGAAGATGAAATTTGCTCTATTAAAATCATGCTAATCTGCAAAAGCAATTTTGTTCTATATATATGTAGAGAGAGGTTTCTCAAACTAGAAGGAAACTTTGGATATGATTTCGAAGGTAATATAATAAGGTAGAATTTTGACATCAATTATAACTTGTCTATTATCTTTTGATTGTCTCAGCTATTGCTCTCTTAATTAGTGCAACTAAAGTCTAGTTAATTTGCACAAAGGTAGCCATCCCATTTTATTAGCATGTTTCAGTTATGTATCACTGAAATAAGGTCCATTCTATAATGTAATATATTATTTCATTTAATAATTTATTTTACTTTTATTTCCATTTTTATTATAAATTCAGAGAGTACATGTGCAGGCTTGTTACAAAGGTATATTGTGTGATGCTGACGTTTAGTCTTCTATTGATCCCATCACCGAGATAGGGAACCTTGAAACCAATAGGAAGATTTTCAGCCCCTGCCCCTCTCCCTCTGTCCTCACTTTGGAGTCCCCAGTGTCTAATGTTCTTATCTTTATTTCTGTGTGCACCCAAGTTTTAGTTCCTATTCATATGTGAGAATATTCTATATTTGATATTCTGTTTCTTCATTAATTTGCTTAGGTTAATGGCCTCCAGCTGCATCCATGTTTCTTCAAAGGACATGATTTTTTCTTCTTATAGCTGTGTACAATTCCAGGGTTCATACGTACTACATTTTCTTCATCCTGTCCACCGTGGATGAGCTCCTAGGTTGACTCCATGTCTTCACTATGGTGATGAATATGAGAATTCAAGTGTCTTTTCGATAGCTTTAATGATTTATTTTCTATTGAGCATATACATAGTAATAGGATTGCTGGATGAAATGGTAGTTCTATTGTTAGTTCTTTTAGAAATCCCCAAACTGCTTTCCACTGTGACTGAACATTCTCACCACCAGGGTATGAGTTCCTTTTTCCCTGCAACCTTGCCCGCATATATTATTCTTATTATTATTATTTTGGCTTTTTAATAAAAATAGTCATTCTGACTGGTATCTTATTGTGAGTTTGATTTGGATTTCTCTGATGATCAGTGATGTTGAGCACTTTTGTTATGTTTCTTGGCCACTAGTATGTCTTAAGAAGGTATTTGAAATAAACATTCAATTATTTCCTGTACTAATACGTGAAATTCTGCCTGTGTCCTTCTCTCTTCTCCTACTACATGATTTTACATGGATAATCAGTCAAAAAATGTGATGTGCTGGTAAAATATTTTATTTCATACTTGTAAAATATTTTTCTTTTAAAAATACCACATTCTAATTTTTAATTTTTTTAATTCCTTGGAAGTGGCAATGGGGACGGGGGAGTTTTAAAGCAATTAGTTCACAAGATGATTCCAATGTAAATGGTATATTATTCATTATAAAATTAATTTGTTTTTGAGTAAAATTTAAAAAATATATACAAATACAAAATAATATAAGAAATACCAACTAACCCCACTTAAAAATAACAGCTATTGATACATTTCCTGTTCTATTTACATGACCTCTGGTTGTAATTGGAATATATGCCCTCAGGTTTGTTTCCTTTCTTCCATTTCCAGAGGCACCATTATCATGAACTTGTTATTACCTTTGTATTTTTTAAATTTATTAAAATATTTATTTGTAAATAATACTGGTGCTTTGTAAATTTTTAATATTTATGTGAATATTATAAGGTGTGTATTATTTTGCATATTTTTTGTTAACATTCTTGGTGAGAGCTGCCATTATTGATGGCATAGTTCTCAGTCTACTGAATTCTCATGTTCCACGATGTGTTTATTGAAATGCTACAATGAAAAACCTTCCCTATGCCTCCGAATACACAGGTGTGACAGTTTCTAATGAATACATTAGAAGAATGGCTGGACTGCAGTGTGTGTACCATTTTAACTTTGAGGGAATGAAATATTCTCATTAGCTCCCTGCACTGCCACTTTATTAATATTTTTCATCCATGCTAATTGGCTTAGCACTTGTCTTAGATTTCTCATTTTTAATGAAGTATTATTATGTTACATTGATTAGAACCAGCATGAGTGTTAAATGTTCATTTTGTTTAATAATTATAGCTATTGTGAGGCCTCTATCAGTACATGAGAAAAATAAAATGTTAACAGAATGATGACTTTAGTGGGGAGACAAATCTGAAAATCAACTTTATTTTCCTGACACAGTTCACACAAAACATAGATTCTGCTACTTTTTCAAGGAAGCATGCAGCAGAGTGAGTAATAATAAATCAATATGCACTGAGTACATGGTGCCTAGGGATGGGTAGTTCCATCCAATCTTGCCTGGTGATGGGAGAAGTATTTGACATAGTTTTTGTTTGTTTGTTTGTTTTGTATGTGGTCCACTTAATGACACTCCCAGATCATCATATGGTAGGTTTGGGGAAAATGAAGGAAATAATAGGTTAGGTATATGTAAATTATGTACTGGAAATAGCAGCTTAGCACACAGAGAGTTGTTAATTGGTCTGGCCACAGTGGTTTTATCATTTCTCATATACCCTACAACTATTTATTTATGGGCTGTTTGCTAATGACTATTTTTTTAAAAATCTGTTTCAGCAGCAATGACCTAAAAAAATGCAACTACATATTTAATTAAAAACTATTCCCTATTAATAGTTTTAATTAATTAAACTATTAATTAAACTAATTAATTAAACTATTTAACTAAATGATTTAATTACTTAAATTATTAATAAAAACAATTTCCCTTTCAATTAAATTATGGGTTGAAAAGTGTCATGGTGTAATCGTAAAGCCTTGTAGTCCATGTTGGGACCACAAGGCTAAAAGTGATATCCTGAAATCCAGAATATAGAGGATTGAGGGGAAAAACCAGCTGCTATTTCAGAAGGAAACACTTAGTTACATTAAGAAAACTATGCCTGAAGATGACATTTCAACAGGTTTAATATGTGAATTTGGAAAAAAATTAAGCATATAATTCTGCGATACTTGGCTTTTTATTTACATCACATTACTATTTTTTTAATCAATTGTGTATATTTTTTAATTTTAATTTTTCTGCAGTTAAGAAATATGCATGAGTAGTTGTTAGTATGTTAACTCCATTAACTACCAAAGAAATTCCAAAAGCATTGATTAATGCCATTTAGACGCTTCAAACAGAAAATTAAATGAAAAAATGGTTTGAATTTTTCATCAATCATTGGAACCAAAATAAAGCTGTTGAAATCTTATTGTTCCAGAAATGAAACATTGAACAATGTGATAAATAGTTTTTCATGTTCAGTTAAAAAACTAAACATTGTCGATGACTTTTATTGGTGACAAGAAGCAGCAATTTTGGAAAAGCTTGCAAGTAACTTCATTTAAACGTCAATATAAAATTAAAAGATATGCATTTTCCAGAAAAGAACTATGGATAATTATTGTTAAGAAACAGATTAATTCACATAAATATGTTCCAGAATTATTATTCTGCCTACTATTTCTAATATTTAAATAACAATGTAAAGAAGTTATTTTTCTGTTTTGCATCAAGATATGTAATTGTGGTTTTAAATTTTTGAAAGCATTTGATTTTCAAAAATAGTTGGAAGATAACTATTTCATAGATCTATTGATATAGTAAAAACAATTTGACTGTAAGGAAATAAATAATAAATTGATAAAACAATAAATTAAATAATAAATGATTTTATATATGTTAGTACTCTTTTATCCTAAAAAAACTTTCTATTGGGACAATAAAGGTTTTAGTCACCCTAATTTCAATAAATGTCACTAGATAGTCCTGTGGATTGATGGAAAAAAATTACCATTCCTTACATTCTTGACTGCACTCAGTATTATTATTTTAATAGTTGCCAAGCTAATGAACAAAAGTTGGTGCCCAATGTGGTTTTGATTTACGTCCCTGGATTACTAATGAGCTCAAGCATCTAGCCATTTTTCCTTGGTCATTTGACTTTATTCCTTTCTAAAAAGGATCTAACTATTTACCTGTACTGCTTTCTTCTACTGGGCTAGATTGTATATATGTTTTCTTGTATATTTGTAAGACTTATTTTGATTATTTTGGATACTGGTATTTTTATTTATATTGTCTTAGTCATTTTCTGGAGTTTTATAAACACCCAAGATAATTTTTAGAATTTATGATCTGAAGATTTTTCAAAAAGCTAACTCAGAAGTCATTTGTGGCCATAATGCTGACTTCAAATGAAAACATAATTTTGCCACTTTAGGAAAACATACTTTAAAGATACTAATTAGAAAGCACGGAAGTGCTCAATTCTATCTTTTTAATAAAAGTTGCATTTAAATAGTCATTTCAGCGAAATCCTTTACGCTTACAGTAAGAATCAATTATTAAAATTGATTACCTAGCTCCTAGATGGTTTTCTAAATATTTCACAATTGTCATTTTGGCAATAATCACTTAGCATACTTGTGAGAATTACAGGTTCTCTAGGTCTCATTTCAGATTATTGAACCAAGATTTTGAAGGAAAATAGCTAGAAGTATCTAGATATATATTTTATGACCCACGAAATTATTTGGGGATATTTATGAAACTCTGGTCTGACACATAAGAGAACGTAAAACAGCAATGACAAAGAAACAAGCAAACAAACAAACAAACAAAAAATGAACCAAAAAAGAATAAAAAAACACACAAAGAACATCAAGCCAGGAGTCAGGAGTAAATACCTTATCTTTTCCTAACTCCAGCCTTCTCAAGTCATATGGCCCTATATTCTTTTTCATTCTTGGTAAATACTACTCCAACTATCTAGCACTTCACGGTAGTAATTAACCTGTTAGTTTGCAATTTAGCAAAATACATGAAACCTATTTCTGAACATTTTCTTTAGAAACATATTTCTAGCTATATACCATGGGTCAGTTAATGCTATTTATGGTTATAAAATAGCAGTATTTAATAAAAATATTTGACCACTCTCACAAAATTACCTTCTGTAAATGTTCCACTGCTACTAAGATTACATTGACAATTCGGAGACTGTACTGACATCTTGAGTATCATATATTCAAGGAAGATTGGAAAGTGTCTTCATATGTCATTGTCTACAATGATAAGACTTAATACTTGTATTAACTTCCAAATTTTCCTGTGTTAAAGCAGGTGTGCAGGTATTGGATGACAGGTAGGCCACTGAAGCATAACTGTGGATTAAGTTGTAAAAGTTTTGGCGAAATTGCACATTAACAACACCTCCACAGAAAATTTAGATTTTGGCTCAGCTAGGAGATGTTGAAGAAAATGACTTTTTTTTATTCTTAATGATTCCCCAGCTGGTTCTTAAAGGGAGATAGCAAAATATTGTGGAAAGAGGTAGTTTTGTAATCTGAAATTAGACTTTAAGAGAAGTTAATTATTTTGAGACTCAAATTTCAGATGTATGAAGTGGGGTCCAAAATATCTAGGACCTGTGTGTGTAGTTGTAAGGATCATATTATAACAATTGATTCTATTTGCCTTGTACTTATCCGTAAAAAAAGACATCATTTAATTGTGTTACTTAGTATAGCTTTGTGTGGGCATTTTTAAGGGACATTTATCTCATGATAAATAAAATAGTAATACTGGCAGATAATAGTACTTACTCCAACATTGACATTGCAGAGCTCCAGCTGTTCTGTAAAGAAACTGACATGAATTCAAAAAAAAGTGGATGATTGAAGGTTACTTAGTGGCCATTCTTTATTTACTAAGACTGTAATTCTCGGAGAGGACACACAACCTGTGAAGAGTTGGATGTGAATGATGAAGTGTCATTGAGAAAAGGCTGCCTCAAGGATCATCCTCTACATTCCTAGCTTGAAATACAGGGTATTTGGTGCTGTGAATTTCTGAAATAGTGGAATACTGTACGAGGAAACATGTTTTGGGCATGAAATGAAGGTCTGGTTTTGGTATGTGGAGATGTAAGGCATGCAGTTGGATATGCCAAGTCTGAAGGCAGAACAAAGATCTGGCCTGAAGTTGGGAATTTCTTAATGGTCAGCATAGAAAGGGTGTTTTAGCCTTGAGAAAACCCAAGAGGATCCATGACTGAAATCTGAACAACTTCAACACCTGTAGATTTAGTAAAGATGCCAACAAAATACACAACAAGTTCATATTAAAATTAATAGGAAAAGACAAACTACTTAGTGAGAGGTATCCAGGCAACTAGCACTAGGTAGCTATTAGGTAGCAAATTTGGGAAAAAATAACATGTATAAAGAATCTTTGATCAGGTTTCCAAATATATAAAATAAAAACCACTTTCATGTTAGAAGACAATATACAAAATGATATTATGTTAATGGTACTATTTAATGCTAATAGACAAAAATGAAAATTATTGTGAATTAAATCAACAGACAATATATTTTCTATCACTGTCTTTTCTTCTCAATTTGTGTGTTGTTTTAATTCACTAAGCAATGACTCCTCTTAATTCCACTACTTTTTATTTAACACTGCATTTGTTTTTCATATGTGCAATATTACACTGTCCAATAGAGAGGAAATGCAGAATTTGGGCTATTATATCAGAAACACCTTTGCTTTTCAGATTTGGGCGTCTGGAATGTGTTTAATTTAAATATTTTCATCAGGCCTCGATTTTTCAGATTTTGATAATCACTTTTCCAAAATAAACAATGTCTGACCGTGATGACTACAATAAAAATAAAATTATGCTGGCTTTTAAGAAAATTATGTAAATTTGATGCTTTTTTTGGGGTGTTAGGACAGTGGAGAAAAAGTTTTACTCCTGTGGCCCAGGCTGGAGTGCAGTTGTGCGATCTCGGCTCACTGCAACCTCTGCCTCCTGGCTTCAACCGATTCTCCTGCCTCAGCCTCCCAAGTAGCTGGGATTACAGGCACCTGCCACCACACCCAGCTAATTTTTGAATATTTAGTAGAGATGGGGTTTCACCATGTTGACCACGTTGGTCTTGAACTTCTGACATCTGGTAATCCACCAGTCTTGGCCTCCCAAAATGTGGGGATTACAGGTGTGAGCCACCCTGCCCAGCCTTCAAATTATGTTTTCATACCCACTCACACAATTTATTGTAACTATCTGCATGTTCTCCTCAGGTGGGGGAAAAAGAGTATCAGAGTTCTTGAAGAATTTATGGAAGAGAGAATGGCAATACTACACAAGGTTTTAACCTATTCATAATACTGCATTTAGTGAATAAAAACATTACCTTTAAAATCCTACTAAAGTATTAAGTAAATAAATAAAATATATTATTTCAATAACTCTAAAATATGTGTCCATGAAGAAAATAGAGGGAGGCTTCAAAAACATAAACACATAAGTGAGGCCAGGCATGGTGGCCTGCATCTGTAAGCCCAGCATTTTGGCAGGACAAGGTGGGTGGATCACTTGAGGTCAGGAGTTGGAGACCAGCCTGGCATATATGATGAAACCCAGTCTTAACTAAAAATACAAAAATTAGCTGGACATGGTGGTATGTGCCTGTAATCCCAGCTCCACTTGAGGAGCTACCACTTGGGGCTCAGTTTGGGCTCAGCCACGGCCCTCTCGCCCTCCACGCGGATGTCCCCCCGAGGCCCATCTCTATGTCCTCCCAAAATGGCTCTCCGAGGCCCATCGTTTTCTGTTACAGGAGGCTGAGGCAGGGGAATCGCTTGAAGCTGGCAGGCGGAGGTTGAGGTGAGCCAAGATCCTGCCACTTCACTCCAGCCTAGGTGACAGAGCAAGACTCCTTCTAAAAACACACACACACACACACACACACACGCACACAGAAACACACAAAACTAACAAATGAAAATAAAAAATTTGTACTAGAAAAAGTACTCACAGTCAAACTCACATATCTAACAGAAAAAAATGTCCTTTAAAACAAATTTCCACAAGAGACAAATAAGAAAACAAATTTATCAGCTTGCATATAAAGTTCAAATAATAAACTGAAGAGAACCACAGGGTGAGAAAATAAAAATGTACAATTAAGTACCCTAAAAGAAGCTGAAAGTTACTCAAAAATGTTCTGGATTCTATGGCTCTACATTGCAAACATGACCACAAAATTTGCCAGGAGTAGAACAATCAAAATGTATCCTAAAACTCAATATACACTTCAATTCTCACATAAGAATTGTAATGGAAAACGGATGCGTCTGCAGCATTTCCATATGAATCAGAACAAACACTGTTTCTTTGTACTCATTGTTTCTCTATTCTAAGAAAATAACTTCCATATTAATATTAGGGGATGTGAAAAAGCAGGTCTTCATCATGATAAGTAACACTGGGTGTCCAAACCACTACTCAGGTAGGCCTTAAATCCCAGCCAGTTCCCCTCCCTGGACAAACACCAAAGGTCCCAGCCATTGTGCAATCTCTTTACATTTCCTCTCCTGTGAGCCCAGTGTGGTCTTCCAGATTCCCTGTGCAGTGGCCTCTCTTGTCCCTGGGGGGCAGGGCAGTGTGAGTGACGATGGCAGAGGGGAGAAAGCATGTCAGGGGACCCTCGGGTCATTGTAACAGAAAACAATGGGCCTCAGAGAGCCATTTTGGGAGGACATCTGCCTCGGGGGGACATCTGCCTGGAGGGCGAGAGGGCCCTGGCTGAGCCCAAACTGAGTCTCAAGTGGTAGCCAGCCTCAGGGCAGGGAAGGGAGCCCTCTAAGTTTGATGAGACAGCTACCCCTTGAGACTTGCTTCTCACCCTCTGACCTTAGACACTTATGCCTCTTAGGTGACTTAAGGTGCCCCAATCCTGAAATGAGGATGTTACAGTTCCCTGATGGCCATTTCTCCAACAGCCCATGGATGGCCTGGGATTGCTCACTGCAGTCACCTCCCTGAGGCTTGGATTCTCCACGTGGGGCACAACTCCAGGAATCAAAGGCCTCTCAGTCCCCAGCCCTAGACTGCTCACCTGGCCTCCTCTCTGTTCCCTCTCTAATGGCCTCCCTCTCTGGGGAAGTACTGCAGGGGATTGAGCCTGGCACACGCGGACTGTGAGCCCTTTGGAATTGTGGGCATGGAAGAGCAACACCCTAACTGGCATCCTGAGTATGGCAGGCTCTGGCTGATGATCTGGGGTACTGCAGAAGTGGGTACAGGACAGGTCAGGTCATGGCTCAAAGTCAGTTCCCCAGAGGCCAAGGCAAGGTTCTTTCCCATGATGTCCCACTGTGGCACCCATCTCAGGAATCCTGCCAGAACGTGGGCAGTCATGGTCAGCCAACCGACCGTAGAAGCTCAGGTAGAAAGTGTAGCGCCTGCAGCTGGAGGCTTGACCTTCATGATCCCACAACCACTGGACTGCAGTGGAATGAGACATCCTGTATCCTGGAAAGAGAGATGTCAGAAAGGTTCATGACAGACATACCCTCCCACACATCAGCTTCCCTACCATGCTGGGAGGCACTCCTTACTGAGGAGTCCAAGGCAATACTCCTGAACGATAACTTCATTGTGGAAATAAAGGTTGTGACAAAAGGAAAACTTCGTCCTACCGTCGGTACCTGGGATGGCTGAGTTCCTCCCCTTACCTGGCCAAGATGGAGAAAGAAGACGAACTCAAAAGACCATTTCATGTAGCTGGGCTGAGGTGACCTGCTAGCTGGAGTGAAGCATGTATTTCCCCTTCCTAGCTCTCCCGCTGAGACACCCCGGGTCCGAGGGGGATCTCACCCTGACCCAGACAACGGACCCCTCCCGCAGACCCAGGCTCCTTAGCCTGACCTGCAAATCTATCATGTAGCTTAGCAGGACTGACTTCATCATCGTTTGTGATCCCGGCCAACCAACACCTGGGTGTGACGCACAATCTGCCTCTGGTCAAGGAGCCACCAGATGATTTGGTGAGCGTGCAGGTGTGTCCAGAATTGGTGGGTTCTTGGTCTCACTGACTTCAAGAATGAAGCCGCGGACCCTCACGGTAAGTGTTACAGCTCTTAAGGTGGCGCGTCTGGAGTTTGTTCCTTCTGATGTTCGGATGTGTTCGGAGTTTCTTCCTTCTAGTGGCTTCGTGGTCTCGCTGGCTCAGGAGTGAAGCTGCAGACCTTCGCGGTGAGTGTTACAGCTCATAAAAGCAAGTGTGGACCCAAAGAGTGAGCAGTAGCAAGATTTATTGCAAAGAATGAAAGAACAAAGCTGCCACAGTGTGGAAAGGGACCTGAGGGGGTTGCCAATGCTGGCTCGGGCAGCCTGCTTTTATTCTCTTATCTGACCCAACCCACATCCTGCTGATTGGTAGAGCCGAGGGGTGTGTTTTGACAGAGCACTGATTGGTGCGTTTACAATCCCTGAGCTAGATACAAAAGTTCTCCATGTCCCCATCAGATTAGTTAGATACAGAGTATGGACACAAAGGTTCTCCAAGTCCCCACCAGAGTAGCTAGATACAGAGTGTTGATTGCTGCATTCACAAACCTTGAGCTAAACACAGGGTGCTGATTGGTGTGTTTACAAACCTTGAGCTAGATACAGAGTGCCAATTGGTGTATTTACAATCCCTCAGCTAGACATAAAGGTTCTCCAAGGCCCCACCAGAGCAGCTAGATACAGAGTGTCAGTTGGTGCACTCACAAACCCTGAGCTAGACACAGGGTGCTGATTGGTGTGTGTACAAACCTTGAGTTAGATACAGAGTGCCGATTGGTGTATTTACAATCCCTGAGCTATATATAAAGGTTCTCCATGTCCCCACCAGACTCAGGAGACTAGCTGGCTTCACCCAGTGGATCGCGCACTGGGGCTGCAGGTGGAGCTGCCTACCAGTCCCACGCCATGCGCTTGCACTCCTCAGACCTTGGGTGGTCGATGAGACTGGGCGCCGTGGAGTAGGGGGCGGCGCTCCTGAGGGAGGCTCGGGCCGCACAGGAGCCCACGGAGGGGGTGGGGGGCTCAGGCATGGAGGGCTGCAGTTACGGACCCCTGCCCCGCGGAAAGGCAGCTAAGGCCCGGCGAGAAATTGAGCACAGCGCCGGTGGGCTGGTACTGCTGGAGGACCCAGTACACCCTCCGCAGCCACTGGCCCGGGTGCTAAGCCCCTCATTGCACGCGGCTGGCAGGGCCGGCAGGCTGCTCTGAGGGCAGGGCCCGCCAAGCCCACGCCCACCTGGAACTCCAGCTGGCCCGCAAGCGCCGCGCGCAGCCCGGGTTCCCACTCGCGCCTCTCCCTCCATACCTCCCTGCAAGCTGAGGGAGCCGGCTACGGCCTTGGCCAGCCCAGAAAGGGGCTCCCACAGTGCAGTGGTGGGCCGAAGGGCTTCTCAAGTGCCGCCAAAGTGGGAGCCCAGGCAGAGGAGGCACGGAGAGCGAGCGAGGGCTGTGAGGACTGCCAGCACGCTGTCACCTCTCACAGGGAAACACCCTGCAACTTTGCAAGAGCACGGAGAGTGTGGGGCAGGGCTACCCCGCAGGCCTTTGGTCTGGCACCCTCCCTTCCTGGTCCTCTGTCTGGTGTTGGCGGGCACCTTCGCAGCTGTGGTGGTCTTGGCGGCGGGTGGAGGCAGGCCAAGACAGCCTGCTCTGACCAGGGACAGGCACAGAAAAAGTGGGGAGGGGATTGCCGGCGGGGTGTTGTGGTGTGAGGCAGCTACTTGCTCAGGGTTCCTGAGCTGTGGGAGGCCCTCATGTGCTGGGTGCTGGACAGGCTCTGCTGCTGTCCGTGTGTGCGGTGTCCTCTTCTCTTGGTCTCACTGAGGGGTGGGCGTGTCCACCCGAGGGAACCGCTGTGAATAGAAGTAGCTGCAGGGCTGTGCCTGACTCTCTCCATGAGACTCTAGTGGTTTCATGGGAGGTTGTATATGCTCATGGCCTAAACATCCTTGGATGCAGCACTGGCAGAGGGAAGAAATCGTGTCTGAGGAGCTGGTGCCTGCCTTGCAGAGGACAGCAGCCCCGTGCACGGTGAACCCGAGTATTGAGCACCTTGTGTTTCTAGGATAAGCCTGCTGGACACAGGTACCGGGAGCAGGGGTATTTCCATGGCTGGCCTGGGCGCGCAGATTCCCCTTCCTCCAGGGATTTTCCCAGTGAAATGTGTCCTTCAACTTTCTGCTGTTTATGAAGGGTCCTTTGAGGTGCTATTCTCCCTTGTGAGTGCTGTGCTTGGCTTTCTGTCCCTATAACGTGCCCTCAGGGTGCCCGCAATTAAGCTGCCCTTCTATCTGCATGAATCTGTCCTTGGTTCCCCTCGTTGTCCCCCATGTCCTGAATCCTGGCTGAGCCCCGGTGCCTACCACCTTGTTTCCCCCAACCCCGCTCCTGGGAGCTCGGCGCCCACCCACCTGTCAGCCATCCCGAATTGGCAGCTGCAAGGATATGGCTCTGACCCAGAAGCCGTGGATGCCCTGCGGCCTGGGACATTCACTGGAGCCCAGCTCCAAGTGAAGGACGTCCAGCGAGTTGGTTGCTGGCCGGGGCGTCCTGGGGCCAGGGCCAGGCTGTGCCTGCGGGTCCTCCTGCTGCCGCTCCACATTGGCCTCCTCCTTGGCCACCACCTCTATCTCTGCCATGATGTCATCCCCCACTAGCCACTAGCATGCCTCCTCCCCCAGGGTTGCCTCCCTGCTCTGCGCACAGGCTGCCCTTTCCTGCAGCACCTCCCCCTTAACATGGTGCCCTCCTTGAGGCTCCCACAGACTAAGGCCTACACTGCCCATCTCATGTCCTTGGCACCCCTAGACTCTAGAGGAAGCTCCCGGAAGGGCCCCTGGGCCTTGCCCTTCTGAGAAACATGTGCCACACCCACGTGGATACAGGGTTCCTGGGGAGCCCCGCAGGGCCCACAGTCCGCCACACTCACCATGGGGCCCAGATACCCAGCAGGGTTAGCTGTACACAGTAGCCCTGGAGTCGGAGGCCGAGGCCCTGGGCTTCCAGAGCCTCACTGGCAGGCACGACGGCCACTGCGGCGCTTGCGGGAGGATCTGTGCCAGCGAGGCAGTGCACACGGGTTATCGCATTGGCAACCATGGCGGCTGGCCTCCCGTGTGCCCAGGGGCACAGGATGAGAGGTCCTTTGGAACGCCCCTGTGAGTACAGCATCCTCAGGGAGGAAGCATGGAACTCGGAGTCTGTGTTTGCCTAGACCTGATAGAGTCCTTGTGGGGTTTCAGCTTCTGGTGCAGACGAATTCCACCCCAGCAACTTACCCGTCGACTTTTCTCCCAGGCACCCGCCCTGCCCCACTCCCCTCCAAGCCACCGCAGCTGCGGCGTCCTCGCCTGGTTCTTCACTCTCCCCTCTGGATCTGCAGTATTTAGTACCATCAGCCTAACCTGCCTAATGAAGTAAGATGTTTCATATGTTCCCTGTGGGTTAATGTCTTGCCACACTCAGGATGCCAGTTAGGGTGTAGGTCTTCTATGCCCACAATGCCAAAGGGCTTACAGTCCGCGTGTGTCGGAATCCTCCGCCGCCAGGCACAAGCAGCTTCTCAGAGGAGGCTTACCGCGGGAGGATGGAGCTGCCTGCCAACTAGGGGCAGGGTGCCTCGTAAGACGCCTACAGTCCTCGCAATAACTGGTCGACGCCCCCCGCCCTCGCAATGATTGGCCGCTGGAGGTAGGCGGGATTTCCGGGCACGGCTTCTGGCGTCCTTCCCCCTCAGGCCAGTTCCAGCAGTCCTTCCCGCAGTTGGCCCCGTGGTGTCCCAAAGCCGGATGCATACGACATGAGAGCCGGGCGACCCTGAGGCTGTTTGTCCTGCTGAAAAGCACGTGTATTTTCTGTTTCTCTGGACAGGTTGGTCTCTTGATAAGAACAGAAAAGTTTTGCGATTTTATCTGTAAAAGGGGATGGGTTTTCCATGTGAGGGTGTTGAATTATAGGAGGAGACAGTGGGGAGAGAACTCCTTAGTGCTATTAAGAAACTCATTTTTGTTAAACTCATTAATTTTCTTGAGGATTCTACCTTTAACTGTCGGATATGTCCGACATGTGGGCAAGTTGTGGGAGATGGTGCTAAGGCGCCATGTGCACTTTTTATTAAACAGGGTTTTCTCTGTGAATGTGGTCATCATTCAAAATACAGGCAATATATTTAACCAAGGCTATTAAAAACTTATACTTTTAGTCAGCGCATGTCACATGTCTGATTTGCTTGACGGGAATTACCAAATTTTGACATAAATTGTATTACGTTAGTTTATGTAGAAGTCTGGGGCCGTAAATAATCTGAGTTTCAGTTTGCCTCTGTAAAGCCTGTAATTGTCTCCTTCGTTGTATGACAGTATTTGAAACATGTTTCATGTGTCTTTGGCACCATAAATAATTTAAACCGAATAAGTAGGTGTAATCCAGATAAATGGTGTTAGATAGCCGAAAACTGGAACAAAATAGATGCGCTTAAGTTATTCTGTTAACCTGGCACACTGCCTTACTCCTGTAGTCCTAGCATTTTGGGAAGTGGAGGTCGGAGGATGGCTTGAAGTCAGGAGTTTGAGACCAGCCTGGGTAACGTAATGGACTCTTTCATTGCTATTTTCGCATCAGGGACTGGTTTAGTGGAAGTCAGTTTTTCCTCAGAGAAAGGTTGCGCAGGGGAAGAAGGCGGCGAGGTGGACAGGTTTGGGAGTGGGGGCTGGCGGCAGGTCTCCGAGGGGCACGTGGTGGGGCGGGTCTTCCGGTAGGAGCAATGTGACAGAGGCCAGGTGGGGCAGTGAGGCTGTCACGGGGACAGGGAGGGCCAGCGAGGGAGTAGGGAGGATGGTTTCCGGATAAAACTGTACCACCTCAGGTCATCCTCAGGCGTTACATTCTCCACAGACAGGTATTGCAGGTCATCCTCCGGCATCACATTCAGGCCACAGATAGGTACGGGTTGAAGGCCAGGATTCAGGGATCCTTGACCTATTGTATATTTCAAATCACTTAAAGATGGTAAAATATTTAAAATGTTCTCCTCCTAGAACATTTTAATTTGCTTGATTTAATCTTTTATCCACATATCCCGCTGGGCGTGGTGGTTCACCCTTGAAATGCCATCACTCTAATAGTCCCAAGCCAGCAAATCACTTGAACCCAGGATTTGGAGACTGGCTTGGGCAATATGGGGAAACGCATGTCTATTTAAAAAAAACACAAAAAATTTCCCAGCTCTGGTAAAAAGCCCTGGTAGTACCAGCTACTTGGGAAGCTGAGTTTTGGGAAGATCATTTGAGGCTGGGTGGAGGAGGTGGCAATGAGCAGTGCATTTTGGCAACAGGGGATATACATCTCAAGAAAGAAAATACACAAAACCTCACACTGTACCTCATAAATATATAGTTTTCAAATAAAATTATTTAAATGGGGCACTCCTTCACATTACAACTTAGGAAAATTACAATAGCTTTTCTTATCTAAGTTTTAGAAATGAGATTTTGTCAGGTCCATATTAAAATGCAGCATTTATCTGTGAAGTCAGTGCCCCTTTTGCTCTGTATGTTAGAAATTTTACATATTTATTTATTTTTTTTCTTTTTTTTCCTTTTATTATTATACTTTAAGTTTTAGGGTACATGTGCACATTGTGCAGGTTAGTTACATATGCATACATGTGCCACGCTGGCGCGCTGCACCCACTAACTGGTCATCTAGCATTAGGTATATCTCCCAATGCTATCCCTCCTCCCTCCCCCTACCCCACAACAGTCCCCAGAATGTGATGTTCCCCTTCCTGTGTCCATGTGATCTCATTGTTCAGTTCCCACCTATGAGTGAGAATATGCGGTGTTTGATTTTTTGTTCTTGCGATAGTTTACTGAGAATGATGACTTCCAATTTCATCCATGTCCCTACAAAGGACATGAACTCATCATTTTTTTTGGCTGCATAGTATTCCATGGTGTATATGTGCCACATTTTCTTTATCCACGCTATCATTGTTGGACATTTGTGTTGGTTCCAAGTCTTTGCTATTGTGAATAGTGCCACAATAAACATACATGTGCATGTGTCTTTATAGCAGCATGATTTATAGTCCTTTGGGTATATACCTAGTAATGGGATGGCTGGGTCAAATGGTATTTCTAGTTCTAGATCCCTGAGGAATCGCCACACTGACTTCCACAATGGTTGAACTAGTTTACAGTCCCACCAACAGTGTAAAAGTGTTGCTATTTCTCCACATCCTGTCCAGCACCTGTTGTTTCCTGACTTTTTAATGATTGCCATTCTAATGGTGTGAGATGGTATCTCATTGTGGTTTTGATTTGCATTTCTCTGATGGCCAGTGATGATGAGCATTTTCTCATGTGTTTTTTGGCTGCATAAATGTCTTCTTTTGAGAACTGTCTGTTCATGTCCTTTGACCACTTTTTGATGGGGTTGTCTGTTTTTTTCTTGTAAATGTGTTTGAGTTCATTGTAGATTCTGGATATTAGCCGTTTGTCGGATGACTAGGTTGCAAAAATTTTCTCCCATTTTGTAGGGTGCTTGTTCATTCTGATGGTAGTTTCTTTTGCTGTACAGAAGCTCTTTAGTTTAATTAGATCCCATTTGTCAATTTTGTCTTGTGTTGCCATTGCTTTTGGTGTTTTAGACATGAAGTCCTTGCCCATGCCTATGTCCTGAATGGTATTGCCTAGGTTTTCTTCTAGGGTTTTCATGGTTTTAGGTCTAACGTTTAAGTCTTTAATCCATCTTGAATTGATGTTTGTATTTAAAGTAAGAAGTACTAAAAAGATGTCAGCCTCTGAAAGGGAATTTCACTTGAGTTTTCAACATGGTATGTAATAAATTTTTATATTTTTAGCTTATTTATTTTTATCTAAATATAGATTTTTCTTTGACCATTTGCAGCACAATGGTAGAAGCAGATCATCCGGGCAAGCTTTTCATTGGTGGCCTCAATAGGGAAACCAATGAAAAGATGCTTAAAGCAGTATTTGAGAAACATGGTCCCATATCAGAAGGTAACCCTTAAAACCGTGTGTGCGTGTGTGTGTGTGTGTGTATTTTCATATGTATATTTCAATATGTATATTTAAAATATGTCTGTTATATATATGTTTTGAAAAAACATGTTTTTCAAAGTTCATTGTATACCTACATTAAAATGCCTTATTGTTTTTAAACTCTTATTTTGGGGTTATCTATTTGATATTTGGAAAATTCTCATAGTAGCAGGTTAAGGATCTGTGGTAAGGATCACCTACTACTTAGAAACGAAAATAAGGAAAACTAAACGTGTTGTGGAGTTAGGGAACAAACTGGAACAAAATAGGCTAACTATAGGGGTGACCAGTATCAAGTATAATACTAGTGATGTGAAATGCAATTATTTTTGATTTGATGTAACTTTTAGATGGTTAGTACCTTGACGCGTCCATTATATCAATGTAAAATGTTTTCATATATTTTAGTTCTTTTGATAAAGGATCGAACCAGCAAATCCAGAGGCTTTGCATTTATTACTTTTGAGAACCCTGCAGATGTTAAGAATGCTGCCAAAGATATGAATGGAGAGGTAGAGTCCCTTATTAATAATATTCTAACTCTCTTCTTCAGTTAACAGTATTTCTAGGTCTTTTTAGAATTATGTAACTTTTGAAGATAGTAGAGTGCCATATGAAGACATCCTCTTCTTTGTGCCATATACATTCAACTGTAGTTGGAAGGGTATTGGAATTAACCTTATATAAATTAATATATGGTAAACTTTTTCTATGTTTGTATTTCAATATAAGTGTAAATAGATCTTCAAAGGTTTTGAAGAGCTTTAAAACTTATAAGGGACCCTCATGTAAATGAAAGGAATAAGTCAACATTTATTACATGCCATTAATGCAATTACTTCCAATTCATGGAAATACTTCTAGAGCACAGAAAAACTGTGGATAGACATCTAGACAGACTCACAAGAAGGAAAGATTCTCTCCCGTTTTCTGAAAATATATTTTTGAGAAAGTGGGTTTAAATAAGACCTTTACATTTAAGGAAGTGTTAAGTACTTGAAAATAGAAAAAAATAGGAGAACATTGAAGTTGGATAACACAAGAAGTAACTGGCATTTTTTCCCCATCCTTGCTCTTTTCTCCTAAGGACGTTTTTTTCCTGTCACCAGAGTGATGTATGTAACATGAATACCTAATTACTCATTTCCCCAGTGTGTTTGAGGATTTGTTTTGATCCAAACATTGGTCTCTTGTCCTATTGAGTCTTAAATCTAGGGATTGTGTATTTACTAAAGCTTTAAACTTTTATGTAATTCTGTTAACTCTTGAATTCCTTTACATTGTGTCAAGTTCATTCCATTCTGGGCCCTTTAGAACTTTTTTGCTTTATAACATGATCCTAATCAGGCTGGGCTTGGTGGGAGCAGTGTGATATTAGTCCTTTTAAGAAATTCATTTTTGTTAAACTCATTGATTTTTCTTGAGGATTCTACCTTTAACTGTCGGACATGTCTGAAATTTGGGCAAGTTGTGGGAGATGGTGCTAAGGCGCCATTGTTTTTATGTGCACTTTTTATTAAAGCCTGTAATCCCAGCACTTTGGGAGGCCAAGGCAGGCATATCATGATGTCAGGAGAACGAAACCATCATGGCCAACATGGTGAAACCCTGTCTCTACTAAAATACAAAAAATCCACCGCGAGTGGTGGTAAGTGCCTGTAGCTCCAGCTACTTGGTAGGCCGAGGCAGGGGAATCAGTTGAACCTGTGAGGCGGAGGTTGTAGTGAGCTGAGATCATGCCACTGCCCTTCAGGCTGGCAACAGAGCAAGACTCTATAGCAAACAAATATAGCAAATTAAAAAAATGATAAATAACGTTATCCCAATCTGTTTTTAGCCTCTGTTCCTCTTTATGCTATCCCCAAAATGCTTTTTTGGACTTCTTAAGAATTATCCTTCCCTGTGTGTGTCTCAAAAATAACAATTTATGCTTCAAAAACCACTTAGATTTCATATTTTCTTCCTCATTGCGTATTGTAGGTATTTTGTACTTGCTGTACCATGTATTAATCTATTGATTGTGAAATTGTATATAGTGCATATTTAAGTCTTCCTAGTTGCTTTTATTTCTGTTACATCTAGCACATTTCCTGGCACATAGCAGAAAGTACATTTTTATTCACTCTTATAAATTAGTATTTCAAGCTGTGGTAGAAACCAAGAGTAGCTTTTGGTTCATGGCTTTGTGGTAACTCTGGAGATAATTTTGACTTCTGTATAGTAATCTATGATAATTTCCTTTCTCCCCCTAGTTTTCAAGCAAAAGAGCAGGTAATTTGTGTAGAGTTTTTGTCTGTTTGTTTTTTAAAATGGCGTCTCACTGTGTCAACAGGCTGGATTGCAGTGGGTTGATCTTGGCTCACTGCAACCTCTGCCTCCTGGGTTCAACTGATTCTCCTGCCTACAGGCCACGCCACCATGCCCACCTAATTTTGCTACTTTGAGCGAGAGAGGGTTTCACCCTGTTGGCCAGGATGGTCTCTATCTCTTCATCTCATGAACCACCTGCCTCGGCCTCCCAAAGTGTTGGGATTACTGGTGTGAGACACCACACCCAGCCAATGTTATTTCTAAACTACTTAATCTCACATATTTTGTTGTGTAAAAATAAATAGGAATGTTATGTGCACATAAATGTTGAGAAGGCCAATAAAGGAGGTTCTTAGATTTTCAAGGTGAATAAAGAGTTTAAGGAATTTTGGATGACTTTGGAACACTGGGGAGGAAGCAGCCATGAGCAAATCTGGGCAAATATTTTGGGCCCAGAAATAAAAAAAGAAGTTTCAAGGTAGAAACAACGGGCGACGTGGCTGCAAGAGGTCTTGTAAGGGATTTAAGATCTTCCCCTAAATAACAAAATCCATGTAATTTTCAAATCGAGTTATTAGCTGAACTGTAAATCAATAATTAAGATTGTTCTAGGATGTTTAAACATTAACACAATATCCTTAGTGTAAGGTTGGAAATTATTTGAGGAGAGAATGTAGTACTAAGCAACATGATGTGAGCAGTAGGATTGAATAGAAGTAATATTTTTGAGAAGGACAATTGTAAGATTGCAGACTGAACAGAAGAAAGCAAGACAAGAAACAGAAGTTTTCAGCAAAGAAAGTAAGCAGAACAAATTAAAATTCTTACTTAGTCCTCCATCCTAATATGGAGGAAATTAAAAACTGACATTTTCAATTTTACATTTCATAAGTAGAGTATTGGTGAAGTCAGGTATTTATTGACTTCAGGATACCCAAGCCAACACATTTCCATTGGAAAATTAGCTAGTGAACATATCATAGGTGAAAGGCTGACCTTTAAGGAATAGCACTGTGAAGAGTATATTAAAGGATAATTTTTTCTATTTTGAAATAGCAACCATGTTGTAATGACCCCTTTAATAGTGTTGTTTATTGCAGTAAAAGTAAATCTTGGCTATCATTAGAAAGTTTTCACTAGTACATTTTAATTTGTCAACATTTAAGATAGAGCCAACCACTTAGAGAGAAAGGAGAACTTTTATGTAAAAAATTAGCATGCAGTCGTTCAAAGGTAGCAGTATTTGTGTTTGTGAGGTAGATTGAACTATGTGGGAAAATTTACCTTCCTCAGCTGAGAAAGGTCAATGTATGTAAACTTTAAAATTGTGAAGATTTGGTGGTTTTACATGTTTTCCCTATGTCATTTGTAGTCATCAGTAATTCATATGAAAAGGAAAATAGTAACTAAGTAGTTCTTAACCATTACAAATGAACTTTTACCTAAGAATTAATGTTTGCCTTCAGCTTCATTAGAAGAACTGGCCTTGTGGGAGCCATGGGATTCTCCAAAGCCATAAGAAATATTCACAGTGTCATGACTGTCTAGTAATTTAGGAAACAAAGAATGGAGTCATAGAAGAAATAATTTTAAAAAGTTGTTTGAGAGAAGAGAAAATAGTGTTTCAGATTTGGTGTTCTTTACATAATGTTCCAACATTTTAATGTTAAAGGTCTCGTATCATATGGAAGAGGGAATTAGGGAGGTCCTCCACTCAGAGAGACAATCTCTTCCTGGAGAAATGACCATATGTCTCTAAGAGATGACGGTTATGCAACTAAGGATGGGTAAAGGAAAAAATTTTAAAAAGTTGATTATTTTTGTTTTGATGATGAAATAAACATAACAAAATTAATTATTATAAGGTAAACAGTTAAGTGACATTTAATACATTCTATGTCATGCAACAACTACCTCCATCGAGTTCCAAAACATTTTCATGACTCCAAAATAAAACTCCAACTACCAGTTAAGCAGTTCCTTCCATTTTCTCCCTTCCCTCAGCTGCTAGCAAACACCAGTCAGTGTTCTGCCTCTGAACTTACTGTTGTGGGCATTTAATGTTAATCGGCTCAAACACTACACGACTTTTTGTATCTCTCTCCTTTCCTTTTCCATGATGTCCTGAAGGTTCATTTACATCATAGCACTTCACTCCTTCCACAAGCTGTTAACTCATTATTTTATTTGGGTTGTTTCCACCGCAGTATTTCTATGCATGAATATTTGTTTGAGTACACGTATTCAATTCTGGGTGTATATGAGTGGAATTGCTTGGTAGTATGATAATTATATTGTTTTCTTGAGGAACCACGACATTTCTCCATAGTAGCTGCATCATTTTCCATTCCAACTAGCATTGCATCAGGGTTCCAATTTATCTGCATCCTGTCAAACACTTGCTATTTCCTGCTTTTATTGCCATTCCAGTGTGTGTGTGTGTGTGTGTGTGTGAATTATGGTATCTCATTTTGGATTTGAAGTGCATTTTCTGAATCACTGATTGTGAGTATCTGTTCATGTGCTTTTTGGGCATTTGCCTATTTTATTTGAAGAAATATCCATTTAGATTTTGGACCTTTTAATTTTGTTTAAGTTGCAACTTAGTTACGTTTTGGATACTAGAAGTTGAAAATTTAAAATGTGTTGCTTAAACTTATGCACGCAGAAATCATCCAAGCTCCTGAGAAACTAGGGATTATGCTCCACCATCTAGAGACTATGCATATCATGATTATGGTCATTCTAGTTGGGATGAACATTACTCTGGAGGATATAGGTACTATAACTTTTTCTGGACTTGTCAAAAAGATTTCTTAAGTTATTCATTCCAGCTAACATTGTATTAGGGTTCCAATTTATCTACATACTCTCAAACACTTGCTACTTCCTGCTTTTTAAAATGTAATGCCATTCTAGTGTGTGTTTGAAGTCTGGAATCTCATTTTGGATTTGAAATGCATTTTATGAATCACTGATTATTAGTATCTGTTCCATGTGTTTTTGGGCATTTGCCTATTTTATTTGGAGAAATATCTTTTTAGATGTTTGGCAATTTAATTGTGTTTAAGTTGTAATTTAGTTATATGTTGGATAGTAGAAGTTGAAAATTTTAAATTTGTTGCTTAAACTTACTCACACAGAAATCATCCAAGCTCCCAAGAAACCAGGGATTATGCTCCACCATCTAGAGGCTATGCATACTGTGATAATGGTCACTCTAGTCGGGATGAACATTCCTCTAGAGGATATAGGTACTATAACATTATCTGGATTTATCAAATAGATTTCTTAAATTGTTTATTCTGACATTAAAAATTTTTTTTTTCAATTTAGTGATAGTGGTGGCTACGACGAAACCCGTGGTAGAGATCATTCTGATCGTACAAGTGGAAGTTCTTACAAAAATGAATTTCAGGGATATGGTAAGAGTCCAGGATGGATTTTTAAATTAAAGAATTTTATGTAATAGTCCAGATCATTATTTTAATGAAATTCTAAGGAAAATTATAAAGGACAATATAACATATTTAAATATTGAGTAGTCTAACAGTATAAAGTGTAGGGAACGATATGAAGGAGAGAA
Source organism: Homo sapiens (assembly GCF_000001405.40). Taxonomy (NCBI): domain Eukaryota; kingdom Metazoa; phylum Chordata; class Mammalia; order Primates; family Hominidae; genus Homo; species Homo sapiens. The sequence goes on along the minus strand of NC_000024.10, from coordinate 21,395,538 downwards.
CTTCATGTGCAGAAAAAGTGACTCAACGTTTACTTCAGAATTAAATTTGTTAAGCTTCAAAATACTACTCTTACACTTCTTTTAAATAAAACCTTCTGACCAATGCAGGCTTAATTAATATCTATCCTGTCAACAAGGGCAGAGGAAAGCAGATATTTCCAAATAGGACTTTAACTAATTCATCCTTTAGTGGTGGCAGTAAAAGTGTTTAAATATAGTCCCACATATTATTTTATCAACCCTGCAGGGACCTCTCATGGTGCACCACCTGCAAGAGGGCCTCGGATGTCTTATGGTGGAAGCAGCCACCCTGATTATAACAATACACGAGATACATAGGGCAGAAGTCAAGAAAGTTACTCAAGAAGCTGCGGTGATTTTTACTTTTGTGGTCATGAGCACACTGGCAGAAAAGACCAAAGGAATCCACCTTCTCTGGGTAGGGTTCACCCTGCTCGTCGTGAAGCATATGGTAACTGAAGTTATGTGGCATCTACAGTAGATGGTCGGGAAAGTCGATCTGAAAAGGAGACTGAAGCAGATATTAAAGCAAGTATTCCAAATAATAGTTATTGCATACCAAACCTTGTTTGCAAATCGAAAATTGAAATGTTATTTCTGCATTGTTACCTGCATATTACTAAAAGAAGCATATGGGCTTTGTGGAGACAGGTAGATACTAACTTCCTCCATGAAGGTTTTGAGGTATTCAAAGGAAAAATAATTTTCTTCAAAGTAATTTCATACTTGTTAATGCTATTTGAAAACTATCTGTTTAGATGTAATATCTACATTAAAATGTTCAGAATAAAATTTTACAGTAATAGAAAATTCCTGATGTTATTGGTTAGCTGCACATGCTTAAAAGAAAATTCAATAGGAGAGTAAATTCTGTTGTTTGCTGAACATTTTCCTTTGTTTCTTTGAACATAAATAGATACAAAATTAGGCATATGTTACATCTCCCTTGCAAGCGGCACAAGTTTTCTAATTAGGCTGTTTCTCTTTAAAAACTTACAAGCTTAAAATGTTTGAGAAGCCTTCAGAAAGACTACAAAACTGTCTGCCTCACCATAAAACGTTTATCTTTTAGAGGAATAGTACAGGTCAAAGGAAATAAATAGATGGGGTTGATACTAAAGTTTAAAACATCTGGAACATTCTACTTGAAGCGTTCTGTGACTGAAAGAGGATATGATAATGAAACCTTTTTTTTTTTTAACCTAAATCAAAACTGAACTAGCTAAGTTTCTGAAGTGCATAGCATGATGAAATTAAATGTTCCTAGTTTAAATAGTGGAAAGTAGGTGTTTTGTCTTGGGTGGTACTCATGATAATTTTTTCTTGAAAGTTTTGGCAGTGGTTGTTATAACAGTTTAGTAATAAGTTCTTACAAATAGGAATAATTTAGAATGGTTGGGATTTTATCAGTTTTTTTTTTTTGAGATGAAACATAGCTTTGTCACCCAAGCGGGGGTGCAGTGGCTCCATCTTGGCTTACTGCAAACTCCGCCTTCTGGGTCAAGCTCTTCTTCTGCCTCAGCATCCTGAGTAACTGGTATTAGATAAGTATGCACCACAGCTGGCTAATTTTTCGTATTTTTAGTACAGACTGCATTTCACCATGTTTGCCAGGCCATTCTTTAAAATCCTGATCCATCCTCCTCAGACTCCCAAAGTGTAATCCTAAGATTACAGGCATGAGCCACCACTCTCAGCCTATCAGATTTAATTGATGATATGAATGGAAATGCTTTAAACCTCACACTTTTGGGACAATGAAGTGTATAAAACATAACTGCATAAAGTTTCAGATGGGATTGCTTAAAGGTTTAAGAAATCATCGAATGTTAAAAATAAAAATATTTGGACCTAAATAACTAAACCAATTACTTTTCCTGATTATACAACCTAAAGAAATGAAACACATGAAGTTCCTGAAGTTTTGAAGTCCATAACTTTTACAATTAACAGACTAATCTGCAAGGAAGGAGTATTTTCTTGAGAAAATTTTACAAGATCATCACTTTTTATAGGGTAAGGGTGCAAATAATTTTAAAGGGAGAAGTTACCAACTTCGATTTTTAAGTGAATTATTCATGTTATGAATTTGTGTTTTCATTCACCTATAACATAGGATTGTGAGGATGAAGTGAAAAGATACAACTCCCTAGTCTTGTGTATCTTACTGTCCAGGTGTGATGACTCAGGTCTTTAATTCCAACACTTGGGAAGCTGAGGCTTGCAGATACCTTTAGGTCAGGAGTTGAAAACCAGGCTGGCCAACACCATGAAATCCCTTCTCTAGCAAAAATATAAAAATTAGCCCAGTGTGGTGGCATTTGCCTGTAGTGTGTTACAATTAATTGGGAGGCTCAGGCAGGAGAATCGTTTAAACCTGGAAGGCTGAGGCTGCATTGAGCCGATATTGTGCCATGCACTTTAACCTGGGAGACATTCCACCTTCGCTCTATTAATTATTTTGAGATGTACAATAAATCATTATTAAGTGTAGTCATCCTGTGCCACTGAACACTAGATATTATTCCTTCTAAGCAAGTATAATTTAACCCACCCCCATCCCCTCTTTGATCCCTCGCTTACCAGTTCACATTACTTGTATCAAAATATCACATGTATGCCAAAAGTATTTACAACTGTTATGTACAAATTTTTTTAAATAAGTAAAAAATTAAAAGGGTATCTCCAACAAGGTGATAAAATAGGAGGCTCTAATTTGTTCCTCCATCCACAAACGCAACAAATAAAAAGCCACACCCACATCAATTCCCTATGAGATAAACTCAGAAACTAGTTGAGATACTCTTGCACATAGGATTATGAAAATACTCACTTAAAAAGAAGTAAGAAAAACTGAATCATGATCTTGTTCTAGAATTTGTGGCTGACACATGACCCTAGAGTCAATAGAGAACTGTTATTTCACAGCTTCTCTAAGAGGACTGAAGTATTAAACCACATATGTAATGCCCCAACTGTTACAGCTGCTTCTTAACGAAATGATTGCCTATCCCTGGATTCTAGCACAGATTGGCATTCAAAGCTCTCCTAGGACCTCCAAGATAAAAGAAGGATTTAAGTAGACATTCAAGCACTTCTAAAACTGTTTCCTCCTGGTTTACTGAATCTTAAGCAGTCAAGAAAGCTCAGCTCCCACCTTGTTCCTCGAAAATCTTAGATTGTACATCTAACGTCTTGACTTTTTTTCTTCTTTTTTCTTTTGAGATGGAGTCTTGCTCTGCTGCACAGGCTGGAGTGCAATAGCATGATCTCGGCTCACTGAAAACTCTGCCTCCCAGGCTCAAGTGGTTCCCCTGTCTCAGCCTCCTGAGTAACGGATATTCCCCTGTCTCAGCCTCCTGAGGCACCTGTGACCATGCCAGGCTAACTTTTGTATTTCTTAGTAGAGACAAGTTTTCACAATGTTGGTCAGGCTGGTCTCAAACTCCTGACCTCAGCTCATCCACCTTCCTCATCCTGCCAAAGTGCTGGGATTACAGGCATGAGCCTGCACCCAGCCTTATCTTGACTTTTATAGCTTTTGCCCAGGTATCTTGTTTCTAATTTTGACTTTTGGATCTGTCAAGGTCCTCTGAGAGCAGGCACATAGGCATTTCTCATCAGTCTTCATAATCACTCACTCTAGCAATATACTGAGCTTCTAAATTTTCCTTCCAAGAAGTCGAACTACTCAACTATGGCCTTGACTTCTCAGGTTGCTGCCTAAGAGTTTGCACACTAACTTACCAATCTCTGGAAGCTAATGAATCCCAGCATTTTGTAGTTCCAGGATTCTAAAGAGGAAAAAGGATTGTTTTACAATAACTCTGCATGATTTTTAAACTTGCCTATTGATGTAGTTTGGACATTTTTTCCTCCAAGTCTCAGGTTGAAATATGGTCCTCCACACTGTAAATGACACCTAGTGGGAGGTGTTTGTTTGGGTCATGGGGATGGATCCCTCATAAATAGCCTGGCTGCCTTGCAATGGTTAATAAGTGAGTTTTCCACCGTATTATTGCCACAGTCTAGATTACATCCAAATAGTTTGTTGAAAAGAGCCTTATACCTTCTCCTCTTCTCTCTCTCCCCTTCTCTTCTCTCCACACATGACGTGACTGTTTTCCTTTTATGTTCCATCCTGAGTGGAAGCCTGGTGAGGCTCTCACCAGATGCAGATGCTGGCACCACACATCTTTTACAGCCTGCAGAACCAGGATCCAATGAAAGCTCTTTTCTTTATAAATTTCCCAGTCTCACAGTCTTTTTTAGGAACACAAACAGATTAAGACATGTATCTCTGGTTGATAACTTGCCTATATCAGTAAGCAGTGGAGCTCAGAATTCACTATTTCCTTCATTCCATAGAGGACAAAGAGGTGGTTTTCAATGGTCCCGTGAGCTCTTCCTTAAATCCAACCCTTGGCTTGCTCTAGCTTTCAGCTTCTCCATGGAAGCACCCCAACCTTTTAAACTCCTCCTCCCTTAGGATCGCTATTTTTTTTTTTGAAATTGAGTCTCACTTTGTTACCCAGGTTGGAGTGCAGTGGCGTGATGTCAGCTCACTTTGACCTCTATCTCCTGGGTTCAAGAGATACTCCTGCCTCAACATTCCAAGTAGCTGGTACTACAGGCACATGCCACCAGGCCTGGCTATTTTTTTTTGTGTGTGTGTATGTTTAGTAGACAGGGGATTTCACCTGGTTGGGCAGGATGGTCTTCACCTCCTGACCTCGTGATATGCTCACCTCAGCTTCCCAAAGTTCTGGGGTTACATGTGTGAGCCACTGTGCTCAGCCTGGAGCAGTCTTTCAACTTGCCTGTTTCTGGGGTCTGATGTGACACAACAGGCATTCTGCGATTCTACTAACTCCCTCCCTCTCTGAGAAACAAAAACCTTAACTCACAACTATCCTTAGGTAAGGACACCTTAGTGAATGATTCCATAACTTGCGATTGAATCTGTGACACCTTCTTCGACTGTAGAACTAAGAATAGCCACACAAATAGGATAAAATAACAGTTTTAATGTGATACTTTTCTCCCCCCCAAGCCAGCATAGTGTTGCGTACAAAAAATTTCCCCGGACTCACAGTTTCTTCAGGGAGGAGAGAGTTGAAGGTGTACATTCAGCCTTTTCTTTTCCATTTTGCAATTCTTCACGTGATGTTCTCTCTAGTCTTACCCTGTGGGAAACATTGCGGGTATCAGACAACTGGGGTCAGTTAGAAACAAAGTACATGGATGGGGCTTACAGGGATCATAACAGTAATCTTACCAGTGGCTTTGCATTCCAGCCAGCAGAGGTGCACCGTCAGAGAAGGGAAGCAACAGCATTATTCTGCAGCAACAAACCATGGTTGATGGGTCTGCCAGGCTCAAATCACTGACTAACTGCCAAATCCCACAGTGATTTTCTCTGCAAAATTCCAAGGCTGTGACAAAGAGGCAGCTTGGTGATTATCCACAGAAGGGGCATGTGTCCCCACCCAATCTCAGCTGCCATACTTTTGACCATCCTAGCCCTGTGTGCTCCACCCATCCCCAGGCTGAAAAGCAGAGGCAATTTAGTAGTGAAGGATGAAGTTTCTGGCCCTACCTGGATGCAGTGGGCAAGTAGTTTATATAATAAGCCTTAGTACCCCTGGAAGGAAGATCACTTCTGATATATCTAATGGAAATCACTGGGGCGTTAGAATCTCTAGAGCACATGACTTTATTCAGAAACAGAGAATCCCAGTCTCAGCTCTAGCTCTTCCCACTGTTCAACAGCAGATATCAAGGGAGCTGATTGTCAGTCCTAGGCCCTCTTGCTGCTGGCAGAAAGCTAGCCTATCTGTGCAGAGACCTTCCAGTAACCATCACAGCCAAAATTACAAGCATGCCATTCTGTGTTCCACAAGAGAATGTAAGTGGACACAGTCTCAGCTCCAACCTGACCAATTTCAATTTCCAAAATGGAATTATTAGTAATAAGTGACCAACCAGCCAAAAAAAAAAAGCCCAGAAACTGATAGATTCGGATGAATTCTACCAGATCTACAAAAAGCTACATCATATTCCATTGTGTGGGTGATCCTAGTTTGTTCAACAGGTTCTGTATGTATGCTTACACACACACACACACACACACACACACGCAAACGCAGACACCTATGTTTCATGTTCTCTCAAAAAGCTGCAGTGGAAATGCCAAGCTGGCCTCTGGTATCATCTGAAGGCTCAGTGGGGAAGGACCCACTCCTTTGCTTGCATTACATTGTTGTCAGCAGCCTTGTCCACAATGGCAGTTTTGCAGGGGTTTCTTCCAGCTCTCTAGAGAGCATGCAATTATGTTTATTTACATAGTTTACAATATATTCCTTAGCCTTTCTCTCTAAACTTGAGGCTGAGTGCAATGTCTTAGGTCTGTAATTTCAGTACTTTGGGAGGCTGCTGTTGGAGGATCCTCTGAGCCCAAAAGTCTGGCACTACAGTGAGGTATGATTCAGCCTGATGACAGAGCAACACCCTGCCTCTAAGTAAATAAATAATAAAAATACAACTGATAGTAATATTTTTGTTTTACAGTTTGGAAAACACAAATTTCCTTGATCAAATGTAAGAATATTTGATAATCACTAACACAGCACATTTGCTTGTGCATGGGAACCAATGCAGAAAAGCAGTGGGATTGGATGCTCATTCCCCTTAATGCCTGACACATAAATACTGTGATGATAAGTGGTGAGTTTGGACCAAGAAAGCTTTCTGCCAGAGCCCTCAACACTGTGGAAATAAAAACCTCCACAAGTCAGGAAACAAAACAGTCTTTACTGGTAATAGTAACTGTAAAGCCTTTTGCAGATTTGATTTCATTTTTAATTTAGTGTAGATTAGGCAGCATAACAGACTACCCTGCACTCACTAGTATGTGATTTGATGATAAACATTAAAATGATTTGGTTGTTGAAAACTACAAGAATGTTAGTTAATACCATAGTTACATGAGTAATTTTGACAATATACACTAGCTTATTTTAAACTTTCAGTTAGTCGACTAGAGACCTAAATATTGTTTTAAACATAGTTCAAAAATTCATGTGGATAATGGGCAAAATGGCAAGTTTTTATTTTTATTCATTTCCTGTTGGTTTTATACCTTTCATTCTCTCTTCTCTCCCTTCCTTATTCCCTCCCTCCCTCCAACCTTCCTTCCTTCCATTCTTCCTTCCTTCCTTCCTCCCTCTCTCTTTTTCTCTCTTTGATTTTTTTTGAAGACAGAATTCTGCTCTGTTGCCTAGGCTGGTGTGCAGTGGCATGATCTCAGCTCACTACAACCTCCCCATCCTGGGTTCAAGCAATTGTCCAGTCACACCCTCCTGAGCAGCTGCAACTGCAGGCATATGACACTAATCCTACCTATTTTTTCTTTTTTGTATTTTTAGTAGAGACCAGTTTTCACAATATTTGCTCAGGCTGGTCTCGAACTCCTGTCTTCAAGTGATCCACCCACCTCAGACTCTCAAAGTGCTGGGATTTCAGGCATAAGCCACAATACCCACCCAGTTTTATTCATTTCTCTCTTCAGTGATCTCTCCTATCTATTTTAGTATTTTATTATTTGTTTTTATTTCTGAGACAGAGTCTCACTCTGGTGCCCAGGCTGGAGCACAGTGGCATAATCTTAATACAGGGCAAACTCTGTCCCCAGGGTTTGGGATAATATGCATGGGCCACCAAGGCTGGCTAGCTTTCATATGATATTAGACATGAGATCTTGCCATGTTGTCCAGGCTCGTCTCAAACTCCTGACATCAAGAAATCTGCCCACCTTGGCCTGCCAAACTGCTGGGAATGCACCTGTGAGCCTCTGTGCCCTGCCTCATATCTGTTTTAAAGCTCAGTAGATAAGCAATATTGTCTTCCTGGAATGCTTTATGTTCACAAAAAAACTATAACACTATTATTTAGGTCTTTCGGATAAAGTATGGTAACACACAAAACATACACGCACAGACACAGACACAGTCAGTGATCAAAAAATCAGTGTAGGCCACGACCTAAAATGAAAGGTGAGCTGCTGCAGTTGCCTAGAATTAAACCAGACCAGAGTTGACCCATACCAGGCCGAGAGATGTGAACAGAGGCTTTCCAAAAGGTCTATCAGATACATGTTAGATTATTCTCCAGCCATAGCAAAGGGACATTAAAGATCTGTTGTGTTTTGAAGAGTCTTGATAGTTTGACTTTTCCAGGGTATTAGCATTCGTGACATTGGCCTTTAAAGCTCTCCACAATTATTCAAATCAGTAGACAACTCAGTTTTTCTAGGAGTCTAAAGAGCTTTTCAAAATTATCTAAAATGTAATGGCTTAAAACAATCATTATAATTTACTAACTCTCAGTCTCTGCAATCTTCCGTAGTCTCTCAGCCAAATGATTGTGGTTCAGGGGCACTCAGGAGGATGCAGTCTAGTGATGGCTCAGGATGGGGACATTGTCAGTTGTCTTCCTGTCTCCCTGGTTCCATGGCTAGCATGACTCAAATAGCTGGGGCTGGAATGCTGAGATCCTTGGGCATCTCCTATTTCTATGAGTCTTTCCATGGCATGTCCCTTCTGTATAGTGTTATCAGGGTGTTAGACTTCGTGATGTACTGGTCCAGGGCTCTCCTAAGGGGTTTGTCCCCATGAAAGCAGGAGACTTAGGCACAGCTGTGTCACCTTTTCTAGCCTACGCCAGAGGTGGCCCAGTATCTAGAAAATGCTTGCCCTGTTTTCTATTAGAAAGCATTAGAAGCAAGTACTATGTTCAGTTACATCAGGAATATTTTCAAATGAGTTTGAGAAGAATTTCAAAGTGTGTTTTAGACCACTACAGTGGCCATGCCTAATCAATAATTATTTTTGTAAGTGCTGGATGGGTTTTACCCAACACAATAGCAGATACAGACTTTTAACCTTGAAACCTATATGTCATAGCTCTGAACATTTGGTTACATGTATAAATAACTCTCAAGCAAAAATAGATTTTGAAATGACAGCTATAAATAAATAAAATAAATGAGATAAAAACTCATAAATATCTGGATGAAATGCTTGTAAACATGTCAGCCTTAAAAATGTCAAGAGGTCTAACGTGCCACTATTTTACTATTTCTATGGATATTACTTGGACAGGAGGACAAGGACTCAGGGGTCTGCTGGTCCATCTCTGCACCTTGAAACAGCAGCTGGGGCACCAGAAGTAACCCTTACAGCCAACACCATGTGATGATGAGGAGGAGTCCATCTGGGTTAAAGAGGTTGTGAACATAATGTGACCTGGAGGAGAAGTACACCTGGTAGGGCGACTAGGATCCAGGGCTCCGACACACATTGAAATCCCCCATGCCCAGCTGTAGTGGAATGAATCCCTCAGCTTGTGCTGGGCTTCCAGGTATGTTCAGGAAGCAGCTCCCTGGGCTGAAAAGGATCCCCCCCCTTCACTTGCCATGCAGGAGTGTGAGGCTTGTGGCCTCCACTCTGTCTGTTCCAGCTCTTTCCCTTCCCATTATCCCGCTGCTGGGTAAGGTGGCAGGACCCCAGAATGTAGAAGGGCCCTGGGTTGTTGACAGTGCCTGTGGATGGCCATGTACTAGGAGGAGAGTCCCCACTGAGCCTCCCATGAGCTTGGCGGCTGGGAAGGAACAGTCCTGGGGCACTGGCTGGTCCAGAGTCCAGGGACCATTCCCGGAGAATGCCGGGGGATGTTTTAAGCCTGTGGATCTGCAATCTAGGTGGAAGAGCTGTATCTGCCATGGCTGACATCATCAGGGCAAGACACCCACTGGGTGGAGAGTTGGGCTTATGCATTTTACCCCTGTCTTGAAGAGACCATGCATGCCTGCCTCTCCTGGGACCAGTGATACTGGAGACCCCCCTCTGGGTCCACTCATGACCATAAGCTTAGGATGCGGTGTGCCTTGCTTCCTATCCACCCAGGTGAGGCATCCTGGAGAGGATGCGTGGGGCGAAGCTTGTGTGCGCACATGAAGCACTGGAACTGGGTGTCACCGGCCTGTTTCTGAGCTACCACCTGACTAAGTGATAAGTGTCTCATCTACCTGACCCCGCAGCCCGGGTTTCTCCTCCACCTGCCGACCCATGCCCTCTTGGGGAGAATGCCAGCCTCCCTGGAGACTCAGGCCCTGCCGGACCCACATGCTGTCCTCCTGTCTCATGGGCTGGGCACTCTCTGGTGCACAGGGATTCCCAGACAACGAATCCCAAAGCCCCTCAGTTTCCATTGCTTCTTCCCTGAATGCCCCGACTGAACACACAGGAAGATAGAAACAGCTGCTAGGTTTCATTTCCCTCCGAATGTCATTTCAGGTCCATGACATCTCCTCTATGTAGCTTACGCCAGCCACCCTTTTCCTCCTCCCTCTGCCGTTTGGAGAACCATGAGGACTCTGCGTCTCCCTAGCGCGCAGGCTTCTCAGGTCCTGAAGTTGGATTGCGAAACCTGGCGGCTCCCTGTTTCCCAGCTCAAGAGCTGAGTTTGAGGCACACCTGTGGGCAGGAGTGTGTCCCCCAACAAACCAAGGTACACAAAGGTACACAGGCACAGGTGTGCACACTCGTGCACCAGCTCAGACACGCAGGTGGGAACATGCCCACACTCACACTGGTATGAGGGAAACTGGGTGTCTACACCAATACTCAGGTGAGCCTTAATGCTCAGCCACATTGCTTCGCTGGACACACACAGAAGGTTCCTTGCCATTTAATTGATCATCTACAGTGGGATTTATTTTTACTTTTATACTTTTTTAATTTACCAAAGTATGTTGCATTCTTTCCCCCATCATGAAAAAGACTGATACAAGTAAGGAGGAAGAGCACTTTTCATAACAAATTACTTTATCTGCATCTATAGTATTAAGGTATTTTACAAATTTTATGTCTGTTTTTTAATGTCATAGGAAATGTCTCAGTGCTGGGGAAGCATGAGTGAGGGTGGCAGAGGGAGAAAGCATGTCAGGGGACCCTGGAGTCATTGAAACAGAACATGATAGGACTGGCCACTCTAGAAGGACGTAGACCTGGGTTTGCCTCCTGTGCACCTCTGCGTGGAGGGTAAGAGGGCCTTAGTTGAGCCTAACTGAGCCCCAGGTGTTAACAGGCCTCAAGGCGTGGAAGGGACCCACGTGCACCAGCTAGGTTTTGTTTCCCTCCAAATATCATTTCTGGTCCATGGCATCTCCTCTAGGTAGCTTGAGCCAGCCACCCTTTTCCTCCTCCCTCTGCCATTTGTGAGAACCATGAGGACTCTTCGCGTCTCCCTAGCGTGTAGGCTTCAGGGGTCCTGAATTTGGATTGCCAAACCTGGTGGTGCCCTGCTTGCCAGCGCAAGAGCTGAGTTTGAGGCACATCTGTGGGCTGGAGTGTGGGCCCCCCCAAACCAAGGTACACAAAGGCACACAGGCACGGGTGTGCATATGTTCCCATTCCATCTCCCTTCTGGCTCACCATCCATCTGCTGACAACTTCCACTCAATGAAACCTTGCACTTATTCTCCAAGCCCACGTGTGAGCCAAGGCAGGAAACCCCGGGATCCAGAAAGCCTTCTGTTTTTGCGGTAAGGCAGAGTGTCTTATTGAGCTAACACAAGCCGCCTACAGATGGATAAACTAAATTAACATCGTATAACACATGGCCGCTGGGGATTCAGGAGCTGTAAACATTCACCCCTAGATGCTGCCTGGGATCGGAGCCGCACAACCTGTCCTCATTGCTCTCTCCGGAGGCCGGGCAGGAACCTCTGCCAAAGCTTCTACCTCAGCCGCTGGCAGGCCATGCGGCCTGGGGCATTCACGGAGTTCCAACGAGTCTGTTACTGGCTGGGGAGTGCTGGGGCCAGGGCATGGCCGTGCCCGCTGATCCTCCTCCTGCCTCTCCATATCGGACTTCTCCTCGACCACCACCTGGACCACTGCCACGATATCGTCCACAGCAGCACCTTCTCCTCCCCCTAGGGCGCCTCCACGCTCTGTGCCCTGGCTGTCCTCTCCAGCAGAGCCTCCAATTTGAACGGGGTACACTGTCCGCTCCACGTCTGTGTAAGTATATCCTTAAAATATACTTAAAAAAACAAAAAAAAACTTAAAAGCGTTCCCATTTCTCCACATCCTCTCCAACATCTGTTATTCCCTCACTTTTTAATGATCGCCATTCTAACTGGCATGAGATGGTATCTCATTGCGGTTGCAGGGTCATGGATGAAGCTGGAAACCATCATACTAAGCAAACTATCACAAGGACAGAAAACCAAACACCGCATGTTCTCACTGATAAGTGAGAGTTGAACAATGAGAACACATGGACACAGGGCAGGGAACATCACCCACCGAGGCCGGTCGCGGGGGTGGGGGGTTGAGGGAGGGATAGCATTTGGAGAAATACCTAATGTAAATGACGAGTTGATAGGGGCAGCAAACAAACATGGAACATGTATCCCTATGTTACAAACCTGCACGTTGTGTACATGTACCCTAGAACTTACAGGATAATAAAACAAAAAAAAAAAAAAAGAAAAAAAAAACCTTAAAATTAAAAATAGCTCTCCAAACCCAAATACTAAATAGAAAATGAGAATCAAGTGGCCTAGAATGTAACTTAAATGAAAATGTCACAAACATTCAGCAGATAGTTTCTAAATGCCACAATAAGCCTGGCAGTCTGCAAGAAGCTCAGAAAAACACTGTTTCCTTGCTATTTTGAGTGTGCAGTAGAAACAGGTACAGAGATAAATGAGGAATAGTAAGTGTGATAACTGCTGTAATAGGCAAATACAGGCAATATAACTGCAAATAAGGGCAACGATTTTGATAAGCAAAACATTAATAAAAGATGAAACATTAAAAAAAGACTCATGATTTTAATAAACATTGCCTTCTTCACTCCAGAAGAAAACTCATGCCTCTGCTTTACTGGTTGACATGTTCTTAAAGAGATGTAACAGCTCTGATTTCTGTTACTAAATCACATTTTCGTCACTTATGAAACACAAGTTTAAAATTCCTTTTGAAGGTCAAATGAGAATATTTGCTGTTACTGGATGAACTGTCAAGTGCTACCCAAATATTATTTTCTCACAGGGATTGATATCATGTGTATGTCATATGGTCAATGTAGCATTCTCATAAAGGAAACCTTGAAATGTGTCTGCTGCTCATTTTTGATTTTTCAGCTGTTTCGGTCATTGTTATTTATCATATGCTTCCTAGGGGCTTTTGAATTTTAATCAGAATATGTAAAAACCGAAAAGAGAAGGACAATGAAATTGCAAGACTACAGTCATAATAATTTCATTGATTAATTCAATTGTTTATAGAGCAAGATTACATTATATTTCTCCCAAAAGATTCTTGGAGAAATTCTAAGATGATGCACCCAGTGTTTGAAATGGCTGTAAAGTTGTTGCTTAAGTTAGAGCTAACTCTTTTTAGAGCATGAAGATACATTAATAGTTTCATGTATTAAAACAGAGAAAATAGGATTTTTAGTGCTAGTTGCTCTCACCAGAAATAATCATAGCTTTTAAACTGTTCTTTATGTCAAAATAAACTTTTCATTTTCCTACCTCATGTTTTGGATGTGGCATGTATTTTTAAATGCATTTTCACCCTTATGTGCTTCTGTGAGAAACTGTGGATTTAAGTTCATATCATGATTATCTTACAGCTTCACTTGTTGTTCCTAAAGGTTCACGGAAGTAAAAAATTCCATTTATGCTTGTATCTTTCAGCAACCTCATTTCAGATAACAGTGCACATTACTGCAGAAATCACATGATTCAGGTCCAAAGGAAGAAGAAGAAGAAAGCAAGTTTTTAAGTCTATACATTTGTAGCACTGTATCAGAAACTCCGTAGTCATAGTGAAATAAAAAAGTGATCACAGTCAATTCCATCTCATACCTAGACTGAAATAAGAACCTTCAAAAGAAAAGAAAGTTAAGAATTTTGGGCTTGTCAAAATTTTCCTATATAGATAAAATTATTGGTGACTTTCTCTCACTAGAAAACATAAACAAAAATCCATGCTTTATATATGTATAAATAAAAATATTTTTATTTCTATCAGTTGCGACATGCAAGCAAGTAATAAAGTAAAAGTATAATAATAAAATGATATAAGGAGATTTCTCTGTGTAAAAGAATTCCATTGATACTATTAATTTAAAAAAAAACCATAGAGAAACTACATGGCTGCTTTTTAGTACTACTACTTTTTAGTATTTTACTTACATTTTAAATAATCAACAAATTAAAGGAAATTCTTAATAATTGTTTATTACCAACAACATTATTCTACTCGAGTAATCGTTTGAGATTACATATTTTAAATAAAACATTAAAAACAAATTGTATTGAGTGATATTAGCTTTCGATGAATTAATACTTCTGTATTTGTAGTCATGTGAAGTATAAATTTCTCCTCAAAATGGATCTTTTATAAAACCAGTGTTAATGTTTTCTCTGATACAAACTCTGGGATTTCTCATGGCTTTACTATATCCATACATTACATGCTTCCAGAAAGTAGGATTCAAACAGATGGAAAAATTATATTTCTGACAAAATTCTAGGAAAGGGAATGGTAAAATGGGAGAATAATTTCTAAATTTCTAACTGTTGATCAATGGATTTGGATACATTTAGATGTAGACAAATATTTACACACTGCAAGTTTGCACTTGTGCATATAAATTTAAATGAGATACTCATATGTATGGGTTGTGTAATCTTTGAATTAATCCTCAATTTTACACGTGGGAAATTTGACAAGAGTTTACCCTTATCAAATACTCAATTTGAAGTACTATACTCAATTTGATGTAAAGCTAACAAAATCTCTGTCAACATCATTTCAATTAATCCAATATTGTTAACTGCTGATAGCTTCATTCTCCTTGTCCCCTGTTGGTAGCCTGAAAGCTGATTCTCACTCTAATTCAGCACTCAGGTTCCCATCCACAAGGGACTGTCAGCTTTCTGTGGATTGTGACCTCTGACTCCACCACTTTCGTCCTATAACAGTCCTACCTTTGCATATTTAATGAACTTGGTACATGGTTAAAAAGATAAAAGTGCAGTGAAATGTCAGGCCATGCTGTGAAATGTTCCATTGTTTCTATATCTCTAATTGACCTTTCATGTTATAGAGGACAAGAAAAATGATGCAATACATTTCTTAGTATCCAGTCCAATGCACTCTTTCTTATTAATACACCAAACCCATCCCTTCAAGGCACTGACATCTAAGGAGGGTGGTTTTTTCTTGGAAGGGGGCAGGTCAGCTCTCTTTTCCCACAGCCCCACAGAGCTCTGTGTTCTTCTGCAGACAATGAGGCAGCTATCCGTTGAGCCTTGGTAAAAAGTAAAAATAAATCCCACTGTAGATGATCAGTTAAATGGCAGGGGACCTTCTGTGTGTGTCTAGCGAGGGAATGTGGCTGAGCATTAAAGCCCACCTCTTAGGTCACTTCAGGTTCCCCAATTCTGAAGTATGAGTGTTACTGTTCCCTGATGGGCCTTTCTCCCCCAGAACAGGGATGGCCTGTGATTTCTCACTGCAGGCTCTTCCCTGAGCCTTGAGTTCTCCAGGTGTGTGCCCTCCAGCATTTTCCTGTTGCAATATGAGTCTGTTTCCAATGCAGTGTGCTTTCTACAATACTGCAGTGTTATCTCATTGCATATATTTGACAAAACAAGTTACAAACTATAACTAATGTGAGAAGAAAGTAAATGGTATGGAATAAGGAAGAAAAATGAAACACTGTGTCAGCAAGGAATAATTTTTACTTTATATAACAGAAAAAGTAAACATGAATTAAACAAACAGGGATTTGTAGTTTTCACATGTGAACCAGCCATACTTAAGCAGTTGCTGCCTTTGATCAGTGGCTCTGCTGCACTGTAGTAGTGGGGCTGCACGGTAGCAACAGTAATTTTTTTTTTTTTTTTTGGTATTTTCTCCAAGGCGAAACCTAGCTCAAATCCAACACCATATTGGGTCCAGTTGTTGCTATCCAGCTTTGCCCACACTCTTGTTTGTGGGAATCTTATCAGCTTCCAGTTTATGCAGCTACTTTAAGGGTGTATTTTTGCTTGTCATGTGAAACTGCTGCTTGAGATTGTCTTTTCTCCTGCAATCACCTAGTATTTTTCCTGTCTCAAATTATGTGCCTTGCTCATTTTTCTCCTCAGGACATTATAGGATAATTCTTTAGCTGATTTTTTTAAAGAGCATTGGTAAACCAGTTTCATTTCCGTCAAATACTTCTGAGAATTCCTGAGAAACTTATACATGTCACAGCTAAAAACCTAGCACTGGACCACTGCCCACTGCCTGCTCAGCTGCGTGTTACTAACTTCTTTCTTTAGATGAGATCCCCTAAACAGCAACCGCATGGGTCCCCCACACTTCCACTAAAGACAAACATCCAATGTTTAAAACATTTTAAATCTTAGATATAGCATAAAAGGATTATAAGATACAAAACACAAATGGGATACAGATATTAAGAAACAAAATTTTAGCCAGTACCAGTCTTTGACAAAAAAGTTAACCATTTTAACTCTACAGTATAAATGTATTTACAAATAAAGTATATGCATAGAGAAATGTTTTTTGCATCGTACATACTTTCTCCAGTGATGTCTTAGACACTCATTTCAAATTGGCCATTGATCGAATTTCAACTATATCCTATAATGAAAATAATAGAGTAGAATTTTTTTTATTTTTATTTATTTATTTTTTTTTAGCAGATCACATGTACACATTGGTCTTCCAGTTGTACTGAGTCTTTTGTATGTGTGTGTGTATGTCTATGTAATTTTAGGTAGTTACAGAGAATATATTTAGTACAAATAAGTAGAAATTAACCAGATTTTCTTTGTAATAAAAAAGAAAACAATTAACTTCAATTGAATATTTAATTGAACAGTAAAACTGGATAAGAATTTATTCTGCTCAGAGAAAAGATGTACTGTGCTTTGCAGACTGAAAGAGTTCTTTCCTGAGTAACCCAGTATTTGCCTTTACCACAAAAATAGATTGGTTTTGCTAGACCCCTGTAGCCAGCTACCTGCAGAGAAGGAAATTCTACTAGAGAGAATTCTAAATTGAATATTAAATATTATTTCATTTGGGTGAAGCATTCACATATAATATTCTTTTACATTCAGCATAATTATAGAAGTTTAATTTTAATACACTTTCCAAAAAACTAAAGTAATTATAAAAATTAAAAAGAGAATTGTAATACCTCCTTTAAAAAGTTTTAGCCTACTCAAATCTAACAAGTCTGCTCTGAAATACCTGAAAATAAGATATGAAATAAATAAGAAAAGAAAATACAGCAGAATATACCAGACTTTTTTATGTATTGGCTGTGCATATATCTGCTAGCTTTTAGTAGCAGACAGAGTGCAGTCTACGTAATTGTATTCATAATAGATGCCTATGCATGATATAGTCACACATAAATATTATTTCTCTGAAGATTGAAATAGAAAGCTAGGAAAACACAACGTGACACATAAGCTGAATTACATTTAAGGAAGTGTGGATTATATAGTTAAATGATCTATTCATGGAACTTCTTATCACTATCTCACTGGTTAGTCTAAGGATTAATTAGTTAAAGTTCCTAGACTCTTTCAAGCTAAGAAACACTATGTAAGCGCTATGCTTTATCATGGTAGCATGAGAGTGTGGCATACATGATTTGCAAACTCACAGGCTCTTTGAAATGTGTGTCTAGCCTGATTGAGAGTTTTTTCTAACAGTGTTTTATGGATTGGAAAGTGCTTATCATATTTGAAGATGAAATATGCTCTATTGAAATCAGGCAAATCTGCAAAATCAATCTTTGTTCTATTTATTAGTAAAGTGATGTTTCTCAAAATAGAAGAAAACTTGTGATATGATTTTGAAGTTAATATATAATAAGGTAGAATTTTGACATCAATTATAACTTGCCTATTATCATGTGATTGACTCAGCTGTTGTTCTCTTAATTAGTGCAACTGAAGTCTAGTTAATTTGCATAAAGGTAGCTATCCCATCTTTTATACTTTTAAAGACAGTCAGGAGACTGGTGCTTTGTGAATTTTTAATGTTTATGTAAATGTTATAAGGTGTATATTATTACACTTATTTTTTTCTTAACATTTTTGTTGAGAGCTGCCATTATTGATGGCATAGTTCTCAGTCTACTGAATTTCATTATGTTCCATTATGTGTTTATTGAAATGCTACAATGAAAAACCTTCCCTATGCCTCTGGGTACACATGTGTGAGAGTTTATAATGAAAATACTAGAAGAATGGCTGGACTGCAGTGTGCATACAGTTTTAACTTTGAGGGGATAAAATATTCTCATTAGCTCCCAGGGCTACCACTTTGTTACTGTTGTTCATCCATGCTAATCAGCTTTGCATTTGTCTTAGGTTTTTCATTTTTAATGAAGTATTATTATAAGTTACATTGATTAGAACCAGCATGTGTTTGTTAAATGTTCATTTTGTTTAATAATTATAGATAGCTATTGTCAGGGCTCTATCAGTATGTGAGGAAAATAAAATATTAACAGAATGATGACTTGAATAGGGGGATAAGTCTGAAAATCAACTTTATTTTCCTAACACAGTTTATACAAAACATAGTTAATGCTTCATTTTCAAGGACAGCATGTAGCAGAGTGCTTGACAATAAATCAATATACGCTGAGTCAGTATTGGCTAGTAATGGCTAGCTTCTTCCAGTCTTGCCTGGTGATGGAAGAAGTATTTAACATATTTTTTTTTTTCTATGTGGCTCACTCACGTGACACTGCCAGATCATCATATGGTGGGTTTGGGGAAAATGAAGGAAATAGTAGGCTAGATATATGTAAATTATGTGCTAGAAATAGAAGCTTAGCACACAAAGCGTAGTTAATTTGTCTGGCCACAGGGGTTTTGTCATCTCTCGTATACCTACAACTATTTACTTATAGGTTGCTTGCTAATGACTATTTTAAAAAAATCTGTTTCAGCAGCAATGACATAAAAATCCAAGTAGATATTTAATCAAAAACTGCTCAATTTCCCTTTCAATCAAATTATGGGCTGAAAGGTGCCAATAAACACATGGCATAATCATAAAGCCTTGTAGTCCATGTTGGGACCATAAGGCTAAAAGTGATATCCTGAAATCCAGAATATGGAGGGTTGAGGGGAAAAACCAGCTGCTATTTAAGAAGGTAATACTTAGTTACATTAAGAAAACTATGCCTGAAGATGACATTTTCACAGGTTTAGTGTGTGACTTCGGAAAAATTAAGCATATAATTCTGAGAGGCCTGGCTTTTTATTTACATCAAATTACTATTTTTTAAAATCAATTGTGTACATTTTTAATTCTAATTTTTCTGCACTTAAGAAATATTCATCAGTAATTGTTAGTATGTAAGCACCATAAGCTCCATTAACAGAATAAATTCCAAAAGAGTTGGATAATGCCATTTAGATGTTTCAAACAGAAAATTGAATTAAAATGTGGTTTGAATTTTTAGTCAATCATTGGGACCAAAATAAAGCTGTGGAAATATTATTGTGCCAGAAAAAAAATT
This sequence comes from Homo sapiens, assembly GCF_000001405.40. Classification (NCBI taxonomy): domain Eukaryota; kingdom Metazoa; phylum Chordata; class Mammalia; order Primates; family Hominidae; genus Homo; species Homo sapiens. The sequence continues at coordinate 21,375,867 of NC_000024.10, read as the reverse complement.
GAACAATATGATAAATGCTTTTTAAAGTTCACTTAAAAAGCTAAACATTGTTGATAACTTTTATTGGTGACAAGAAGAAGCAACTTCGGAAAAGCTCAAGTAACTTTATTTAAAAATCAATATAATATTAAAATAAATGCATTTTCCAGAAAAGAACTACAGATAATTATTGTTAAGAAACAGATTAATTCATGTAAATATGTTCTAGAATAATTATTCTGCCTACTATTTTAAATATTTAAATAATAAATATAAAGAAGTTATTTTTCTGTTTTGCCTCAAGATATGTAATTGTGGTTTTTAAATTTTTGAAGCATTTTATTTTCAAAAATAGTTGGAAGATAACTATTTCATAGATCCATCAATACAATAAAAAAACCTGTAAGGAAATAATATAATAAATAGTAAATAATTTTATATATGTTAGTACCCTTTGTTCTAAAAAAAGTTTCCATTGGAACAACCAAAGTTTTAGTCACCCTAATTTTACTAAATATCATTAGATAGTCCTGTGATTGATGGAACCAAATTTCCATTCCTTATACCCTTGACTACACTTGTTATTATTATTTTAATAGTTGCCAAACTAATGAACAAAAGTTGGAATGTAATGTGGTTTTGATTTATATCCCCGGATTACTAATGAGCTCAAACATCTAGCCATTTTCCATTGGTCGTTTAATTTTCATCTTTTCTAAAATGGATCCATTTACCTGTCCTGTTTTCCTCTACTGGTCTAGATTGTCTATATATTTTCTTGTCTATTTGTAAGTGTTATTTTGATTGATTTGGAAGCTGGTATTTTTATGTATATTTTTCTTAGTGATTTTCTGGAATTTTATAAACCCCCAAGATAATTTTTATAATTTACGATCTGAAGATTTTCAAAAAGCTAACTCAGAAGTCATCTGTGGCCATAATGCTAACTTCTAATGAAAAGATAATTTTTCCACTTTAGCAAAACATACTTTAAAGATATTAATGAGAAAGCACTAAAGTGCTCAATTCTTTTTCATAAAACTTGAATTTAAATAGTCATTTCAATAAAATCCTTTACCCTTACAGCAAGAACCAATCATTAAATATTGATTACCTGACTCCTGCCTGGTTTTCTAAATATTTCACAATTGTCATTTTGGTAACAATGGCTTAGCATACTTGTTAGAATTGCTGGTTCTCCAGGTCTCATTTCAAATGATTGAACCAGGATTTTGATGGAAAATAATGAGAATTGTCTGGATATGTTTTTTATGACCCATGTAATTATTTGGGGCTGTTTGTGAAGCTCTGGTCTGACACATAAGATAAAGTAAAACAACAACAACAAAAACAAAAGAATCAAACAAAGAACATCAAGTCAGGAGTCAGGAATAAATACCTTATCTTTTCCTCACTCCCACCTTCTCAAGTCATATGCCCCTATCTTCTTTCTCATTCTTGGTAAATGCTACCGCAATTATCTAGCACTTCACAGGAGTAATTAACCTGCTAGTCTGCAATTTAGCAAAAAGTAAGAAACCTATTTCTGAACATTTTCTTTAGGAATATGTTTCTAGCTATACACTGTGTATAAGTTAATGCTATCAGTAAGTCTAAAATAGCAATATTTTAAAAAAAATTTGTCCACTCTGGCAAAATTACCTTCTGTAAATGATCCACTGCTACTAAGATTACATTGACATTTTGGAGACTGTACTGACATTTGAATTTCACATATTTATGGAATATTGGAAAGCGTCTTCAGATGTCAGCATCTGTAATGATAAGAGTTAATATTTGTATTAACTTCCAAATTTTTCTGTTTTAAAGCAGGTGTGCAGGTATTGGATAAACAGCTAGACCACTGAAGCATAACTGTAGTTAAATTTGTAAAGGTTTTGGTGAAGTTGCACATGACAACATCTCCACAGGAAATTTAGATTTTTGGCTCACCTTGGAGATGTTCAAGAAAAGGACATTTTTTTTGTTCTTAATGATTCCCCAGCTGGTTCTTAAAGGGAGATAGCATGATATTGTGGAGAGACGCAGTTCTGTAATCTGATATTAGACTTTAAGATAAGCTAACTATTTTGAGACCCAAATTGCAGATGTATGAAGTGGGGTCTAAAATATCTACTACGTGTATGTGTATTTATAAAGATTATATAATAATAATTGATTCTATTTGCCTTGTACTGTTCTGTAAAACAGAGACATCATTTAACTTTGTTACTTAGTATAGCTTCATATGCACGTTTTTAAGTAACATTTATCTCGTGATAAAGAAAATAGTAATACTGGCAGAAACTGGTACTTACTCTAACTTTGACTTTGCAGAACTCCAGCTGTTCTGTAAAGAAACTGACGTGAATTGGAAAAAAAAAGTGGACAATTGAAGGTTGTTTAGGGGAGTCTTTATTTACTAAGTCTATATTTTTGGAACTTTATTTACTAAGTCTATAATTTTGGGAGAGGACACACAAACTGTGAAGTGTTGGATGTGAATGATGAAGACTCATTGAGAAAAGGCTGCCTCAGGGATCATCCTCTACATTTCTATCTTGAAATATAGGATACTTAGCACGGTGAATTTCTGAAATAGTGGAATCCTGTAGGAGGAAACATGTTTGGAGGATGAAAGGAAGGTCTGGTTTTGGTATGTGGAGATGTAAGGCATGCAGTTGGATATGCCAACTCTGAAGGTAGAACAAAGATCTGGCCTGAAGTTGGGAATTTTTTGATGGTCAGTATAGAAAGGGTGTTTTAGCCTTGAGAAAACCCAAGAAGATCCATGACTGAGATCTGAACAACTTCAACATCTGTAGATTTAGTAAAGATGCCAAGAAAATACAAACCAAGTTCATATTAAAATCAATGGGAAAAGACAAAATACTTAGTGAGAGATATTCAGGCAACCAGCATTTAGCTAGCTATTAGCTAGCAAATTTGGGAAAAAACGAAATGTCTTTATAAAGAACTTTGCTCAGGTTTCCAAATATACAAAATAAAAACCACTCACATTTTGGAAGTCAATATTACAAAATTATATTATTGTAATGGTACTATTTAATGGTAATAGACAAAAATGAAAATTATTCTGAATTAAATCAATAGTATGTTTTCTATCACTGTCTTCCTCTTCTTCTCCATGTATATGTGTGTTGTTTTAACTCACTAAGCAATGACTCTTCTTAATCCCATTACTTTTTATTTAACACTCCATTTTGTTTTTCATATGTGCAATATTACAGTGCCCAATAGAGAAGAAATGCAGAAGTTGGGCTGTTATATCAGAAACACCTTTGCTTTTCAGATTTGGGCTTCTGGAATGTGGTTAATTTAAGTATTCTCATCAGGCCTTGATTTGTCAGATTTCTGTAATCACTTCTCCAAAATAAACAGTGTCTGCAAATGATGACTACAATAAAATTAAAATTATGCTGGTTTTTAAAAAAATTATGTTTATGTAAATTTGATGCTTTTAAGCTTCAGGCCTATGTTAACCATGGCTTTCATCAGAGTTCTCTATTCACTTTCCCCAGAATCTCAATCATTTTTCCCTTCAGACCAGGAGTTACAACAAAGAATATTGCTGAGCTTGACCCTCTTGTCTGAAAAAGTAAGGACTGCAGGAAATCTTTCAAGAGTTTTAAGATCATTCGGTGAAGTCTCAACCTGAAATTTTGTTGTCAGACCTAGAAAGTACCAGTGCTTTTAGCTTACCTTCTTCTTTCCATGTGTCTCCTTTCCTTTCCCTGGCGCCCAGTGTCTTTAGTCCAGAGAATTATGGTTTGAAAATCCAATTCTCCTTTTTACATTAATTTACTGATGACATCATATGGTATACTTTCATGAGGATGGATTATGTTGAAGAGAATTCCAATGCACATGCCAGTGCTAAAACCAAAGGAAAAAAGTCACTCGTGGAAGGATCTGAAAGCCATTTGGCAACATTTCAGAAGACATATTTTTAGACTAGGGTTCTTTGATTCATTCTACATTTTAGTAGTATTTTTAAGTTGTAAATGCATAAAGGATATGAAAGAAAAAGAAATTAGACAATACCACAGGGTACCTGAGCCCAGGTGTATAATTCTCCATTCTGAAGTTGTCCCTAATAGAAGTTTGTTCAATTTCTTGGAAATATATATTAAAACATACAATTTTCAAGTTAAAATGAGTGTATATTCTATGTGCTGTTCTGTACTTACCTTATTCACCCTAATAGTACTTTATCAACAAAGAGCAACTTTGTTCTTTTTAATAACATGAACAGCTATCGCATACCATTTTCTGGAGGCAAAATACTGTACTAAAGAAATTCCTTATTTCATGATGAACAATTACATCATTTCAAGGCTTTTGCTATAACAAAAAATAACACAGTAAGACAGTAAGATTTTACATCTTTCTATACATATGTAAGTACATTTGAATATGTTTATTTTTATTTTTGTTTGATGTATGGATCCAAAAGATTCATGAGAACTGCTTTCTTGTGTTTTTTTTTTCATTTTTCTAATAAGCAGTGACTGAACAAATCATTTGTAACTGACTTCAACCTAATTGCATGAGGTCAAAGAACTTGGGGTGTTTATGACACTAATTATTCAACATTTGTTAAGACTTGCTTACATACTATCATGTGACCAAATGTAAAATGGTAATAGTGAAATTTCATTTGTGTTTGAGAATATTGTTTTTCTCTAATTATAGTACTTAGAAGTTGATATGTATCTATTAGAATGTTTAATTTTTCAAAACTGGTTTTTAAGGTTCTTTTGTAAATGTAACCTATCTCCAATATTATTGAATCCAATTTTATTGACATCACCCATTTTGGGGGTTGTATTATTCTGGATTCTCTGCAGTAGCAGAAATAAATATGATGCATATATGTGTGTGTGTGTATACACAGATGCCCACAAATATATATACACACACACACACACACACATGCACATATATACATGGTGTATATATGTGCATGTGTGTGTGTCTATATACGTATATACATATAATATACGTATATAGACACACACAAATATATGGAGAAGGAAATTGATTATAAAAAGTTGGTTCCTGCAGTTATGAAGGCTGACAAGTTCTAAAAAATACAGTTGGCAATTTGGAGACCTAGGAGGTTTGATAGTATAGTTGTAGTCTGAGTCCAAAGGCCAGAGAACCAGGATGGTCAGTAATAGTCTGAGTCCAAAGGCCAGAGAACCAGGATGGTCAATGAATGTTGTGTTACCGGTTTGAAGGCTGACAACCTTTAGATCTGGGAAGAGCCAAGGTTTTAGCTTGAATCTAAAGGCAGAAAAATTCAAAGTCCTAGCTCAAATACAGTCAGGAAGGAGGAATTCCCCTTTATTTCATCCTTTCAGTTCTACCCATTTCTTATATCTTTCTTTACTCATGAACTAAAACATTTATCTCATCCAGAAACACCCTCACAGACGCAACAGAATAATGCCTGACCACACATCTGGGCACACAGTGACCCAGTCAAACTGACACATAAAATAACCGTATGGGTAGATTAAAAAATATATATCCCTGAAATTTTATCCTTTTTGAGTGTATACGTGTACTTATTTTGTTAGGTGCACACATATTTTAGGTAACTAACTTCCTGTTGAAGGAAGACTTCCATGAGGAAGTGGCCCTTCTCTATCTTTAAAAATATGTATTTTCTTGAATTAAAGCTTAGTTTTTATAGAATTAATATAAACATATCATCTTTCTATTGGTTAGTGTTTACTAGTTTATTTATTTCTATCCTTTTATTTTCAGTCCCTATGTGCTTGATGCATTAGGCTTCTCTCTTGTAAGTATTGTTTAGCTGATATTTAATGGGTGAGTTTAGATCATTTACATTTATTATGATTGTAAGATGTAAAGAGAGAGGGAAGAAACACAAAAAGTGGCTCACCAGTAAGGACAGATTTATTTTAGAGAAAACAAACCTGAGAGGGCACCTTCTGGCTAAGTTAGGTCAGAGGCACACTTTCTCAGAGACTGACAGTTCTTAAGGATTCAGGGTGGGAGAGTTTATCAAAGGCTTGGGCTGCTTCTGTGTCTCTTTGTTGTGCTTGTCTGGGAGGGAGAGTTGTGTGTCTTCCCATACATCTTTCTGCAGCTGCATGCTTATTCCCCCAGTCTGCTTTTAGCTTCCCTATCTTAGTGCACCTGAAGGGAAAGGAATGTGCCTAACAAGGCCCAGTGTTTTACTGGGGCCCATTGTATGAGGGAAAATTTGGCAGTTACTCAAGGGACTTTTCCTTCACCTCGCTGTGTGCTGAGATGTCTTATTTGCGTTGTAATGTCTGCTCTTTTTGGCTGCTTGTAGTTAGGAGAGAAGTGATTTCGTTGAAATACATGTGGCCAGAAAAGGAGATGGAATTTAAAGGGATGGTGTTTGTCTGAGATGCCAGTGCTCCTGCTCTATCAATAATTACTGTTATGTTGGGACTTACTTCTAACAACTGGCTTTCTACATATATATGGTCCTTTTGTCACCTAATAGTGGCAAGCAGAATTTCCCTGATTTTAATTTTAAGTGTTTGATTTTAATTATGATGCTTTTCAGAAAATCCCAAAGTATGAAAAAACATATTGTAAATATCCATTTACATGTACTACAGATGTTGAAGAAATGAGCCATGCAAGAAAGGGCATCATATGAATAGACAATAGACATACCTGGCTTCAAATCTAGCTCTATGTGAATTTGTGCAAGCCATTGAAACTTTCTTTGCCTTAGTCTTGTAATCTAGGAAAT